>NW_021159991.1:0-341066 GCF_000001405.40 Homo sapiens
CAAAAGAGACAAAGAAGGCCATTACATAATGGTAAAGGGATCAATTCAACAGGAAGAGCTAACTATCCTAAATAGATATGCACCCAACACAGGAGCACCCAGATTCATAAAGCAAGTCCTGAGTGACCTACAAAGAGACTTAGACTCCCACACATTAATAATGGGAGACTTTAACACCCCACTGTCAACATTAGACAGATCAACGAGACAGAAAGTCAACAAGGATACCCAGGAATTGAACTCAGCTCTGCACCAAGCGGACCTAATAGAAATCTAAAGAACTCTCCACCCTGAATCAACAGAATATACATTTTTTTCAGCACCACACCACACCTATTCCAAAATTGACCACATACTTGGAAGTAAAGCACCCCTCAGCAAATGTAAAAGAACAGAAATTATAACAAACTATCTCTCAGACCACACTGCAATCAAACTAGAACTCAGGATTAAGAAACTCACTCAAAACCGCTCAACTACATGGAAACAGAACAATCTGCTCCTGAATGACTATCGGGTACATAACGAAATGAAGACAGAAATAAAGATGTTCTTAGAAACCAATGAGAACAAAGACACAACATACCAGAATCTCTGGGACACATTCAAAGCAGTGTGTAGAGGGAAATTTATAGCACTAAATGCCCACAAGAGAAAGCAGGAAAGATCCAAAATTGACACCCTAACATCACAATTAAAAGAACTAGAAAAGCAAGAGCAAACACATTCAAAAGCTAACAGAAGGCAAGAAATAACTAAACTCAGAACAGAACTGAAGGAAATAGAGACACAAAAAAGTCTTCAAAAAATTAATGAATCCAGGAGCTGGTTTTTTGAAAGGATCAACAAAATTGATAGACCGCTAGCAAGACTAATAAAGAAAAAAAGAGAGAAGAATCAAATAGATGCAATAAAAAATGATAAAGGGGATATCACCACCAATCCCACAGAAATACAAACTACCATCAGAGAACACTACAAACACCTCTATGCAAATAAACTAGAAAATCTAGAAGAAATGGATAAATTCCTCGACACATACACTCTCCCAAGACTAATCCAGGAAGAAGTTGAATCTCTGAATACACCAATAACAGGAGCTGAAATTGTGGCAATAATCAATAGCTTACTAACCAAAAAGAGTCCAGGACCAGACGGATTCACAGCCGAATTCTACCACAGGTACAAGGAGGAACTGGTACCTTTACTTCTGAAACTATTCCAATCAATAGAGAAAGAGGGAATCTTCCCTAACTTATTTTATGAGGCCAGCATCATTCTGATACCAAAGCCGGGCAGAGATACAACCAAAAAAGAGAATTTTAGACCAATATCCTTGATGAACATTGATGCAAAAATCCTCAATAAAATACTGGCAAAACGAATCCAGCATCACTTCAAAAAGCTTATCCACCATGATCAAGTGGGCTTCATCCCTGGGATGCAAGGCTGGTTCAATATATGCAAATCAATAAATGTAATCCAGCATATAAACAGAGTCAAAGACAAAAACCACATGATTATCTCAATAGATGCAGAAAAGGCCTTGACCAAATTCAACAACCCTTCATCCTAAAAACTCCCAATAAATTAAGTATTGATGGGACGTATTTCAAAATAATAAGAGCTATCTATGACAAACCCACAGCCAATATCATACTGAATGGGCAAAAACTGGAAGCATTCCCTTTGAAAAATGGCACAAGACAGGGATGTCCTCTCTCACAACTCCTATTCAACATAGTGATGGAAGTTCTGGCCAGGGCAATTAGGTAGGAGAAGGAAATAAAGGGTATTCAATTAGGAAAAGAGGAAGTCAAATTGTTCCTGTTTGCAGATGACATGATTGTATATCTAGAAAAACCCCATCATCTCAGCCCAAAATCTCTTAAGCTGATAAGCAAATTCAGCAAAGTCTCAGGATACAAAATCAATGTACAAAAATCACGAGCATTCTTATACGCCAACAACAGACAGAGAGCCAAATCACGAGTGAATTCCCATTCACAATTGCTTCAAAGAGAATAAAATACCTAGGAATCCAACTTACAAGGGATGTGAAGGACCTCTTCAAGGAGAACTACAAACCACTGCTCAAGGAAATAAAAGAGGATACAAACAAATGGAAGAACATTCCATGTTCATGGGTAGGAAGAATCAATATCATGAAAATTGCCATACTGCCCAAGGTAATTTATAGATTCAATGCCATCCGCATCATGCTACCGATGACTTTCTTCACAGAATTGAAAAAAGCTACTTTAAAGTTCATGTGGAACCAAAAAAGAGTCCGCATCGCCAAGTCAATCCTAAGCCAAAAGAACAAAGCCAGAGGCATCAGGCTACCTGACTTCAAACTATACTACAAGGCTACAGTAACCAAAACATCATGGTACTGTTACCAAAACAGAGATATAGATCAATGGAAGAGAACAGAGCCCTCAGAAAGAATGCTGCATATCTACAACTATCTGATCTTTGACAAACCTGACAAAAACAAGGAATGGGGAAAGGATTCCCTATTTAATAAATGGTGCTGGGAAAACTGGCTAGCCACATGGAGAAAGCTGAAATTGGATCCCTTCCTTACACCTTATACAAAAATCATTTCAAGATGGATTAAAGACTTAAACATTAGACCTAAAACCATAAAAACCCTAGAAGAAAACCTAGGCATTGCCATTCAGGACATAGGCATGGGCAAGGACTTCATGTCTAAAACACCAAAAGCAATGGCAACAAAAGCCAAAATTGACAAAATGGGATCTAATTAAACTAAAGAGCTTCTGCACAGCAAAAGCAACTACCATTAGAGTGAATAGGCAACCTACAAAATGGGAGAAAATTTTCGCAACCTACTCATCTGACAAAGGGCTAATATCCAGGATCTACAATGAACTCAAACAAATTTACAAGAAAAAAACAAACAACCCCATCAAATGTGGGCGAAGGAAGTGAACAGACACTTCTCAAAAGAACACACTTATGCAGCCAAAAAACACATGAAAAAATGATCATCATCACTGGCCATCAGAGAAATGCAAATGAAAACCACAATGAGATACCATCTCACAACAGTTAGAATGGCAATCATTAAACAATCAGGAAACAACAGGTGCTGGAGAGGATGTGGAGAAATAGGAACACTTTTACACTGTTGGTGGGACTGTAAACTAGTTCAACCATTGTGGAAGTCAGTGTGGCGATTCCTCAGGGATCTAGAACTAGAAATACCATTTGACCCAACAATCCCATTACTGGGTATATACCCAAAGGACTATAAATCATGCTGCTATAAAGACACATGCACATGCATGTTTATTGTGGCATTATTCACCATAGCAAAGACTTGGAACCAACCCAAATGTCTAACAATGATAGACTGGATTGAGAAAATGTGACACATATACACCATGGAATACTATGCAGCCATAAAAAGTGATGAGTTCATGTCCTTTGTAGGGACATGGATGAAATTGGAAATCATCATTCTCAGTAAACTATCACAAGAACAAAAAACCAAACACCGCATATTCTCACTCATAGGTGGGAATTGAACAATGAGATCACATGGACACAGGAAGTGGAACATCACACTCTGGGGACTGTTGTGGGGTGGGGGGAGGCGGGAGGGATAGCATTGGGAGATATACCTAACGCTAGATGACAAGTTAGTGGGTGCAGCGCACCAGCATGGCACATGTATACATATGTAACTAACCTGCACAATGTGCACATGTACCCTAAAACTTAAAGTATAATAATAAAAGAAAAAAAAACTTAAAAAAAAAGAAAACTGGCACAAGACAGGGATGCCCTGTCTCACAACTCCTATTCAACATAGTGTTGGAAGTTCTGCCAGGGCAATCAGGCAGGAGAAGGGAATAAAGTGCATTCAATTAGGAAAAGAGGAAGTCAAATTGTTCCTGTTTGCAGATGACATGATTGTATATCTAGAAACACCCATTGTCTCAGCCCAAAATCTCCTTAAGCTGATAAGGAACTTCAGCAAAGTCTCAGGATACAAAATAAATGTGCAAAAATCACAAGCATTCTTATACACCAATAATAGACAAACAGAAAGCCAAATCATGAGTGAACTCCCATTGACAATTGCTTCAAATAGAATAAAATACCTAGGAATCCAACTCAAAGGGATGTGAAGGACCTCTTCAAGGAGAACTACAAACCACTGCTCAATGAAATAAAAGAGCATACAAACAAATGGAAGAACATTCCATGCTCATGGGTAGGAAGAATCAATGGCGTGAAAATTGCCATACTGCCCAAGGTAATTTATAGATTCAATGTCATCCCCATCAAGCTACCAATGACTTTCTTCACAGAATTGGAAAAAAACTACTTTAAAGTTCATATGGAACCAAAAAAGAGCCCACATCGCCAAGTCAATCCTAAGCCAAAAGAACAAAGCTGGAGGCATCACGCTACCTGACCTCAAACTATACTACAAGTCTGCAGTAACCAAAACAGCATGGTACTGGTACCAAAACAGAGATATACATCAATGGAACAGAACAGAGCCCTCAGAAAGAATGTCGCATGTCTACAACTATCTGATCTTTGACAAACCTGACAAAAACAAGGAATGGGGAAAGGATTCCCTATTTAATAAATGGTGCTGGGAAAACTGGTTAGCCTTATGTAGAAAGCTGAAACTGGATCCCTTCCTTACACCTTATACAAAAATCAATTCAAGATGGATTAAAGACTTACATGTTAGACCTAAAACCATACAAACCCTAGAAGAAAACCTAGGCAATACCATTCAGGACATAGGCATGGGCAAGGACTTCATGTCTAAAACACCAAAAGCAATGGCAACAGAAGCCAAAATTGACAAATGAGACCTAAGTAAACTAAAAAGCTTCTGCACAGCAAAAGAAACTACCAACAGAGTGAACAGGCAACCTACAGAATGGGAGAAAATTTTTGCAACCTACTCATCCGACAAAGGGCTAATATCCAGGATCTACAATGAACACAAACAAATTTACAAGAGAAAAACAAACAACCCCATCAAAAAGTGGGCAAAGTATATGAACAGACACTTTTCCAAAAAAGACATTTATGCAGCCAAAAAACACATGAAAAAATGCTCAACATCACTGGCCATCAGAGAAATGCAAATCAAAACCACAATGAGATAACATCTTACACCAGTTGGAATGGAGATCATTAAAAAGTCAGGAAACAACAGGTGCTGGAGAGGATGTGGAGAAATAGGAACACATTTACACTGTTGGTGGGACTGTAAACTAGTTCAACCATTGAGGAAGACAGTGTGGCAATTCCTCAGGGATCTAGAACTAGAAATACCATTTGACCCAGCCATCCCATTACTGGGTATATACCCAAATTATTATAAATCTTGCTGCTGTAAAGACACATGCACACATATGTTTATTGCGACTCTATTCACAATAGGAAAGACTTGGAACCAACCCAAATGTCCAACAGTGATAGACTGGATTAAGAAAATGTGGCACATATACACCATGGAATACTATGCAGCCGTAAAGAAGAATGAGTTCTTGTCTTTTGTAGGGACATGGATGAAGCTGGAAACCGTCATTCTCAGCAAATTATCACAAGGACAAAAAACCAAACACTGCATATTCTCACTCATAGGTGAGAATTGAACAATGAGAAAACTTGGACACAGGAAGAGGAACATCACACACCAGGGCCTGTTGAGGGGTGGGGGAAGCGGGGAGGGATAGCATTGGGAGATATACCTAATGTAAATGACGAGTTAATGGGTGCAGCACCCCATCATGGCGCATGTATACATATGTAAGAAACCTGTGCGTTGTGCACATGTACCCTAGAACTTAAAGTATAATAAAAAAAGAAGAGTATTAAAAAAAGAGTGAAGATAAAATAAAAAAAAGAAAAATTGTAGAACTCTTAAATACAATAACTGAAATTAAGAATTCAGTGGAATGATTTAACAACAGAATAAACAAATAATTGAACAGAATTTGTGAACTGGAAGATGGCTCAGAAGAAACTGAGATCCAAAGGTAGAGGGAAATGGGGGTAAAATTCAAATGTATCTGTTTAATATTCCCAAAGATACTGTGTTTGTTATATATAAAAATAAACACATATTTAAAAATCCCTTCACACCTTCATACAGTAGTGTGCTGTGTGCAAGTGAACAAAAAGTTAGTATAGTTATTATTACACAATACTAGTGGAACATTGGTGTTATGTTAATCCTCTTTAACTTGATGATCATTATTCCAGTGCTTCTATGTGTCCTGACTTCACAGATGCTTGTTGTTGCAAAATCCCGAGGTAAAACAAAGGTCCTGATATTATGGGCAGAGTGAGAGTGTGGCTGACTACAGTTTCTCCAGTTGAGGCCCTTCTGAGTGTACCCACTGAACAGCTTTGGGGAAGGAGGCTAAGGCCTACTATGTAAGTTGTCAGGGAGGGAGGTGACCTCCTAAGAAGTGATGGAGACTTCATGACATGGTCGAACTTGAAATGATTAGTGAAGTGGTATAATCTGTGAATCCAGCAAAATACAATTATGTTCCTAGCTCTCCTTATTTTTAAGATTTCTGAGGAAATCTATAGATTAGAAATTAAATAAATCAATTCCAGTTTGCTTTTCAGAGAAGTAAATTGTGCAGATTCTCATATTAGCACTGCTTCATAGAAAAATAGGACAGTATATTAACATTTCTCTCTGTTTTTATTTTTTATTTTTGCCATAACAGAGCTTTCTAACAATGTCCACGTAAACATTTTCTAACATCTCTGGCAATTTCCATTTCTGTTTTTTTCTTCTAAAAATTTAGCTAGCTAAATTTAAATGTTGAATTTGGATATTGTTTTCTTTCTTTTCCCCTCAGATTTATTTTAAATTGTAAATAACAATGCACTAGTTTCTTGAGTGTGCCCTGAGGGAGGTAGGTTTTGTAATCCAGTGACCCCCAACCTGGGGTGGTTATGGTCTGCAGATGGAAAAAGTGGAATCCTGCAGGGGAAAAGGAAGCATCCAGATCTCTCCCCCTACTTTATACTGGACAAAGTCTTAACAGCTAATGTCTTCCATCCTGGAGACTAGGCCGTCCATCTTCAGGACTTTCTCTTCAACCAATTGTCTGCTTAGTGGAATCTGGCAATTCAAGAAATATCCTCTTGTTTCTGATTTCTCATTTGATTTTTAATCCCAGTACACTTTTTAGATGATCACATAGATTCTGGGAACAATGGAAGAAACAATAACAAAGGAAAAATAGTGGGGCAAGATGGCCAAATAGAAACCTTCACCAATTGTCCTCCCCACAGGAACAGCAAATTGAACAACTATTCACACAAAAAAGCACCTTCATAAGAAAGAAAAACCAGATGAGCATTCACAGTACCTGGTTTAACTTCAGGTAACTGAAAGAGGCACTGAAGAGTTAGGAAGGACAGTCTTGAATTGCCTACATAACCCCTCCCTTAACCCCCTCAGCAATGGCTGTATGGTGTGGAGAGAGAATCTGTGTGCTTGATGGGAGGGAAAGTGCAGTGATTGTGGGACTTTGCATTGGAACTCAGTGCTACCCTGTCACAGTGGAAAGCAACACCATGCAGAACTCAGCTGGTGACCATTGAAGGAGGATTTAGAACAGACCTAGTCAGAGGAGAATCACCCATCTGGAAGCCCTTTCAGGGCAGGCTAAAGTGCTCTGGGGGTCCTAAATAAACTTGAAAGGCAGTCTAGGGCAGAAGAAATAGCAAGACCTGCTGAGCAAGTCCTGGTTCTGTGCTGGTCTCAGAGCCAGTGGACTTGGGCGACATGCAACCTAATGAAACACCAGCCAGTGTGGCCAAAGGAGTGCTTGTGCCACTTCTCTCCCAACCTCCGGTAGCACAGCTCAAAGCTCTGGGAGAGATTCCTTCCCTCCACTTGAGGAGAAGAGAGGGAATAATAAAGAGGATTTTGTCTTGCAACTTGGATGCCAGCTCAGCCACAGTAGGTTAGGGCACTGGGCAGAGTTTTGAGGCAGCCATTCCAAGCCCTAGCTCCCAAGTGACATTTCTAGACATGCTTTGGGCCAGAAGGGAACCAGTTGCCTTGAAGAGAAGGACCCAGTCCTGGCAGAATTTATCATCTGCTGGCTAAAGAGCGTTTGGACCCTGAATAATCAGTAATGGTAGGCAGGCAGTACTCACCATGCCTTGGGTAATACTCAGAGACATACTGGTTTTAAATTTGATCCACCACATTCCCATCTGTGGTGGCTATGGGGATAGATTCTTTCTGCTTGAGAAAAGGAGTAGAAGAGTAAAGCGAAGAGTAAAAGGCACTTTGTCTTGCAACTCAGGTACCAGCTCAGCCAGTGAGACAGAACACCAAGTAGGCTCTTGGGGTCTCTGATTCCAGGCCTTGGATCTTGAATGGTATTTCTGGACCTGCCCTGGGCCAGAGGGAAGCCCACTGCCTTAATAGGGTGAGTCTCAGGCATGGCAGCATTTACCACAAGATGACTGAAGAGCCACTGGGCCTTGAGTGAACATTGGCAGTACCCAGGCAGGACTCATTGCAGGCCTGGGGCAGTGGTGGCCATGGGGAGAGACTTTTTTGCTTGTGGAAATGGAAGGCAATAGTGGGAAGGACTTGGATTTGTGGCTTGGGTGGCAACTCAGCAGAACTCGAGTAGACCACCAGGTAGATTTCTTTTCTTTTTTTTTTTTTGCTTGCATCGTTTCTTTCTTTCTTTCTTTTTTTTTATTATTATACTTTAAGTTCTAGGGTACATGTGCACAATGTGCAGGTTTGTTACATATGTATACATGAAAGAACCTATCTCTGGAAATGCTTTGTGATGTGTGGATTCATGTCACAGAATTAAACCTTTTTTTTGAGTCAGCAGCTTGGAAACACTTTTTTTTTTTTGTAGAATCTGTGAAGGGACATTTGGGAGCCCATTATGGCCTATAATGAAAAACTGAATATCCTGTAGCAAAAACTAGAAAGAAGCTCTGTGAAAATGATTCTTGATGTGTGGATTCATCTCACAGAGTTAAACTTTTCTTTTTATTCAGCAGGTTGGAAACACACTTTTTGGAAAATCAACAAAAGACATTTGGGAGCCCATTGAGCCCAATAGCAAAAAACCGAATATACTGTGATAAAAACTAGCAAGAATCTATCTGGGAAAATGCTTTCCAATGTGTGGATTCATTTAGAAGATTAAACCTTTTTTTTGATTCACCATGTTGCAAACATTTCTTTTGTAGAATCTACAAAAGATATTTGGGAGTCCATTGAGTCCTATAGTGAAAAAGTGAATATCCCAGGATAAAAACTAGAAAGAAGCTCTCTGTGAAAACGCTTTGCAATGTGTGGATTCATCTCACAGAGTTAAACCTTTCTTTTGATTCAGCACCCTGGAAATGCTGTTTTTGTAGAATCTGTGAAGAGACATTTGAGAACCCTTGAGGCCTGTAGTGAAAACGAATATTCACACACACACACAAAAAATAACTAAAAAGAAACTATATGTGGAAACTCTTTGCAATTTATGCATTCATCTCCCAGAGTTGAATCTTTACTTTGATTCAGCAGGATGGAAAATCTTTTTTTGTAGAATCTGTGATGGGACATTTAAAAGCCCATTGAGGGCTGGGCGTGGTAGCTCACACCTGTAATCCCAGCACTTTGTGAGGGCGAGGCAGATCATGAGGTCAGGAGATCAAGACCATCCTGGCTAACATGGTGAAACCCCGTCTCTACTAAAAAATAGAAAAAATTAACTGGGCGTTGGGGCAGGCGCCTGTAGTACCAGCTACTTGGGAGGCTGAAGAATGAGAATGGCATGAACCCGGGAGGCAGAGCTTGCAGTGAGCCAAGATCACACCACTGCACTCCAGCCTGGGTGACAGAGCGAAACTCCATCTCAAAAAAAAAAAAAAAAGCCCATTGAGGACTTTGGTGAAAAACCAAATATTCCTCGAAAAAAAAAAAAGTAGCTATCTGTGGAAAGACTATGGAATGTGGGATCCATCTAACGAAGTTTAACCTTTCTTTTTATTTGCAGGTTGGAAACACTCTTATTGTAGAACCTGCCCAGGGATAATTGGGAGCCCATTGAGGCCTGTAGTGAAAAACTGAAAATCCCACCATACACACTGAAAAGAAACTATCTGTGAAAAACACTTTGCAATGTGTGGATTCATTTTACAGAGTTAAACATTTCTTTGCAAACACTCTCTTTGGAAATGTATGAAAGATATTTTGGAGCCCTTGAGGCCTATAGTGATAAATTGTATATCCTGTGATTAAAAAGTAGAATGAAATGAATTGTGAAATGCTTTGCCATGGGTGGATTTGTCTCATGGAGGTAAACCTTTCTTTCGATTCAGTAGGTAGGAAACATTCTTTTTGTAGAATGTGCAAAGGGACATTTTGGGAGCCCACTGAGGCCCATAGTGAAAAACCTAATATCCCGTGATAAAAACCAGAAAAAAGCTGTGTGTAAAAACGCTTTGCCATGTGAGGATACATCTCAAAGAGTTAAACCTTTGCTCTGATTCTGCAGGTTGGAAACACTCTCTTGGTAGAATATGAGAAGGGACATTTGAGAGCCCATGGAGGCCTATATTGAAAAACTGAATATTTTGTGATATAAACTAGAAAGAAGCTATTTTTGAAAATGCTTTGTAATGTGAGGATTCATCTCACAATGGTAAGCCATTCTTTTGATTCTGTAGGTTGAAAACACTCGTTATTTAGAATCTGTGAAGGGAAATTCGGGAGCCACTTGAGGCCTATAGTGAAAAACTGAAAATCCCCAGATAAAAACTAGAAAAAGCTGTCTGTGAAAACAGTTTGTGATGTGTGAAATCATCTCAAAGAGTTAAACCTTTCTTTTGATTGAGCAGGTATGAAACAATGTTTTTGTAGAATCTGCAAAGGGACATTTGGAAGCCCATTGAGGCCTATAGTGAAAAACCAAATATTCTGTGTAAAAACTAGAAATAAGATATATGTGAAAATGATTGGGATGTGAGGATTCAACTCAAAGAGTTAAACCTTCCTTTTGATTCAGCAGGTTGGAAACACTCTTTTGGAAGCATCTGCAAAGGGACATTTGTGAGCCAATAGAGCCCTGTAGGGAAAACTGAATATTTCCCCCTTGGCCAAAAAAAAACAAAAACAAAAACAAAAACAAAAACAAAAACAAAAAAACAAAAAACAGCAACAAAAAACCCTCAAAGCTATTTGAGGACATGCTTTGTGATGTGTGGATTCATCTCGCAGAAGTAAACCTTAATTTTGATTCAGCAGGTTGGAAACACTCTTGTTGTAGAATGTGTACAGGGATATTTGGAAGCTCTTAGAGGCACACATGGAAAAACCGAGTATCCCGCAATAAAAACTAGAAAGAATATATCTGTGAAAATGCTTTGCCATGTGTGGATAAATCAAATCTAGATAAACCTTTCTTTACATTCAGCATGTTGGAAACACTCTTCTTATAGAATCTGTGAACGGACATTTTGGGGTCCATTGATGCCTATACTGAAAAACTGACTATTCTGAAATGAAAACTAGAAAAAAACTACCTGTGGAAACGCTCTGTGAAGTGTGGATTCATCTCACAAAGTTAAAACTTTCTATTGAAAGGTTGAATACACTTTTTTTTTTTGTAGATTCTGCCAAGGCACATATGGGAGGCCATTGAGGCCTAGAGTGAAAAGCCGAATATACCACAAGAAAAACTAGAAAAAGTGATCTGAGGAAACACTTTGCAATGTGTGGATTCAACTCACCAAGTTGAACAATTCTTTGATTCAGCAGGTTGGGAACACTATTTTTATAGCATTTGCAAAGGGACATTTGGGAGTCCATTGAGGCCTTTATTGAAGACCTGAATATCCCGTGACAAAAACTAGAAAGAAGCTATCTGTGGAAAGGCTTCGAGATGTGTGGATGTATCTCACAGAGTTAAACACTTCTTTTGATTCAGCAGGTTGGAAAGCCTCTTTTTGTAGAATCGGTGAAAGGACATATAGGAGCCCTTTTAGGCCTATAGTCAAAAACTGAATATCCCATGATAAAAACTTGAAGAAAGCTATCTGTGTAAACACTATGCAATGTGGTTTCATCTTACAGACTTACACCTTTCTTTTGATTCAGCATGTTGGAAATACTCTTTTTGTAGAATCTGTGAAGGTATATTTTGGAGCCCATTGGGGTATATAGTAGAAAATTAAATATCCCATAATCAAAACTATAAAGAAGTTATCTGTGAAAACACTTCACAATGTGTGGATTCAGCTCATAGATTTAAACCTTTCTTTCTATTCAGCATGTTGGAAACACTCAGTTTGTAGAATTTAAGAAGGACATTTGAAAGCCCGTTGAGGCCTACAGTGAAAAACAGAATATCACATGAAAAAACTAGAAAGAAACTTCCTTTGAAAACGCTTGTGATGTGTGGACTCATCTCACAGAGGTAAACCTTTCTTTTGATTCAGTTGATTGGAAACATTCTTTTTGTAGAATCTGCAAATGGACATTTGGGAACTCATTTAGGCATATAGTGAAAAACCAAATATTCCATGACACAAACTAGAAGGAGGCTATTGTGAAAACGTTTTGCAATGAGTGGATTCATCTGGCAGAGTTAAACCTTTCTTTTATTCAGCATGTTTGAAACACACTTCCTGTAGAATCTATGAAGGGACATTTGGGAGCCCATTGTGGCCTATAGTGAAAAACTGAATATTACCCCCAAAAAACTAGAAAGAAGCTATTTGTGCTAATGCTTTGCAGTGTGTGGATTTACCTCACAGAGTTAAACCTTTTTTTGATTCAACTGGTTGGAAACACTATTTTTGTATAATCTGCAAAGGACATTTGGGAACCCATTCAGGCCTTTAGTGAAAAATCAAATATCCCACAATACAAACTATAAAGTAGCTGTCTGTGAAAAGGCTCTGCCATGTGTGGATTCATATCACAGAGATAAACCTGTCTTTTAAATCAGCAGGTTGGAAACACTCTTGTTCTAGAATCTGCAAAGGGACATTTGGAAGCCAATTAAGGCCTATAGCTAAAAACCAATTATTCCCCCCAAATAACTAAAATGAAGCTATCTGTGGAAATGCTTTGTGAAGTGTTGATTTATCTCACAAAGTTAAACCTTTCTTTTGATTCATCTCGTTGGAAACCCTCTTTTTGTAGAATCTGCGCAGGGGCATTTGGGAACCCATTGAGGCCTGTAGTGATGAACTTATAATCCCATGATAAAAACTAAAAAGAAGTTTTCTGTGAAAATGCTTTGAACTTTGTGGAATTATCTCACAGAGTTAAATGTTTCTTTTGATTCAGCAGGTTGGAAACACTCTTTTAGTAGAATCTGTGCAGGGACACATCAGAATCCATTGAGGCCTATAGTGAAAATCTGATATCCCATGATAAAAACTCAAAAGAAGCTAACTGTTAAATGCTTTGTGCTTTGTGGATTCATCTCACATAGTTAAACCTTTTTTTTTTGATTCAGATGGTTGGAAACACTCTTTTTGTACAATCTATGCAAAGACATTTTGAAACACAATGAGTTGTATAGTGAAAAACAGGTGTCATGTGATAAAAACAAGAAAGAAGCTACTTGTTAAAATGCTTTGCACTTTATTCATTCATCTCACAGAGTTAAACCACTGTTTTGATTCATCAGGTTGGAATCACTCTTTTTGTAGTATCTGCACAAGGATATTTGGGAGTCCCTTGAGACATATAGTGATAATCAGAATATCCTGTGATAAAAACTAAAAAGAAGCTATCTATGAAAATGCTTTGTGCTTTGTGGATCATCTCACAGAGTTAAAACTTTCCTTTGAATCAGCAGGTTCAAAAGACTCTTTTTGTAGAATCTGTGCAGGGTCTTTTGGGAGCCCATTGAGGCCTATAGTGATAAAAAGAGTTTTCTGCAATAAAAACTAAAAAAGATATCTGTGAAAGTGCTTTCCACTTTATGGATTCATTCCACAAGTTAAAACATTCTTTTGATTCAGTAGGATGAAAATATTCTTCCTGGAGAATCTTAGTAGGAAGATTTCTGAGTCCATTGAGGCCTATAGTGAAGAAAAGAAAACTCCATGATAAAAACTAGAGGGAAGTATCTGAGAAAATGCTTTGCAATGTGTGGATTCATCTCACAGAGTTTAACCTTTCTTTTGAGGCAGCAGGTTGGAAACACTCTTTTTGTAGAATCTGCACAAGGACATTTGGTGTTCTATTGAGGCCTATAGTGATAAACTGAATATCCCACAATAAAAACTAAAAAGAAGCTATCTGTGAAAACACTTTACACCTTGAGGATTCATCTCACAAATTTAAACCTTTCTTTTAATTCAGCAGGTTGGAAACACTCTTTTTGTAGTATCTGTTTAGTGACACTTAGTGCCTATTGAGGCCTCGAGTGATAAACTGATTATCCTGCAATTAAAACAACAAAAAAGCTATTCTTAAAAGTTCTTTGTGCTTTGTAGATTCATTTCACAGGATTAAACCTTTCTTTTGATTCATCAGGTTGGAAACACTCTTTTTGTAGAATCTGTGCAAGGACATTTCTAAGCCCATTGAAGCCTATAGTGATAAACTGAATATCCTTTGATAAAAACTGAAAAGAAGCTATCTATGATAATGCTTTGTGCTTTGTGGATTCACCTCACAGATTTTAACCTTTCTTTTGATTCAGCAGGTAGGAAACACTCTTCTTGTAGAATCTGTATAGGGACACTTCGGAGCCCATTGGTGCCTGTAGTGAAAAACTGATATTTCGTGATAAAAACTAGAAAGAAGCTCCCTGTAAAAACACTCAGGATGTGTGGATTAATCTAACAGAGTTACACCTTTATTTTGATTCAGGTGGTTGGAAACACTTTTCTTGTAGAATCTGTGCAGG
The DNA here is from genome assembly GCF_000001405.40 of Homo sapiens. Classification (NCBI taxonomy): domain Eukaryota; kingdom Metazoa; phylum Chordata; class Mammalia; order Primates; family Hominidae; genus Homo; species Homo sapiens. Next base: position 14,940 of record NW_021159991.1, read on the forward strand.
GACTTTTGGGAGCCCATTGGGACTTAGAGTGATAAACCAATAATCCTGCAAACAAACAAACAAACAAAAACCAAAAAAGAAGCTATCTGTGAGAATGCTTTGTGCTTTCTGGATTCATCCCAGTGTTAAACCTTTTTTGATTCAGCAGGTTGGAAACACTCATTTTGTAGAGTCTGCACAAAGACATTTCAGAGCCCAATGAGCCCTATAGTGCAAAATCGACATCCCATGATGAAAACTAGAAAGCAGCACTCTGTGAAAAACACTTTGCACTTTGTGGATTCATCTCACAGCGTTAAACCTTTCTTTTGATTGAGCAGGTTCAGAAACACTGTTTTTGTAGAATCTGCACAGGGACATTCAGGAGCCTAATGAGGCCTATTAGTGCAAAACAGATATCCTGTTATAAAAATTAGAAAGAAGGTCTCTGTAAAAACGTTTTCCAATGTGTAGTTTCATCTCAAAGTGTTAAACCTTTCTTATTATTCAGCAGGTTGGAAACCCTCTTTTTGTAGATCTTCACAGGGACATTTGGGAGCACATTGAGGCCTATAGTGATAAACTGAATACCACAGAATAAAAACAAAAATAATCTATCTGTAAAAATGCTTTGTGCTTAGTGGACTTATCTCACACAGTTAAAACTTTCCTTTAATTAAGTATGTTGGAAACACTCTTTTTGTAGATTCTGCACAAGGACATTTGGGAGTTCATTTAGGCCTACAATGATGAATCAAATGTCCATGATAAATACTAGGAAGATGCTATCTTTGAAAACGCTTGGCATTTTATTAGGACATTAGGAAACTTTTTGAGGACTATAGTGATAAATTGAATATATCATGATAAAAACTAAAAAGAAGCTATCTGTGAAAATGCTTTGCACACTGTGGATTCATCTCACAGAGTTAAGCCATTCTTTTGATTCAGCACGTTAAAAACACTGTTTTTGTAGAATGCTCAGGGACACTTTTAAAGTCATTAAGGCCTATAGTGCAAAACTGATATCCTGTGAAAAAAACTGGAAAGAAGCTACCTGTGAAATTGATTTGCAATTTGTGAATTCATCTCACAAAGTTAAACCTATATTTGAATTAGCAGCTTTGTGATGTGTAGAGTCATCTCATAGAGTTAAAACTTTATTTAAATTTGGCAGGTTGGAAACACTCTTTTTGTAGAATCTGTGCAGGGACATTTGGGAGCCCATTGATACCTGTAGTGAGAAACTGATATTCCTTGATAAAAACTAGAAGGAATCTATCTGTGAAAACACCTTGCTGTGTGTGTATTAAGCTCACAGAGTTAATCCTTTCTTTTTTATTCAGCAGTTGGGAAACACTCTTTTTGTAGAATATGCACAGAAACATTTGGGAGTCCATTGAGGCCTGCAGTGAAAAACCAATATCCCACACTAAAAACTAGAAAGAATCTGTTAAAATGCTTTGCCATGTGTGGATTCATCTCACAGAGATAATCCTTTCCTTTGATTTAACAGGTTGGAAACACTTTTTTAGTAGAAGCTGTGCAAGAACATTTAGGAGCCCATTGAGGCCTATAATGAAAAACCAATATCCATTATATTCCGTTTCATTCCATTGCATTCCATTCCATTCCATTCTACACGGGTTGATTCCATTCCATTCCATTCCATTCCATTCCAGTCGTGTTGATACCATTCCATTCCATTCCATTCCATGCCATTCCATTCAATTCAATTCCATTCCACTCCATTCCATTACATTCCATTCCACTCGAGTTGATTCTATTCCATTCCATTCCATTCCATTCCATTCCATTCCATTCCATTCCATTCCATTCCATCCATGCCATTGCATTCGGGTTCATTCCATGGCATTCAATTCCATTCCGTTCCGTTCCATTCTATTCCATTCCATTCCATTGCATTGCCTTCCATTCCGCTCCATTCCATTCCATTCCACTCCATTCCATTCCATTCCATTCCACTCGGGTTGATTCCATACCTTTCCATTCCATTCCATTCCCTTCATTCCTTTCCATTCCATTGCATTCCAGTCGGGTTGATTCCATTCCATTGCTTTCCATTCGATTCCATTGCATGCCTTTCTATTCCATTCCACTCGGTTTGATTCCGTTGCATTCTATTCCATTCCATTGCACTTGGGTTCATTCCATTCCATTCCATTCCATTCCATTCCATTCCATTCCACTCCATTCCATTACATTCCATTCCACGCGAATTGATTCTATTCCATTCCATTCCATTCCATTCCATTCCATTCGGGTTCATTCCATGCCATTCAATTCCATTCTGTTCCATTCCATTCCATTCCATTCCATTCCATTCCATTCCATTCCATTCCATTCCATTGCCTTCCATTCCACTCCATTGCCTTCCATTCCACTCCATTCCATTCCATTCCATTCCATTCCATTCCATTCCATTCCATTCCATTCCATTCCATTCCATTCCATTCCATTCCACTCGGGTTGATTCCATACCTTTCCATTCCATTCCATTCCCTTCATTCCTTTCCATTCCATTCCGTTCCAGTCGGGTTGATTCCATTCCATTGCTTTCCATTCGATTCCATTGCATGCCTTTCTATTCCATTCCACTCGGGTTGATTCCGTTGCATTGTATTCCATTCCATTGCACTTGGGTTGATTCCATTCCATTCCGTTCTGTTGCATTCCATTCCATTGCATTCCATACCATTCCATTCCACTCGGGATGATTCCATTCCATTCCATTCCATTCCATTCCATTCCATTCCATTCCATTCCATTCCACTCCATTCCATTACATTCCCTTCCACTCAAGTTGATTCTATTCCATTCCACTCCATTCCATTTCACTCCATTCCATTCCATTCCATTCCATTCCATTCCATTCCATTCCATTCCGTTCCTTTCCAATCCGTGATATTCAACTAGCGTTGAATCCATTGCATTCCATTCCAATCCATTCCTCTCCATTCAATTCCTCTCTGATTTATTCTATTCCGTTCCATTCCATTCCGTTCTGTTACATTCTGTTCCATTGCCTTCCATACCATTCCATTCCACTCGGGATGTTTCCATTCTATTCCATTATATTACGTTTCATTCCATTGCATTCCATTCCATTCCATTCCACTCGGGTTGATTCCATTCCATTCCATTCCATTCCATTCCATTCCATTCCATTCCATTCCATTCCATTCCATTGCATTCCATTCCATTCCGTTCCTTTCCATTCGTGTTGATTCCACTCCATTCCATTCCATTCCATTCCATTCCTTTCCAATCCATGACATTCAACTAGGTTGAATCCATTGCATTCCATTCCAATCCATTCCTCTCCATTCAATTACTCTCTGATTCAATCTATTCCGTTCCATTCCATTCCGTTCTGTTCCATTCCGTTCCATTGCATTCCATACCATTCCATTCCACTCGGGATGTTTCCATTCCATTCCACTCCATTCCATTCCATTCCATTCCATTCCATTCCATTCCATTCCATCCCATTCTGGTTGATTCCATTCCATTCCATTCCATTTTATTCCAATCCATTCCGTTCCATTCCATTCCATTCGATAATATTCCACTCGGGTTGATTCCATACCATTCCATTCCATTCCATTCCATTGAATTCCATTCCATTCCATTCCACTCGGGTTGATTCCATGCCATTCCATTCCATTCCATTCCATTCCATTCCATTCCATTCCATTCAGGTTGATTCCATTCCATTCCATTCCATTCAATTCCATTCCATTCCACTCCATTCCATTACATTCCATTCCACTCGAGTTGATTCTATTCCTTTCCATTCCATTCCATTCCATTCCTTTCCATTCGGGTTCATTCCATGCCATTCAATTCCATTCCGTTCAGGTCCATTCTATTCCATTCCATTCCATTCCATTCCATTCCATTCCATTGTCTTCCATTCCACTCCATTCCATTCCATTCCATTCCATTCCATTCCATTCCATTCCATTCCATTCCATTCATTTCCATTACACTCGGGGTTGATTCCATAGCATTCCATTCCATTCCATTCCATTCGATTCCATTCCATTCCATTCTGGTTGATTCCATTCTATTCCATTCCATTCCATTGCATTCCATTCTATTCCATTCCAGTCCATTCCATTCCACTCGGTTTGATTCCATACCATTCCATTCCATTCCCTTCCATTCCATTCGTTCCATTCCATTCCATTCCATTCATTCCTTTCCATTCCATTCCATTCCATTCGGGTTGATTCCATTCCATTCCTTTCCATTCCATTTCATTCCATTCCTTTCCATTCCATTCCACTCGGGTTGATTCTGTTGCATTCCATTCCATTCCATTGCACTTGGGTTGATTCCATTCCATTCCATTCCATTCCATGCATTTCCCTTACACTCGGGTTGATTTCATAGCATTCCATTGCATTCCATTCCATTCCATTCCATTCCATCCCATTCGGGTTGAATCCCTTGCATTCCATTCCAATCCATTCCACTCCAGTCAATTCCTCTCGGATTCAATCTATTCCATTCCATTCCTTTCCGTTCTGTTCCATTCCATTCCATTGCATTCCATACCATTCCATTCCACTCGGGATGTTTCCATTCCATTCCATTCCATTCCGTTCCATTGCATTCCATTCCCTTCCATTCCATTCCATTCCATTCCATTCTATTCCACTCAGGTTGATTCCGCTCCATTCCATTGCATTACATTCCACTCGGGTTGATTCCTTTCCATTCCATTCAATTCCACTCGGGTTAATTCCATTCCGTTCCTTTCCATTTCACTCCATTCCATTCCATTCCATTCCATTCCATTCCATTCCATTCCATTCCGTTCCATGCATTTCCCTTACACTCCGGTTGATTCCATAGCATTCCATTGCATTCCATTACATTCCATTCCATTCAATCCCATTCGGGTTGATTCCATTCCATTCCATTCCATTCCATTCCATTCCATTCCATTCCATTCCATTCCTTTCCATTCCATTCCGTTCTGTTCCATTCCGTTCCATTGCATTCCATACCATTCCATTCCACTCGGGATGTTTCCATTCCATTCCACTCCATTCCATTCCATTCCATTCCATTCCATTCCATTCCATTCCATCCCATTCTGGTTGATTCCATTCCATTCCATTCCATTTTATTCCAATCCATTCCGTTCCATTCCATTCCATTCGATAATATTCCACTCGGGTTGATTCCATACCATTCCATTCCATTCCATTCCATTGAATTCCATTCCATTCCATTCCACTCGGGTTGATTCCATGCCATTCCATTCCATTCCATTCCATTCCATTCCATTCCATTCCATTCCATTCAGGTTGATTCCATTCCATTCCATTCCATTCAATTCCATTCCATTCCACTCCATTCCATTACATTCCATTCCACTCGAGTTGATTCTATTCCTTTCCATTCCATTCCATTCCATTCCTTTCCATTCGGGTTCATTCCATGCCATTCAATTCCATTCCGTTCAGGTCCATTCCATTCCATTCCATTCCATTCCATTCCATTCCATTCCATTGTCTTCCATTCCACTCCATTCCATTCCATTCCATTCCATTCCATTCCATTCCATTCCATTCATTTCCATTACACTCGGGGTTGATTCCATAGCATTCCATTCCATTCCATTCCATTCGATTCCATTCCATTCCATTCTGGTTGATTCCATTCTATTCCATTCCATTCCATTGCATTCCATTCTATTCCATTCCAGTCCATTCCATTCCACTCGGTTTGATTCCATACCATTCCATTCCATTCCCTTCCATTCCATTCGTTCCATTCCATTCCATTCCATTCATTCCTTTCCATTCCATTCCATTCCATTCGGGTTGATTCCATTCCATTCCTTTCCATTCCATTTCATTCCATTCCTTTCCATTCCATTCCACTCGGGTTGATTCTGTTGCATTCCATTCCATTCCATTGCACTTGGGTTGATTCCATTCCATTCCATTCCATTCCATGCATTTCCCTTACACTCGGGTTGATTTCATAGCATTCCATTGCATTCCATTCCATTCCATTCCATTCCATCCCATTCGGGTTGAATCCCTTGCATTCCATTCCAATCCATTCCACTCCAGTCAATTCCTCTCGGATTCAATCTATTCCATTCCATTCCTTTCCGTTCTGTTCCATTCCATTCCATTGCATTCCATACCATTCCATTCCACTCGGGATGTTTCCATTCCATTCCATTCCATTCCGTTCCATTGCATTCCATTCCCTTCCATTCCATTCCATTCCATTCCATTCTATTCCACTCAGGTTGATTCCGCTCCATTCCATTGCATTACATTCCACTCGGGTTGATTCCTTTCCATTCCATTCAATTCCACTCGGGTTAATTCCATTCCGTTCCTTTCCATTTCACTCCATTCCATTCCATTCCATTCCATTCCATTCCATTCCGTTCCATGCATTTCCCTTACACTCCGGTTGATTCCATAGCATTCCATTGCATTCCATTACATTCCATTCCATTCAATCCCATTCGGGTTGATTCCATTCCATTCCATTCCATTCCATTCCATTCCATTCCATTCCTTTCCATTCCATTCCGTTCCATTCCATTCGGGTTGATTCCATTCCATTAAATTCCACTGCATTCCATTCCATTCCATTCCACTCCATTCCATTCCTTTCCACTCCATACATTCCGTTCCATTCCACCGGGATTGATTCCATACCATTCCATTCCATTCTATGCTATTCCATTCCAGTTGATTCCGTTGGATTCCATTCCGTTCCATTCCATTCCATTCCATTCCATTCCATTCCATTCCATTCCACTCCATACCATTCCATTCCATTGCATTCGACTCAGGTTGATTCCGCTCCATTCCATTGCATTACATTACATTTCATTCCACTCTGGTTGATTCCTTTCCATTCCATTCCGTCCCACTCGGGTTTATTCCATTCCGTTCCTTTCCATTTCATTTCATTTCATTCCATTCCATTCCATTCCGTTCCATTCCATTCCGTTCCATTCTATTCGTTTTTATTTCATTCCATTCCATTCCACAGCATTCCATTCCATTCCATTCAATTCCATTCCATTCCACTCAATTCCATTACATTCCATTCTACTCGAGTTGATTCTATTCCATTCCATTCCATTCCATTCCATTCCATTCCATTCCATTCCATTCCATTCCATTCGGGTTCATTCCATTCCATTCCATTCCATTCCATTCCATTCCATTCCATTCGATTCCATTTCATTCCATTCCGTTCAATTCCATTCGTGTTGATTCCATTCCATTCCATTCCATTCCACTCCTTTCCATTCCATTCCATTCCACTCCTTTCCAATCCATGACATTCAACTGGGTTGAATTCCTTGCATTCCATTCCAGTCCATTCCACACCAGTCAATTCCTCTTGGATTCAGTCTATTCCATTCCATTCCTTTCCGTTCTGTTCCATTCCATTTCATTGCATTCCATACCATTCCATTCCACTCGGGATGATTCCATTCCATTCCATTCCATTCCGTTCCATTCCATTCCATTCCATTCCTTTCCATTCCGTTCCATTCCATTCGGGTTGATTCCATTCCATTCCATTCAATTGCATTCCATTCCATTCCATTCCATTCCATTCCATTCCATTCCATTCCATTCCATTCCATTCCATTCCATTCCACTCAGGTTGATTCCGCTCCATTCCATTGCATTACATTCCATTTCATTCCTCTCGGGTTGATTCCTTTCCATTCCATTCAATTCCACTCGGGTTAATTCCAATCCGTTCCTTTCCATTTCACTCCATTCCATTCCATTCCATTCCACTCCTTTCCATTCCATTCCATTCCACTCTTTCCAATCCATGACATTCAACTGGGTTGAATCCCTTGCATTCCATTCCAATCCATTCCTCTCCAGTCAATTCCTCTCGGATTCAATCTATTCCATTCCATTCCTTTCTGTTCCGTTCCATTCCATTCCATTGCATTCCATATCATTCCATTCCACTCGGGATGATTCCATTCCATTCCATTCCGTTCCGTTCCATTCCATTCCATTCCATTCCATTCCATTCCATTCCATTCCGTTCCGGTCCATTCCATTCCATTCCATTCCATTCCATTCCATTCCATTCCACGCAGGTTGATTCCGCTCCATTCCATTACATTACATTCCATTTCATTCCACTCGGGTTGATTCCTTTCCATTCCTTTCAATTCCACTCGGGTGAATTCCATTCTGTTCCTTTCCATTTCACTCCATTCCATTCCATTCCATTCCATTCCATTCCATTCCGTTCCATTCTATTCGTGTTTATTTCATTCCATTCCATTCCATTCCACAGCATTCCATTCCATTCCGTTCCATTCTATTCGTGTTGTTTCCTTTCCATACCATTCCATTGCATTCCATTCCTTTCCATTCCATTCCGTTCCATTCTATTCCTGTTTATTTCATTCCAATTCTTTCCATTCCACAGCATTCCTTTCCATTCCGTTCTGTTCCATTCCATTCGTGTTGTTTCTATTCCATTCCATTCCATTCCATTCCATTCCATTCCATTCCATTCCGTTCCATTCCATTCGTGTTGATTCCATTCCATTCCATTCCACTCCTTTCCATTCCACTCCATTCCACTCCTTTCCAATCCATGACATTCAACTGGGTTGAATCCCTTGCATTCCATTCCAATCCATTCCACTACAGTCAATTCCTCTCGGATTCAATCTATTCCATTCCATTCCTTTCCGTTCTGTTCCATTCCATTCCATTCCATTCCATTCCATTCCATTCCATTCCATTCCTTTCCATTCCATTCCGTTCCATTCCATTCGGGTTGATTCCATTCCATTTTATTCCATTGCATTCTTTTCCATTCCATTCCATTCGGGTTCATTCCATTCCATTCCATTCCATCCCATTCCATTCCATTCCATTCCATTCCGTTCCGTTCCGTTCCTTTCCATTCCATTCCATTCCATTGCATTCCATTCCATTCCATTCCATTCTATTCCATTCCAGTCCATTCCATTCCACTCGGGTTGATTCCATACCATTCCATTCCATTCCATTCCATTCCATTCCATTCCATTCATTCCTTTCCATTCCATTCCATTCCATTCGGGTTGATTCCATTCCATTCCTTTCCATTCCATTTCATTCCATTCCTTTCCATTCCATTCCACTCGGGTTGATTCCGTTGCATTCCATTCCATTCCATTGCACATGGGTTGATTCCATTCCATTCCATTCCATTCCATGCATTTCCCTTACACTTGGGTTGATTCCATAGCATTCCATTGCATTCCATTACATTCCATTTCATTCCATCCCATTCGGGTTGATTCCATTCCATTCCATTCCATTCCATTACATTCCACTTCATTCCATCCCATTCGGGTTGATTCCATTCCATTCCATTCCATTCCATTCCATTCCATTCCATTCCATTCCATTCCATTCCATTCGTTTCCATTCCATTCGGGTTGATTCCATTCCATTAAATTCCACTGCATTCCATTCCATTCCATTCCACTCCATTCCATTCCATTCCACTCCATACATTCCATTCCATTCCACCCGGATTGATTCCATTGCATTCCATTCCATTCTATGCTATTCCATTCCAGTTGATTCCATTGGATTCCATTCAGTTACATTCCATTCCATTCCACTGCATTCCATTCCAGTCCATTCCATTCCATTCCATCCCATTTGGGTTGATTCCATTCCATTCCATTCCATTCTATTCCATTCCAGTCCATTCCATTCCACTCGGGTTGATTCCATACCATTCCATTCCATTCCATTCCTTTCCATTCCATTCCATTCCATTCCATTCCATTCCATTCCATTCCATTGCATTCCATTCCATTCGTTCCTTTCCATTCCATTCCATTCCATTCGGGTTGATTCCATTCCATTCCTTTCCATTCCATTTCATTCCATTCCTTTCCATTCCATTCTACTCGGGTTGATTCCGTTGCATTCCATTCCATTCCATTCCATTCCATTCTATTCCATTCCAGTCCATTCCATTCCACTCGGGTTGATTCCATTCCATTCCATTCCATTCCATTCCATTCCATTCCATTCCATTCATTCCTTTCCATTCCATTCCATTCCATTCGGTTGATTCCATTCCATTCCTTTCCATTCCATTTCATTCCATTCCTTTCCATTCCATTCCACTCGGGTTGATTCCGTTGCATTCCATTCCTTTCCATTGCACTTGGGTTGATTCCATTCCATTCCGTTTCATTCCATTCCATTCCATTCCATTCCATGCATTTCCCTTACACTCGGGTTGATTCCATAGCATTCCATTGTATTCCATTCCATTCCATTCCATTCCATCCCATTCGGGTTGATTCCATTCCATTCCATTCCATTGCATTCGATTCCATTCCATTCTGCTCCATTCCATTCGGGTTGATTACATTCCATTAAATTCCACTGCATTCCATTCCATTACATTCCACTCCATTCCATTACATTCCACTCCATACATTCCATTCCTTTCCACCCGGATTGATTCCATTCCATTCCATTCCATTCTATGCTATTCCATTCCAGCTGATTCCATTGGATTCCATTCCGTTCCATTCCATTCCACTCCTTTCCATTCCATTCCATTGCATTCGACTCGGGTTGATTCTGCTCCATTCCATTGCATTACATTCCATTTCATTCCATTCGGGTTGATTCCTTTCCATTCCATTCCGTTCCAGTCGGGTTAATTCCATTCCGTTCCTTTCCATTCCATTCCATTCCATTCCATTCCATTTCATTCTATTCCGTTCCATTACATTCGTGTTGATTCCATTCCATTCCATTCCACTCCTTTCCATTCCATTCCATTCCACTGCTTTCCAATCCATGACATTCAACTGGGTTGAATCCCTTGCATTCCACTCCATTCCATTCCACTCCAGTGAATTCCTCTCGGATTCAATCTATTCCATTCCATTCCTTTCCGTTCTGTTCCATTCCATTCCATTGCACTCCATACCATTCCATTCCACTCGGGATAATTCCATTCCATTCCATTCCATTCCATTCCATTCCATTCCATTCCATTCCTTTCCATTCCATTCCGTTCCATTCCATTCGGGTTGATTTTATTCTATTAAATTCCACTGCATTCCATTCCATTCCATTCCACTCCTTTCCATTCCATTCCACTCCATACATTCCGTTCCATTCCACCGGGATTGATTCCATACCATTCCATTCCATTCTATGCTATTCCATTCCAGTTGATTCCGTTGGATTCCATTACGTTCCATTCCATTCCATTCCATTCCTTTCCATTCCATTCCATTCCATTCCACTCCATACTATTCCATTCCATTGCATTCGACTCAGGTTAATTCCGCTCCATTCCATTGCATTACATTACATTTCATTCCACTCGGGTTGATTCCTTTCCATTCCATTCCGTCCCACTCAGGTTTATTCCATTCCGTTCCTTTCCATTTCATTCCATTCCATTCCATTCCATTCCATTCCATTCCATTCCATTCCGTTCCATTCCATTCCGTTCCATTCTATTCGTTTTTATTTCATTCTATTTCCATTCCACAGCATTCCATTCCATTCCATTCAATTCCATTCCATTCCACTCAATTTCATTACATTCCATTCCACTCGAGTTGATTCTATTCCATTCCATTCCATTCCTTTCCATTTCATTCCATGCCAGTTGATTGCATTCCTTTCCATTCCATTCCTTTCCATTCCATTCCATTCCATTCTACTCGGGTTGATTCCATTCCATTCCATTTCATTCCATTCGATTTCATTCCACTGGTGTTTATTCCATTCCACTCCATTCCATTCCATTCCATTCGGGTTTATTCCATTTCATTCCATTCCATTCCATTCCATTGCATTCCATTCCTTTCCATTCTATTCCATTCCATTCCATTCCATTTGTGTCGATTCCATTCCATTCCATTCCATTCCATTCCACTGCATTCCAATCCATTACATTGCACTCAGGTTGAATCCTTTCCATTCCATTCCAATGCATTCCCTTTCATTCAATTCCACTCGGATTCAATCAATTCCATTCTATTCCATTCCGTTCTGTTCCACTCCATTCCATTGCATTCCATACCATTCCATTCCACTCGGGTTGATTCCATTGAATTCCATCCCATTCCATTCCATTCCATTCTATTGCATTCCATTCCATTCCATTCCATTCCACTCGTGTTGATTCCCTTCCATTCCATTCCATTCCATTCCACTTGTGTTGATTCCATTCCGTTCCTTTCGATTGCATTCCATTCCATTGCATTCCATTCCATTCCATTCCATTCCGTTCCATTCCATTCGTGTTGATGCCATTCCAATCCATACCATTCCATTCCATTCCATTCCGTTCCATTCCTTTCGTGTTGATTCCATTCCATTCCATTCCACTCCATTCCAATCCATTACATTCCACTCGGGTTGTATCCATTCCTTTCCATTCCAATCCATTCCATTCCTTTCCAATCCATTCCATTCCATTCAATTCCACATGGATTCATTCTATTCTTTCCATTCCATTCCGTTCTGTTCCATTCCAGTCCATTCCATTAGATACCATTCCATTCCACTCGGGGTGATTCCATTCAATTCCATTAAATTCCGTTCAATTCCATTGCATTCCATTCCATTCCATTCCACTCGGGTGGATTCCATTCCATTCCACTCCATTCCATTCCATTCCATTCCATTCCATTCCATTCCACTCGGGTTGATTCCAGTCCGTTCCTTTCCATTTCATTCCATTCCATTCCATTCCATTCCATTCCATTCCATTCCATTCCATTCCAATCCATTCCATTCCACTCCACTCCGGTTGATTCCATTCCATTCTATTCCATTCCATTCCATTCCATTCCATTCCATTCCATTCCATTCCATTCCATTCCATTCCACTCGGGTTGATTCCATTCCATTCCATTCCATTTTATTCCATTCCATTCCGTTCCATTCCATTCCATTCCATTCCATACCATTCCACTCGGGTTGATTCCATAGCATTCCATTCCATTCCACTCGGGTTGATTCCATTCCATTCCATTCCATTCCACTCCATTCCATTCCATTCCTTTCCACTCCTTTCGATTCCATTCCATTCCATTCCACTTGGGTTGATTCCTTCCATTCCATTCCACTCCACTCGGGTTGATTCCATTCCATTCCATTCCATTCCATTCCATTCCATTCCATTCCATTGCATTCCATTCCATTCCACTCGTGTTGATTCCCTTCCATTCCATTCCATTCCATTCCACTCCATTCCACTTGGGTTGATTCCATTCCGTTCCTTTCCATTTCATTCCATACCATTCCATTCCATTCCATACCATTCCATTCCATTCCATTCCGTTCCATTCCATTTGTGTTGATTCCATTCCAGTCCATTCCACTCCATTCCAATCCGTTACATTCCACTCGGGTTGAATCCATTCCTTTCCATTCCAATCCATTCCAGTCCTTTCCAATCCATTCCATTCCATTCAATTCGACTTGGATTCAATCATCTATTTTTTCCTTTCCATTCCGTTCTGTTCCATTCCAGTCCATTGCATTAGATACCATTCCATTCCACTCGGGATGATTCCATTCAATTCCATTATATTCCGTTCAATTCCATTGCATTCCATTCCATTCCATTCCACTCGGGTTGATTCCATTCCGTTCCTTTCCATTTCATTCCATTCCATTCCATTCCATTCCATTCCATTCCATTCCATTCTGTTCCATTCCATTCCGTTCCATTCTATTCGTTTTTATTTCATTCTATTTCCATTCCACAGCATTCCATTCCATTCCATTCAATTCCATTCCATTCCACTCAATTCCATTACATTCCATTCCACTCGAGTTGATTCTATTCCATTCCATTCCATTCCATTCCATTCCATTCCATTCCATTCCATTCCATTCGGGTTCATTCCATTCCATTCCATTCCATTCCATTCCATTCCATTTCATTCCATTCCGTTCCATTCCATTCGTGTTGATTCCATTCCATTCCATTCCACTCCTTTCCAATCCATGACATTCAACTGGGTTGAATTCCTTGCATTCCATTCCAGTCCATTCCACTCCAGTCAATTCCTCTCGGATTCAATCTATTCCATTCCATTCCTTTCCGTTCTGTTCCATTCCATTCCCTTGCATTCCATACCATTCCATTCCACTTCGGATGATTCCATTCCGTTCCATTCCATTCCATTCCATTCCTTTCCATTCCGTTCCATTCCATTCCGTTCCATTCCATTCGGGTTGATTCCATTCCATTCCATTCCATTCCATTCCATTCCATTCCATTCCCTTACACTCAGGTTGATTCCGCTCCATTCCATTGCATTACATTCCATTTCATTCCACTCGGGTTGATTCCTTTCTATTCCATTCAATTCCACTCGGGTGAATTGCAATCTGTTCCTTTCCATTTTACTCCATTCCATTCCATTCCATTCCACTCCTTTCCATTCCATTCCATTCCACTCCTTTCCAATCCATGACATTCAACTGGGTTGAATCCTTTGCATTCCATTCCAATCCATTCCACTCCAGTCAATTCCTCTCAGATTCAATCTATTCCATTCCATTCCTTTCCGTTCTGTTCCATTCCATTCCATTGCATTCCATACCATTCCATTCCACTCGGGATGATTCCATTCCATTCCGTTCCATTGCATTCCATTCCATTCCATTCCATTCCATTCCATTCCATTCCGTTCCACTCAGGTTGATTCTGCTCCATTCCATTGCATTACATTCCATTTCATTCCACTCGGGTTGATTCCTTTCCATTCCATTCAATTCCACTCGAGTTAATTCCATTCTGTTCCTTTCCATTTCACTCCATTCCATTCCATTCCATTCCATTCCATTCCATTCCATTCCGTTCCGTTCCATTCTATTCGTGTTTATTTCATTCCATTCCATTCCATTCCACAGCATTCCATTCCATTCCGTTCCATTCTATTCATGTTGTTTCCTTTCCATTCCATTCCATTGCATTGCATTCCTTTCCTTTCCATTCCATTCCATTCCATTCTATTCGTGTTTATTTCATTCCAATTCTTTCCATTCCACAGCATTCCATTCCATTCCGTTCCGTTCCATTCCATTCGTGTTGTTTCTATTCCACTCCATTCCATTCCATTCCATTCCATTCCGTTCCATTCCATTCGTGTTGATTCCATTCCATTCCATTCCACTGCTTTCCATTCCACTCCGTTCCACTCCTTTCCAATCCATGACATTCAACTGGATTGAATCCCTTGCATTCCATTCCAATCCATTCCACTACAGTCAATTCCTCTCGGATTCAATCTATTCCATTCCATTCCTTTCGGTTCTGTTCCATTCCATTCCATTCCATTCAATTCCATTCCATTCCATTCCTTTCCATTCCATTCCGTTCCATTCCATTCGGGTTGATTCCATTTCATTTTATTCCATTGCATTCCTTTCCATTCCATTCCATTCGGGTTCATTCCATTCCATTCCATTCTATTCCATTCCATTGCATTCCATTCCGTTCCTTTCCATTCCATTCCATTCCATTGCATTCCATTCCATTCTATTCCATTCCAGTACATTCCATTCCACTCGGGTTGATTCCATACCATTCCATTCTATTCCATTCATTCCTTTCCATTCCATTACATTCCATTCGGGTTGATTCCATTCCATTCCTTTCCATTCCATTTCATTCCATTCCTTTCCCTTCCATTCCACTCGGGTTGATTCCGTTGCATTCCATTCCATTCCATTGCACTTGGGTTGATTCCATTCCATTCCATTCCATTCCATTCCATTCCATGCATTTCCCTTACACTCGGGTTGATTCCATAGCATTCCATTGCATTCCATTACATTCCATTTCATTCCATCCCATTCGGGTTGATCATTCCATTCCATTCCATTCCATTCCATTCCATTCCATTCCATTCCTTTCCATTCCATTCGGGTTGATTCCATTCCATTAAATTCAACTGCATTCCATTCCATTCCATTCCACTGCATTCCATTCCATTCCACTCCATACATTCCATTCCATTCCACCCGGATTGATTCCATTCCATTCCATTCCATTCTATGCTATTCCATTCCAGTTGATTCCATTGGATTCCATTCAGTTACATTCCATTCCATTCCATTCCATTCCATTCCGTTCCATTCCATTCCACTCCTTTCCATTTCATTCCATTGCATTCGACTCAGGTTGATTCCGCTCCATTGCATTGCATTACATTCCATTTCATTCCACTCGGATTGATTCCTTTCCATTTCATTCCGTTCCACTCGGGTTAATTGCATTCCGTTCCTTTCCATTTCATTCCATTCCATTCCATTCCATTCCATTCCATTCCATTCCATTCCATTCCGTTCCATTCTATTCGTGTTTATTTCATTCCATTCCATTCGATTCCACAGCATTCCATTCCATTCCATTCCGTTCCATTCCATTTGTCTTGTTTCCATTCCATTCCATTCCATTCCATTCCATTCCATTCCATTCCATTCCATTCCATTCCATTCCGTTCCATTCCATTCGTGTTGATACCATTCCATTCCATTCCACTCCTTTCCAATCCATGACATTCAACTGGGTTGAATCCCTTGCATTCCATTCCAATCCATTCCACTCCAGTCAATTCCTCTCGGATTCAATCTATTCCATTCCATTCCTTTCCGTTCTGTTCCATTCCATTCCATTGCATTCCATACCATTCCATTCCACTCGGGATAATTCCATTCCATTCCATTCCATTCCATTCCATTCCATTCCATTCCATTCCATTCCATTCCTTTCCATTCCATTCCGTTCCATTCCATTCGGGTTGATTCTATTCTATTAAATTCCACTGCATTCCATTCCATTCCATTCCACTCCTTTCCATTCCATTCCACTCCATACATTCCGTTCCATTCCACCGGGATTGATTCCATACCATTCCATTCCATTCTATGCTATTCAATTCCAGTTGATTCCGTTGGATTCCATTACGTTCCATTCCATTCCATTCCATTCCTTTCCATTCCATTCCATTCCATTCCACTCCATACTATTCCATTCCATTGCATTCGACTCAGGTTGATTCCACTCCATTCCATTGCATTACATTACATTTCATTCCACTCGGGTTGATTCCTTTCCATTCCATTCCGTCCCACTCAGGTTTATTCCATTCCGTTCCTTTCCATTTCATTCCATTCCATTCCATTCCATTCCATTCCATTCCATTACATTCCATTCCGTTCCATTCCATTCCGTTCCATTCTATTCGTTTTTATTTCATTCTATTTCCATTCCACAGCATTCCATTCCATTCCATTCAATTCCATTCCATTCCACTCAATTTCATTACATTCCATTCCACTCGAGTTGATTCTATTCCATTCCATTCCATTCCATTCCATTCCATTCCATATCATTCCATGCCAGTTGATTGCATTCCTTTCCATTCCATTCCTTTCCATTCCATTCCATTCCATTCTACTCGGGTTGATTCCATTCCATTCCATTTCATTCCATTCGATTTCATTCCACTGGTGTTTATTCCATTCCACTCCATTCCATTCCATTCCATTCGGGTTTATTCCATTTCATTCCATTCCATTCCATTCCTTTCCATTCTATTCCATTCCATTCCATTCCATTTGTGTCGATTCCATTCCATTCCATTCCATTCCATTCCATTCCATTCCATTCCACTGCATTCCAATCCATTACATTGCACTCGGGTTGAATCCTTTCCATTCCATTCCAATGCATTCCCTTCCATTCAATTCCACTCGGATTCAATCAATTCCATTCTATTCCATTCCGTTCTGTTCCACTCCATTCCATTGCATTCTATACCATTCCATTCCACTCGGGTTGATTCCATTGAATTCCATCCTATTCCATTCCATTCCATTCTATTGCATTCCATTCCATTCCATTCCACTCGTGTTGATTCCCTTCCATTCCATTCCATTCCATTCCATTCCATTCCATTCCATTCCACTTGGGTTGATTCCATTCCGTTCCTTTCGATTGCATTCCATTCCATTGCATTCCATTCCATTCCATTCCATTCCATTCCGTTCCATTCCATTCGTGTTGATGCCATTCCAATCCATACCATTCCATTCCATTCCATTCCATTCCATTCCGTTCCATTCCTTTCGTGTTGATTCCATTCCATTCCATTCCATTCCATTCCACTCCATTCCAATCCATTACATTCCACTCGGGTTGAATCCATTCCTTTCCATTCCAATCCATTCCATTCCTTTCAATCCATTCCATTCCATTCAATTCCATATGGATTCAATCTATTCTTTACATTCCATTCCGTTCTGTTCCATTCCAGTCCATTGCATTAGATACCATTCCATTCCACTCGGGGTGATTCCATTCAATTCCATTATATTCCGTTCAATTCCATTGCATTCCATTCCATTCCATTCCACTCGGGTGGATTCCACTCCATTCCATTCCATTCCATTCCATTCCATTCCATTTCATTCCATTCCCCTCGGGTTGATTCCAGTCCGTTCCTTTCCATTTCATTCCATTCCATTCCACTCCATTCCATTCCATTCCATTCCATTCCATTCCATTCCATTCCATTCCAATCCATTCCATTCCACTCCACTCCGGTTGATTCCATTCCATTCCATTCCATTCCATTCCGTTCCGTTCCGTTCCGTTCCATTCCATTCCATTCCATACCATTCCACTCGGGTTGATTCCATACCATTCCATTCCATTCCACTCGGGTTGATTCCATTCCATTCCATTCCATTCCATTCCATTCCATTCCATTCCATTCGTGTTGATTCCATTGCATTCCATTCCATTCCACTCCATTCCATTCCATTTCATTCCATTCCAGTTGATTCCATTCCTTTCCATTCCATTCCTTTCCATTCCATTCCATTCCATTCTACTCGGTTTGATTCCATTCCATTCCATTTCATTCCATTCGATTTCATTCCACTGGTGTTTATTCCATTCCACTCCATTCCATTCCATTCCATTCCATTCGGGTTTATTCCATTTCATTCCATTCCATTCCATTCCATTGCATTCCATTCCTTTCCATTCTATTCCATTCCATTCCATTCCATTTGTGTTGATTCCATTCCATTCCATTCCACTGCATTCCAACCCATTACATTGCACTCGGGTTGAATCCTTTCCATTCCATTCCAATGCATTCCCTTTCATTCAATTCCACTCGGATTCAATCAATTCCATTCTATTCCATTCCGTTCTGTTCCACTCCATTCCATTGCATTCCATACCATTCCATTCCACTCGGGTTGATTCCATTGAATTCCATCCCATTCCATTCCATTCCATTCTATTGCATTCCATTCCATTCCATTCCATTCCACTCGTGTTGATTCCCTTCCATTCCATTCCATTCCATTCCACTTGTGTTGATTCCATTCCGTTCCTTTCGATTGCATTCCATTCCATTGCATTCCATTCCATTCCATTCCATTCCGTTCCATTCCATTCGTGTTGATGCCATTCCAATCCATACCATTCCATTCCATTCCATTCCGTTCCATTCCTTTCGTGTTGATTCCATTCCATTCCATTCCACTCCATTCCAATCCATTACATTCCACTCGGGTTGTATCCATTCCTTTCCATTCCAATCCATTCCATTCCTTTCCAATCCATTCCATTCCATTCAATTCCACATGGATTCATTCTATTCTTTCCATTCCATTCCGTTCTGTTCCATTCCAGTCCATTCCATTAGATACCATTCCATTCCACTCGGGGTGATTCCATTCAATTCCATTAAATTCCGTTCAATTCCATTGCATTCCATTCCATTCCATTCCACTCGGGTGGATTCCATTCCATTCCATTCCATTCCATTCCATTCCATTCCATTCCATTCCATTCCATTCCACTCGGGTTGATTCCAGTCCGTTCCTTTCCATTTCATTCTATTCCATTCCATTCCATTCCATTCCAATCCATTCCATTCCACTCCACTCCGGTTGATTCCATTCCATTCTATTCCATTCCATTCCATTCCATTCCATTCCATTCCATTCCATTCCATTCCACTCGGGTTGATTCCATTCCATTCCATTCCATTCCATTCCACTCCATTCCATTCCATTCCTTTCAACTCCTTTCCATTCCATTCCATTCCATTCCACTTGGGTTGATTCCTTCCATTCCATTCCACTCCACTCGGGTTGATTCCATTCCATTCCATTCCATTCCATTCCATTCCATTGCGTTCCATTCCATTCCATTGCATTCCATTCCATTCCATTCCACTCGTGTTGATTCCCTTCCATTCCATTCCATTCCATTCCACTTGGGTTGATTCCATTCCGTTCCTTTCCATTTCATTCCATACCATTCCATTCCATTCCATTCCATTCCATTCCATTCCGTTCCATTCCATTTGTGTTGATTCCATTCCAGTCCATTCCACTCCATTCCAATCCATTACATTCCACTCGGGTTGAATCCATTCCTTTCCATTCCAATCCATTCCAGTCCTTTCCAATCCATTCCATTCCATTCAATTCGACTTGGATTCAATCATCTATTTTTTCCATTCCATTCCGTTCTGTTCCATTCCAGTCCATTGCATTAGATACCATTCCATTCCACTCGGGATGATTTCATTCAATTCCATTATATTCCATTCAATTCCATTGCATTCCATTCCATTCCATTCCACTCGGGTTGATTCCATTCCGTTCCTTTCCATTTCATTCCATTCCATTCCATTCCGTTCCATTCCATTCCATTCCATTCCATTCCATTCCACTCCATTAAATTCCACTCCACTCCGGTTGATTCCATTCCATTTCATTCCATTCCATTTCACTCGAGTTGATTCCATTCCATTCCATTCCATTTTATTCCATTCCATTCCATGAAATTCCATTCCATTCCACTCCACTCAGGTTGATTCCTTTCCATTCCATTTCATTCCATTCCTTTCCATTCCATTCCATTCCACTCCACTCCACTCCATTCCATTCCATTCCACTCGGGTTGATTCCATTCCATTCCATTCCAATCCATTCCATTCCATTCCATTCCATTCCATTCCATTCCATTCCATTCCATTCGGGTTCATTCCATTCCATTCCATTCCATTCCATTCCATTCCATTCCACTCGTGTTGTTTCCATTCCATTCCTTTCAATTTCATTCTATTCCATTCCATTCCATTCCATTCCATTCTATTCCATTCCACTCGGGTTGATTCCATACCATTCTATTCCATTCCATTCCATTCAATTCCGTTCCATTCCATTCCATTCCATTCCATTAAATTCCACTTGGGTAGATTCCATTCCATTCCATTCCATTCCATTCCATTCCATTCCATTCCATTCCTTTAGTTTCTAATCGGGTTGATTCCAATCCATTCCATTATATTCAAGTCCTTTCCATTCCCTGCCATTCCACTCGGGTTGTTTCCATTTTGTTGTATTCCATTCCATTCCATTCCATTGCATTGCATTCCACTCTGGTTGTTTCCATTCCATTCCATTAGTTTCCATTCCATTCCATTCCTTTCCTTTCCATTCCATTCCATTCCATTCCTTTCCACTCAGGGTGATTCAATTCCGTTCCATTCCAATGCATTCCATTCCAGTTGATAACATAGCATTGTATTCTTTCCATTCCATTCCTTTCCATTCCATTACATTACATTCCACTCGGTTTGATTCATCTCCATTCCATTCCATTCCATTCCATTCCATTCCATTCCATTCCATACCATTCCACCAAAGTTGATTGCATGCTATTCCATTCCATTCCATTCCATTCCATTCCATTCCATTCCATTCCATTCCATTCCACTTGGGTTGATTCCATTCCATTCAATTCCGTTCCGTTCCGTTCCGTTCCGTTCCATTCCATTCCATTCTGTTCCATTCCATTTCATTCCATTGCATTCCACTCAGGTTGATTCCATTCCATTCCATTCCATACCCTTCGGGTTGATTCCTTCCCATTCCATTCCATTCCATACCATTCCACTCCATTCCGTTCCATTCCATTCGGGTTGATTCTGTTCCATTCCATTCCCTTTTATTCCATTCCATTCCATTCCTTTCCATTCCATTCCATACCATTCCACCAAAGTTGATTGCATGTTATTCCGTTCCATTCCTTTCCATTCCATTCCATACCATTCCACCAAAGTTGATTGTATGTTATTCCATTCCATTCCATTCCATTCCATTCCATTCCATTCCATTCCACTCGGATTGATTCCATTCCATTCAATTCCGTTCCGTTCCGTTCCATTCCATTCCATTCCATTTCATTCCATTGCATTAAACTCGGGTTGATTCCATTCCATTCCTTTTCATTCCATTCCGTTCCATTCCATTACATTCCATACCCTTCAGTTTGATTCCTTTCCATTCCATTCCATTCCATTCTATTCCATTCCATTCCATTCCATACCATTCCACCAAAGTTGATTGCATGTTATTCCATTCAATTCCATTCCATTCCTTTCCACTCGGGTTGATTCCATTCCATTCAATTCCGTTCCGTTCTGTTCCATTCCATTCCATTGCATTAGATACCATTCCATTCCACTCGGGATGATTCCATTCAATTCCATTATATTCCGTTCAATTCCATTGCATTCCATTCCATTCCATTTCACTCGGGTGGATTGCATTCCATTCCATTCCATTCCATTCCATTCCACTCGGGTTGATTCCATTCCGTTCCTTTCCATTTCATTCCATTCCATTCCATTCCATTCCATTCCATTCCATTCCATTCCATTCCACTCCATTAAATTCCACTCCACTCCGGTTGATTCCATTCCATTTCATTCCATTCAATTTCACTCGAGTTGATTCCATTCCATTCCATTCCATTTTATTCCATTCCATTCCATGAAATTCCATTCCATTCCACTCCACTCGGGCTGATTCCTTTCCATTCCATTTCATTCCATTCCTTTCCATTCCATTCCATTCCACTCCACTCCATTCCATTCCATTCCACTCGGGTTGATTCCATTCCATTCCATTCCAATCCATTCCATTCCATTCTATTCCATTCCATTCCATTCAATTCCGTTCCATTCCATTCCATTCCATTCCATTCCATTCCATTCCATTCCATTCCATTAAATTCCATTCCATTCCATTCCACTTTGGTAGATTCCATTCCATTCCATTCCATTCCATTCCTTTAGTTTCTAATCGGGTTGATTCCAATCCATTCCATTATATTCAAGTCCTTTCCATTCCATGCCATTCCACTCGGGTTGTTTCCATTTTGTTGTATTCCATTCCATTCCATTCCATTGCATTCAATTCCATTGCATTCCATTCCACTCTGGTTGTTTCCATTCCATTCCATTAGTTTCCATTCCATTCCATTCCTTTCCTTTCCATTCCATTCCATTCCATTCCTTTCCACTCAGGGTCATTCAATTCCGTTCCATTCCAATGCATTCCATTCCAGTTTATACCATTGCATTGTATTGTTTCCATTCCATTCCTTTCCATTCCATTACATTACATTCCACTCGGTTTGATTCATTTTCATTCCATTCCATTCCATTCCATACCATTCCACCAAAGTTGATTGCATGCTATTCCATTCCATTCCATTCCATTCCATTCCATTCCATTCCATTCCATTCCATTCCATTCCATTCCATTCCACTTGGGTTGATTCCATTCCATTCAATTCCGTTCCGTTCCGTTCTGTTCCATTCCATTCCATTCTGTTCCATTCCATTTCATTCCATTGCATTCCACTCAGGTTGATTCCATTCCATTCCTTTCCATTCCATTGCATTCCATTCCATTCCATTCCATTCCATTCCATTCCATACCCTTCGGGTTGATTCCTTCCCATTCCATTCCATTCCATACCATTCCACTCCATTCCATTCCATTCCATTCGGGTTGATTCTGTTCCATTCCATTCCCTTTTATTCCATTCCATTCCATTCCATTCCATTCCATTCCATACCATTCCACCAAAGTTGATTGCATGTTATTCCATTCCATTCCTTTCCATTCCATTCCATACCATTCCACCAAAGTTGATTGCATGTTATTCCATTCCATTCCATTCCATTCCATTCCATTGCATTCCATTCCATTCCATTCCATTCCACTCGGATTGATTCCATTCCATTCAATTCCGTTCCGTTCCGT
The DNA here is from genome assembly GCF_000001405.40 of Homo sapiens. NCBI lineage: Eukaryota > Metazoa > Chordata > Mammalia > Primates > Hominidae > Homo > Homo sapiens. The sequence goes on from NW_021159991.1 coordinate 39,137, forward strand.
TCCGTTGCATTCCATTCCATTCCATTTCATTCCATTGCATTCCACTCGGGTTGATTCCATTCCATTCCTTTTCATTCCATTCCGTTCCATTCCATTACATTCCATACCCTTCGGTTTGATTCCTTTCCATTCCATTCCATTCCATACCATTCCACTCCATTCCACTCCATTCCATTCGGGTTGATTCCGTTCCATTCCATGCCCTTTTATTCCATTCCATTCCATTCCATTCCATTACATTCCATTACATTCCATACCATTCCACCAAAGTTGATTGCATGTTATTCCATTCAATTCCATTCTATTCCTTTCCACTCGGGTTGGTTCCATTCCATTCAATTCCGTTCCGTTCCGTTCCATTCCATTCCATTTCATTCCATTGCATTCCACTCGGGTTGATTCCATTCAATTCCATTCCATTCCATACCCTTCAGGTTGATTCCTTTCCATTCCATTCCATTCCATCCCATTCCACTCCGTTTCGCTCCATTCCATTCGGGTTGATTCCGTTCCATTCCATGCCCTTTTATTCCATTCCATTGCATTCCATTCCATTCCATTCCATTCCATTCCATTCCATTCCATTCCATTCCATTCCACTCGGGTTGTTTCCATTCCATTCCTTTCCATTTCATTCTATTCCATTCCATTCCATTCCATTCTATTCCATTCCATTCCACTGCATTCCATTCCATTCCTCTCCGGTTATTCCATTCCATTCCATTCCATCCCACTCGAGTTGTTTCCATTCCATTCCATTCCATTTTATTCCATTCCATTCCGTTCCATTACATTCCATTCTATACCATTCCACTTGGGTTGATTTCATACCATTCTATTCCATACCATTCCAATAAATTCCATTCCATTCCATTCCACTCGGGTAGATTCCATTCCATTGCATTCCATTCCATTCCGTTCCGTTCCATTCCATTCCATTCCACTCCATTCCATTCCATTCCATTCCATTAAATTCCATTCCATTCCATTCCACTCGGGTAGATTCCATTCCATTCCATTCCATTAGTTTCTAATCGGGTTGATTCCAATCCATTCCATTCTATTCAAGTCCTTTCTATTCCATGCCATTCCACTCGGGTTGTTTCCATTTTGTTTTATTCCATTCCATTCCATTCCAATCCATTGCATTCCATTCCACTCGGGTTTTTTCCATTCCATTCCATTAGTTTCCATTCCATTCCATTGCTTTCCATTCCATTCCATTCCATTCCTTTCCACTCAGGGTGATTCCATTCCATGCCCTTTTATTCCATTCCATTGCATTCCTCTCGAGTTGTTTCCATTCCATTCCATTCCATTTTATTCCATTCCATTCCGTTCCATTACATTCCATTCTATACCATTCCACTCGGGTTGATTTCATACCATTCTATTCCATTCCATTCCATTAAATTCCATTCCATTCCATTCCACTCGGGTAGATTCCATTCCATTGCATTCCATTCTATTCCGTTCCGTTCCATTCCATTCCATTCCATTCCATTCCATTCCATTCCATCCCATTCCATTCCATTAAAATCCATTCCATTCCATTCCACTCGGGTAGATTCCATTCCATTCCATTCCATTAGTTTCTAATCGGGTTGATTCCAATCCATTCCATTCTATTCAAGTCCTTTCGATTCCATGCCATTCCACTCGGGTTGTTTCCATTTTGTTGTATTCCATTCCATTCCATTCCATTCCAATCCATTGCATTCCATTCCACTCGGGTTGTTTCCATTCCGTTCCATTAGTTTCCATTCCATTCCATTCCTTTCCATTCCATTCTATTCCATTCCTTTCCACTCAGGGCGATTCCATTCCATTCCATTCCAATGCATTCCATTCCAGTTGATACCATTGCATTGCATTGTTTCCATGCCATTCTATTGCTTTCCATTCCATTCCACTCGTGTTGTTTCCGTTCCATTCCTTTCCATTTCATTCTATTCCATTCCATTCCATTCCATTCAATTCCATTCGATTCCACTCCATTCCATTCCATTCCTCTCCGGTTATTCCATTCCATTGCATTCCTTCCCACTCGGGTTTTTTCCATTCCATTCGATTCCATTTTATTCCAATCCATTCCGTTCCATTACATTCCATTCTTTACCATTCCACTCAGGTTGATTCCATACCATCCTATTCCTTTCCACTCCATTAAATTCCATTCCATTCCATTCCACTCGGGTAGATTCCATTCCATTTCGTTCCATTGCATTCCATTCCATTCCATTAAATTCCATTCCATTCCATTCCACTCGGGTAGATTCCATTCCATTTCGTTCCATTGCATTCCATTCCATTCCATTAAATTCCATTCCATTCCATTCCACTCGGGTAGATTCCATTCCATTCCATTCCATTCCATTAGTTTCTAATCTGGTTGATTCTAATCCATTCCACTATATTCAAGTGCTTTCCATTCCATGCCATTCCACTCGGATTGTTTCCATTTTGTTGTATTCCATTCCATTCCATTCCATTGCATTCCATTCCATTGCATTCCATTCCACTTGGTTGTTTCCATTCCTTTCCATTAGTTTCCATTCCATTCCATTCCTTTCCGTTCCATTCCATTCTATTCCTTTCCACTCAGGGTGATTCCATTCCATTCCATTCCAATGCATTCCATTCCAGTTGATACCATTGCATTGCGTTGTTTCCATTCCATTCCAATCCATTCCATTCCATTCCATTCCATTCCATTCCATTCCATTTCATTCCACTCGATTTTATTCATTGCCATTCCATTCCATTCCATTCCATTCCATTCCATTTCATTCCTCTCGGGTTGATTCCATTCCATTCCATGCCCCTTTATTCCATTCCATTCCATTCCATTCCATTCCATTCCATTCCATTCCATTCCATTCCATTCCATAACATTCCACCAAAGTTGATTGCATGCTATTCCATTCCATACCATTCCATTCCATTCCATTCCATTCCATTCCATTCCATTCCATTCCATTCCTTTCCACTTGGGTTGATTCCATTCCATTCAATTCTGTTCCGTTCCATTCCGTTCCATTCCATTCCATTCCATTCCATTCCATTCCATTCCATTCCATTCCATTTCATTCCATTGCATTCCACTCGGTTTGATTCCATTCCATTCCATTCCATTCCATTCCATTCCATACACTTCGGGTTGATTCCTTTCCATTCCATTCCATTCCATACAATTCCACTCCATTCCGTTCCATTCCATTCAGGTTGATTCTGTTCCATTCCATGTCCTTTTATTCCATTCCATTCCATTCCATTCCATTCCATTCCATTCCATACCATTCCACAAAAGTTGATTGCATGTTATTCCATTCCATTCCATTCCATTCCATTCCATTCCATTCCTTTCCACTCAGTTTGATTCCATTCTATTCAATTCCGTTCTGTTCTGTTCCGTTCCATTCCATTCCATTCCATTTCATTCCATTGCATTGCACTCGAGTTGATTCCATTCCTTTCCATTCTATTCCATTCCATTCTATTCCATACCCTTCGGGTTGATTCCTTTCCATTCCATTAAATATCATTCCACTCCATTCCGCTCCATTCCATTCGGGTTGATTCCGTTCCATTCCATGCCCTTTTATTCCATTCCATTCCATTCCATTCCATTCCATTCCATTCCGTTCCATTCCATTCCGTTCCATTCCATACCCTTCAGGTTGATTCCTTTCCATTCTATTCCATTCCATACCATTCCACTCCATTCTATTCCATTCCATTTGGGTTGATTGCATTCCATTCCGTTCCGTTCCATTCCATTGCATACCATTCCACTAGGGTTGATTCCATACCATTCCATTCCATTCCATTCCATTCCATTCCATTCCATTCCATTCCACTCGTGTTGATTCCATTCCATTCCATTCCAATGCATTCCATTCCAGTTGATACCATTGAATTGCATTGTTTCCATTCCGTTCCATTCCATTCCATTCCATTCCATTCAATTCCATTCCATTCCAGTTGATACCATTGAATTGCATTGTTTCCATTCCGTTCCATTCCATTCCATTCCATTTCATTCAATTCCATTCCTTTCCACTCGGTTTGATTCATTTCCATTCCATTGCATTCCATTCCATTCCATTCCATACCATTCCACCAAAGTTGATTGCATGCTATTCCATTCCATTCCGTTCCATTCCATTCAATTCCATTCCTTTCCACTTGGGTTGATTCCATTCCATTCAATTCCGTTCCGTTCTGTCCCGTTCCATTCCATTCCATTTCATTACATTTCATTCCATTGCATTCCACTAGGGTTAATTCCATTCCATTCCTTTCCATTCCATTCCATTCCATTCCCTTCGGGTTAATTCCTTTCCATTCCATTCCATTCCATACCATTCCGTTCCATTCCATTCGGGTTGATTTGGTTCTTTCCATGCCCTTTTATTCCATTCTATTCCATTCCATTCCATTCCATTCCATACCATTCCACCAAAGTTGATTGCATGTTGTTCCATTCCATTCCATTCCATTCCATTCCATTCCATTCCATTCCATTCCTTTCCACTCGGGTTCATTCCATTCCATTCAATTCCGTTCCGTTCCTTTCTGTTCCGTTCCATTCCATTCCATTTCATTCCATTGCATTCCACTCGGGATGATTCCATTCCATTCCATTCCATTCCATTCCATTCCATTCCATTCCATTCCATTCCATTCCCTTCGAGTTGATTCCTTTCCATTCCATTCCATTCCATTCCATTCCACTCCATTCCATTCCATTCCATTCCACTCCATTCCATTCCATTCCATTCCACTCCATTCCATTACATTCCATTCCACTCAGGTTAATTCCGTTCCATTCCATTCCAATCCATTCCATTCCATTCAATTCCATTGGGGTCCATTCCATTCCATTCCATTCCGTTCCGTTCCGTTCCATTCCATTCAATTCCATTCCATTGCATTCCATACCTTTCCATTCTATTCTATTCCATTCCATTCCATTCCATTCCATTCCATGCCATTCCATTCCATTTGACTCAGGTTGATTCCGTTCCATTCCATTCCATTCCATTCCATTCCATTCCATTCCATTCCATTCCAGTTGATTCCATTGCATTCCATTCCATTCCATTCCATTCCGTTCCATTCCATTCCATTCCATTCCATTCCATTCCATTCCTTTCCACTCGGGTTGATTCCATTCCATTCCATTCCTTTCCATTCCATTCCATTCCGTTCCACTCGGCTTGATTCCATTCCATTCCATTCCATTTTTTCCAATCCACTCGGGTTGATTCCATTCTATTCCATTCCATTCCAGTTGATTCCATTCCATTCCATTCCATTCCATTCCATTCCATTCCATTCCATTCAGGTTGATTCAGTTCCTTTCCATTCCATTCCATTTCATTCCATTCCAGTTGATTCCATTGCGTTCCATTCCATTCAAATGCATTCCATTCCATTCCATTCCATTCCATTCCATTCCATTCCATTCCATTCCATTCCATTCGGGTTGATTCCATTCCATTCAATTCCATTCCATTCCACTCCATTCCATTACATTTCATTGCACTCTGGTTGATTCCATTCCATTCCATTCCAATCCATTGCATTCCGTTCCATTGCATTCGGGTTCATTCCATTCCATTCCGTTCCGTTCCATTCCATTCCATTCCATTCCAATCCATTCCATTGCATTCCATTCGTGTTGATTCCATTGCATTCCATTCCATTCCACTCCATTCCATTCCATTTCATTCCATTCCAGTTGATTCCATTCCTTTCCATTCCATTCCATTCCATTCCATTCTGTTACATTCTACTCGGGTTGATTCCATTCCATTCCATTTCATTCCATTCGATTTCATTCCACTGGTGTTTATTCCATTCCACTCCATTCCATTCCATTCCATTCGGGTTTATTCCATTTCTTTCCATTCCATTGCATTCCATTCCTTTCCATTCTATTCCTTTCCATTCCATTCCATTTGTGTTGATTCCATTCCATTCCATCCCATTCCATTCCATTCCATTCCATTCTATTGCATTCCATTCCATTCCATTCCACTCGTGTTGATTCCCTTCCATTCCATTCCATTCCATTCCATTCCATTCCATTCCATTCCACTTGGGTTGATTCCATTCCATTCCTTTCCATTGCATTCCATTCCATTGCATTCCATTCCATTCCATTCCATTTCATTCCATTCTATTCCATTCCGTTCCATTCCATTCGTGTTGATGCCATTCCAATCCATACCATTCCATTCCATTCCATTCCGTTCCGTTCCATTCCTTTCGTGTTGATTCCATTCCATTCCATTCCACTCCATTCCAATCCATTACATTCCACTCGGGTTGAATCCATTCCTTTCCATTCCAATCCATTCCATTCCTTTCCAATCCATTCCATTCCATTCAATTCCACCTGGATTCAATCTATTCTTTCCATTCCATTCCGTTCTGTTCCATTGCAGTCCATTGCATTAGATACCATTCCATTCCACTCGGGATGATTCCTTTCAATTCCATTATATTCTGTTCAATTCCATTCCACTCAGGTGGATTCCATTCCATTCCATTCCATTCCATTCCATTCCATTCCATTCCATTCCATTCCACTCGGTTTGATTCCATTCCGTTCCTTTCCATTTCATTCCATTCCATTCCATTCCATTCCATTCCATTCCAATCCATTCCGTTCCACTCCACTCCGGTTGATTCCATTCCATTCCATTCCATTCCATTCCATTCCATTCCATTCCATTCCATTCCATCCCATTCGGGTTGATTCCATTCTATTCTCTTCCTTTCCATTCCATTCCATTCCGTTCCATTCCATTCGGGTTGATTCTATACCATTCCATTCCATTCTATTCCATTCCATTCCATTCCATTCCATTCCATTCCATTCCACTTCTTTCCATTCCATTCCACTCCATTACATTACATTCAATTCAACCGAGATTGATTCTATTCCATTCCATTCCAGTTGATTCCATTGGATTCAATTCTGTTCCATTCCATTCCATTCCACTCGGGTTGATTCCATTCCGTTCCTTTCCATTCCATTCCTTTCCGTTCCATTCCATTCGTGTTGATTCCATTCCATTCCACTCCAATCCATTCCATTCCATTCCAATCCATTCCATTCCATTCAATTCCACTCGCATTCAATCTATTCCATTCCATTTCATTCCGTTCTGTTCCATTCCATTCTATTGCTTTCCATACCATTCCATTCCACTCGGGATGATTCCATTCCATTCCATTATATTCCGTTCCATTCCATTCCACTCGGGTTGATTCCATTCCATTCCATTCCATTCCATTCCATTCCATTCCATTCCATTCCACTCGGTTTGTTTCCATTCCATTCCTTTCCATTTCATTCTAATCCATTCCATTCCATTCCATTCTATTCCATTCCATTCCACTCCATTCCATTCCATTCCTCTCCGGTTATTCCATTCCATTCCATTCCATTCCACTCGGGTTGTTTCCATTCCATTCCATTCCATTTTATTCCGTTCCGTTCCATTACATTACATTCTATACCATTCCACTCGGGTTGATTCCATACCATTCTGTTCCATTCCATTCCGTTCCATTCTATTCCATTAAATTCCATTCCATTCCATTCCACTTGGGTAGATTCCATTCCATTCCATTCCATTCCATTCCATTCCATTCCATTCCATTCCATTAGTTTCTAATCGGGTGATTCCAATCCATTCCATTATATTCAAGTCCTTTCCATTCCATGCCATTCCACTCGGGTTGTTTCCATTTTGTTGTATTCCATTCCATTCCATTCCATTCCATTCCATTCCATTCCATTCCATTCCATTCTATTAGTTTCTAATCGGGTGATTCCAATCCATTCCATGATATTCAAGTCCTTTCCATTCCATGCCATTCCACTCGGGTTGTTTCCATTTTGTTGTATTCCATTCCATTCCATTCCATTCCATTCCATTCCATTCCATTCCATTCCATTCCATTCCATTGCATTCCATTCCACTCTGGTTGTTTCCATTCCGTTCCATTAGTTTCCATTCCATTCCATTCCTTTCGATTCCATTCCATTCCATTCCATTCCATTCCATTCCATTCCATTCCATTCCTTTCCACTCAGGGTGATTCAATTCCATTCCATTCCAATGCATTCCATTCCAGCTGATACCATTGCATTGCATTGTTTCCATTCCATTCCTTTCTATTCCATTACATTACATTCCACTCGGTTTGATTCATTTCCATTCCATTCAATTCCATTCCATTCCATTCGTCTCGGGTTGATTCCATTCCATTCCATGCCCTTTTATTCCATCCCATTCCACTCCATTCCATTCCATTCCATTCCATTCCATTCCATTCCATACCATTCCAACACAGTTGATTGCATGCTATTCCATTCCATTCTATTCCATTCCATTCCATTCCACTCCATTCCATTCCATTCCATTCCATTCCATTCCATTCCATTCCATTCCATTCCATTCCACTTGGGTTGATTCCATTCCATTCAATTCCATTCCGTTCCGTTCCGTTCCATTCCATTCCATTCTGTTCCATTCCATTTCATTCCATTGCATTCCACTCAGGTTTATTCCATTCCATTCCATTCCATTCCATTCCATTCCATTCCATTCCATACCCTTCGGGTTGATTCCTTCCCATTCCATTCCATTCCATACCATTCCACTCCATTCCGTTCCATTCCATTCGGGTTGATTCTGTTCCATTCCATGCCCTTTTGTTCCATTCCATTCCATTCCATTCCATACCATTCCACCAAAGTTGATTGTATGTTATTCCATTCCATTCCATTCCATTCCTTTCCATTCCATTCCATTCCATTCCATTCCATTCCATTCCATTCCATTCCATTCCATTCCACTCGGGTTGATTCCATTCCATTCAATTCCGTTCCGTTCCGTTCCGTTCCATTCCATTCCATTCCATTTCATTCCATTGCATTCCACTCGGGTTGATTCCATTCCTTTCCATTCCATTCCATTCCATTCCATTCCATTCCATTCCATTCCATACCCTTCGGGTTGATTCCTTTCCATTCCATTCCATTCCATACCATTCCACTCTATTCCGCTCCATTCCATTTGGGTTGATTCCATTCCATTCCATGCCCTTTTATTCCATTCCTTTCCACTCCATTCCATTCCATACCATTCCACCAAAATTGATTGCATGTTATTCCATTCCATTCCATTCCATTCCTTTCCACTCGGGTTGATTCCATTCCATTCAATTCCGTTCCGTTCCGTTCCATTCCATTCCATTTCATTCCATTGCATTCCACTCGGGTTGATTCCATTCCATTCCATTCCATTCCATTCCATTCCATTCCATTCCATTCCATTCCATACCCTTCAGGTTGATTCCTTTCCATTCCATTCCATTCCATGCCATTCCACTCCATTCCGCTCCATTCCATTCGGGTTGATTCCGTTCCATTCCATGCCCTTTTATTCCATTCCATTCCATTCCATTCCATTCCATTCCATTCCATTCCATTCCATTCCATTCCATTCCACTCGGGTTGTTTCCATTCCATTCCTTTCCATTTCATTCTATTCCATTCCATTCCATTCCATTCCATTCCATTCCATTCCATTCCATTCCATTCCATTCTATTTCATTCCATTCCACTCCATTCCATTCCATTCCTCTCTGGTTATTCCATTCCATTCCATTCCATTCCACTCGAGTTGTTTCCATTCCATTCCATTCCATTTTATTCCATTCCATTCCATTCCACTCAGGTAGATTCCATTCCATTGCATTCCATTCCATTCCGTTCCGTTCCATTCCATTCCATTCCATTCCATTCCATTCCATTCCATTAAATTCCATTCCATTCCATTCCACTCGGGTAGATTCCATTCCATTCCATTTCGTTAGTTTCTAATCGGGTTGATTCCAATCCATTCCATTCTATTCAAGTCCTTTCCATTCCATGCCATTCCACTCGGGTCGTTTCCCTTCAGTTGTATTCCATTCCATTCCATTCCATTCCATTCCATTCCATTCCATTCCATTCCATTCCATTCCATTCCTTTCCATTCCATTCCATTGCATTCCATTCCATTCGGGTGGTTTCCATTCCGTTCCATTAGTTTCCATTCCATTCCATTCGTTTCCATTCCATTCCATTCCATTCCTTTCCACTCAGGGTGATTCCATTCCATTCCATTCCAATGCATTCCATTCCAGTTGATACCATTGCATTGCATTGTTTCCGTGCCATTCCATTCCATTCCATTCCATTCCATTCCATTCCATTCCACTCGGGTTGTTTCCATTGCATTCCTTTCCATTTCATTCCATTCCATTCCATTCCATTCCATTCTATTCCATTCGATTCCACTCCATTCCATTCCATTCCTCTCCGGTTATTCCATTCCATTGCATTCCATTCCACTCGGGTTGTTTCCATTCCATTCGATTCCATTTTATTCCATTCCATTCCGTTCCATTACATTCCGTTCTATACCATTCCACTCAGGTTGATTCCATACCAATCTATTCCATTCCACTCCAATAAATTCCATTCCATTCCATTCCACTCGGGTAGATTCCATTATATTCCATTCCATTCCGTTCCACTGCATTCCATTCCATTCCATTCCATTCCATTCCATTCCATTCCATTCCATTCCATTCCATTAAATTCCATTCCATTCCATTCCACTCGGGTAGATTCCATTCCATTCCATTCCATTCCATTAGTTTCTAATCGGGTTGATTCCAATCCATTCCATTATATTCAAGTCCTTTCCATTCCATGCCATTCCACTCGGGTTGTTTCCATTTTGTTGTATTCCATTCCATTCCATTCCATTCCATTCCATTCCATTCCATTGCATTCCATTCCATTGCATTCCATTCCATTGCATTGCATTCCATTCCATTGTATTCCATTCCACTCGGGTTGTTTCCATTCCTTTCCATTAGTTTCCATTCCATTCCATTCCTTTCCATTCCATTCCATTCTATTCCTTTCCACTCAGGGTGATTCCATTCCATTCCATTCCAATGCATTCCATTCCAGTTGATACCATTGCATTGCGTTGTTTCCATTCCATTCCAATCCATTCCATTCCATTCCATTCCATTCCATTCCACTCCGTTTTATTCATTGCCATTCCATTCCATTCCATTTCATTCCTCTCGGGTTGATTCCATTCCATTCCACGCCCCTTTATTCCATTCCATTCCATTCCATTCCATTCCATTCCATTCCACACCATTCCACCAAAGTTGATTGCATGCTATTCCATTCCATAGCATTCCATTCTATTCCATTCCATTCCATTCCATTCCATTCCATTCCATTCCATTCCATTCCTTTCCACTTGGGTTGATTCCATTCCATTCAATTCCGTTCCGTTCCGTTCCATTCCATTCCATTCCATTCCATTTCATTCCATTGTTTTCCACTCGGGTTGATTCCATTCCATTCCATTCCATTCCATTCCATACACTTCGGGTTGATTCGTTTCCATTCCATTCCATTCCATACAATTCCACTCCATTCCGTTCCATTCCATTCGGGTTGATTCTGTTCCATTCCATGCCCTTTTATTCCATTCCATTCCATTCCATTCCATTCCATACCATTCCACCAAAGTTGATTGCATGTTATTCCATTCCATTCCATTCCATTCCATTCCATTCCATTCCATTCCATACCATTCCACCGAAGTTGATTGCATGTTATTCCATTCCATTCCATTCCATTCCATTCCATTCCATTCCATTCCATTCCACTCGAGTTGATTCCATTCTATTCAATTCCGTTCTGTTCCGTTCCATTCCATTCCATTCCATTCCATTTCATTCCATTGCATTCCACTCGAGTTCATTCCATTCCTTTCCATTCCATTCCATTCCATTCAATTCCATACCGTTCGGGTTGATTCCTTTCCATTCCATTAAATATCATTCCACTCCATTCCGCTCCATTCCATTCGGGTTGATTCCGTTCCATTCCATGCCCTTTTATTCCATTCCATTCCATTCCATTCCATTCCATTCCATTCCATTCCATACCATTCCACCAAAGTTGATTGCATGTTATTCCATTCCATTCCATTTCATTCCATTCAATTCCATTCCATTCCATTCCTTTCCACTCGGGTTGATTCCATTACATTCAATTCCGTTCCATTCCATTCCGTTCCATTCCGTTCCATTGCATTGCATTTCATTCCATTGCATTCCACTCGGGTTGATTCCATACCATTCCATTCCATTCCATTCCATTCCATTCCATTCCATACCCTTCGGGTTGATTCCTTTCCATTCCATTCTATTCCATACCATTCCACTCCATTCCATTCCATTCGGGTTGATTACATTCCATTCCGTTCCGTTCCATTCCATTCCATACCATTCCACTAGGGTTGATTCCATACCATTCCATTTCATTGCATTCCATTCCATTCCATTCGACTCGGGTTGATTCCATTCCATTCCATTCCATTCCAATGCATTCCATTCCAGTTGATACCATTGAATTGCATTGTTTCCATTCCATTCCATTCCACTTGATTTGATTCATTTCCATTCCATTCCATTCCATTCCATTCCATTCCATTCCATTCCATACCATTCCACCAAATTTGATTGCATGCTATTCCATTCCATTCCGTTCCATTCCTTTCCACTTGGGTTGATTCCATTCCATTCAATTCCGTTCCGTTCTGTCCCGTTCCGTGCCATTCCATTTCATTACATTTCATTCCATTGCATTCCACTCGGGTTGATTCCATTCCATTCCATTCCATTCCATTCCATTCCATTCCATTCCATTCCATTCCATTCCATTCCCTTCGGATTGATTCCTTTCCATTCCATTCCATTCCATACCAATCCACTCCATTCCGTTCCATTCCATTCGGGTTGATTTGGTTCCATTCCATGCCCTTTTATTCCATTCTATTCCATTCCATTCCATTCCATTCCATTCCATTCCATTCCATTCCATACCATTCTACCAAAGTTGATTGCATGTTATTCCATTCCATTCCATTCCATTCCATTCCATTCCATTCCATTCCATTCCATTCCATTCCACTCGGGTTGATTCCATTCCTTTCAATTCCGTTCCATTCCTTTCCATTCCATTCCATTTCATTCCATTGTATTCCACTCGGGTTGATTCCATTCCTTTCCATTCCATTCCATTCCATTCCATTCCATTCCATTCCATTCCATTCCATTCCATTGCATTCCATTCCATTCCATACCCTTCGGGTTGATTCCTTTCCATTTCATTACATTCCATACCATTCCACTCCATTCTGTTCCATTCCATTCGGGTTGACTCTGTTCCATTCCATGCCCTTTTATTCCATTCCATTCCATTCCATTCCATACCATTCCACCAAAGTTGACTGCATGTTATTCCATTCCACTCCATTCCATTCCATTCCATTCCATTCCATTCCATTCCATTCCATTCCATTCCATTCCTTTCCACTCGGGTTCATTCCATTCAATTCAATTCCGTTCCGTTCCTCTCTGTTCCGTTCCATTCCATTCCATTTCATTCCATTGCATTCCACTCGGGATGATTCCATTCCATTCCATTCCATTCCATTCCATTCCATTCCATTCCCTTCGAGTTGATTCCTTTCCATTCCATTCCATTCCATACCATACCACTCCATTCCCTTCTATTCTATTCGGGTTGATTCCGTTCCATTCCTTGCACTTTTATTCCATTCCATTCCATTCCATTCCGTTCCATTCCATTCCATACCATTCCACCAAAGTTGATTGCATGTTATTCCATTCCATTCTATTCCATTCCATTCCATTCCCTTCCATTCCTTTTCCACTCGGGTTGATTCCATTCCATTCAATTCCGTTCCGTTCCGTTCCATTCCATTCCATTCCATTCCATACCCTTCGGGTTGATTCCCTTCCATTCCATGTCATTCCATATCATTCCACTCCATTCCGCTCCATTCCATTCTGGTTGATTCCATTCCATTCCATGCCCTTTCATTCCATTCCATTCCATTCCATTCCATTCCATTCCATTCCATACCATTCCACCAAAGTTGATTGCATATTATTCCATTCCATTCCATACCATTCCATTCCACTCGGTTTGTTTCCATTCCATTCCTTTCCATTTCATTCTAATCCATTCCATTCCATTCCATTCTATTCCATTCCATTCCACTCCATTCCATTCCATTCCTCTCCGGTTATTCCATTCCATTCCATTCCATTCCACTCGGGTTGTTTCCATTCCATTCCATTCCATTTTATTCCGTTCCATTCCATTACATTACATTCTATACCATTCCACTCGGGTTGATTCCATACCATTCTGTTCCATTCCATTCCATTCCATTCCATTCCATTCCATTCCATTCCATTCCATTCCATACCATTCCACCAAAGTTGATTGCATGTTATTCCATTCCATTCCATACCATTCCTTTCCACTCAGGGTGATTCAATTCCTTTCCATTCCAATGCATTCCATTCCAGCTGATACCATTGCATTGCATTGTTTCCATTCCATTCCTTTCTATTCCATTCCATTACATTCCACTCGGTTTGATTCATTTCCATTCCATTCAATTCCATTCCATTCCATTCCATTCCATTCCATTCGTCTCGGGTTGATTCCATTCCATTCCATGCCCTTTTATTCCATTCCATTCCATTCCATTCCATTCCATTCCATTCCATTCCATTCCATACCATTCCTACAAAGTTGATTGCATGCTATTCCATTCCATTCTATTCCATTCCATTCCATTCCACTCCATTCCATTCCATTCCATTCCATTCCACTTGGGTTGATTCCATTCCATTCAATTCCATTCCGTTCCGTTCCGTTCCATTCCATTCCATTCCATTCTGTTCCATTCCATTTCTTTCCATTGCATTCCACTCAGGTTTATTCCATTCCATTCCATTCCATTCCATTCCATTCCATTCCATTCCATTCCATTAGTTTCTAATCGGGTGATTCCAATCCATTCCATTATATTCAAGTCCTTTCCATTCCATGCCATTCCACTCGGGTTGTTTCCATTTTGTTGTATTCCATTCCATTCCATTCCATTCCATTCCATTCCATTCCATTCCATTCCATTCTATTAGTTTCTAATCGGGTGATTCCAATCCATTCCATGATATTCAAGTCCTTTCCATTCCATGCCATTCCACTCGGGTTGTTTCCATTTTGTTGTATTCCATTCCATTCCATTCCATTCCATTCCATTCCATTCCATTCCATTCCATTCCATTCCATTGCATTCCATTCCACTCTGGTTGTTTCCATTCCGTTCCATTAGTTTCCATTCCATTCCATTCCTTTCGATTCCATTCCATTCCATTCCATTCCATTCCATTCCATTCCATTCCTTTCCACTCAGGGTGATTCAATTCCATTCCATTCCAATGCATTCCATTCCAGCTGATACCATTGCATTGCATTGTTTCCATTCCATTCCTTTCTATTCCATTACATTACATTCCACTCGGTTTGATTCATTTCCATTCCATTCAATTCCATTCCATTCCATTCGTCTCGGGTTGATTCCATTCCATTCCATTCCATGCCCTTTTATTCCATCCCATTCCACTCCATTCCATTCCATTCCATTCCATTCCATTCCATTCCATACCATTCCAACACAGTTGATTGCATGCTATTCCATTCCATTCTATTCCATTCCATTCCATTCCACTCCATTCCATTCCATTCCATTCCATTCCATTCCATTCCATTCCATTCCATTCCATTCCACTTGGGTTGATTCCATTCCATTCAATTCCATTCCGTTCCGTTCCGTTCCATTCCATTCCATTCTGTTCCATTCCATTTCATTCCATTGCATTCCACTCAGGTTTATTCCATTCCATTCCATTCCATTCCATTCCATTCCATTCCATTCCATACCCTTCGGGTTGATTCCTTCCCATTCCATTCCATTCCATACCATTCCACTCCATTCCGTTCCATTCCATTCGGGTTGATTCTGTTCCATTCCATGCCCTTTTGTTCCATTCCATTCCATTCCATTCCATACCATTCCACCAAAGTTGATTGTATGTTATTCCATTCCATTCCATTCCATTCCTTTCCATTCCATTCCATTCCATTCCATTCCATTCCATTCCATTCCATTCCACTCGGGTTGATTCCATTCCATTCAATTCCGTTCCGTTCCGTTCCGTTCCATTCCATTCCATTCCATTTCATTCCATTGCATTCCACTCGGGTTGATTCCATTCCTTTCCATTCCATTCCATTCCATTCCATTCCATTCCATTCCATTCCATTCCATTCCATACCCTTCGGGTTGATTCCTTTCCATTCCATTCCATTCCATACCATTCCACTCTATTCCGCTCCATTCCATTTGTGTTGATTCCATTCCATTCCATGCCCTTTTATTCCATTCCTTTCCACTCCATTCCATTCCATACCATTCCACCAAAATTGATTGCATGTTATTCCATTCCATTCCATTCCATTCCTTTCCACTCGGGTTGATTCCATTCCATTCAATTCCGTTCCGTTCCGTTCCATTCCATTCCATTTCATTCCATTGCATTCCACTCGGGTTGATTCCATTCCATTCCATTCCATTCCATTCCATTCCATTCCATTCCATACCCTTCAGGTTGATTCCTTTCCATTCCATTCCATTCCATGCCATTCCACTCCATTCCGCTCCATTCCATTCGGGTTGATTCCGTTCCATTCCATGCCCTTTTATTCCATTCCATTCCATTCCATTCCATTCCATTCCATTCCATTCCATTCCACTCGGGTTGTTTCCATTCCATTCCTTTCCATTTCATTCTATTCCATTCCATTCCATTCCATTCCATTCCATTCCATTCCATTCCATTCTATTTCATTCCATTCCACTCCATTCCATTCCATTCCTCTCTGGTTATTCCATTCCATTCCATTCCATTCCACTCGAGTTGTTTCCATTCCATTCCATTCCATTTTATTCCATTCCATTCCATTCCACTCAGGTAGATTCCATTCCATTGCATTCCATTCCATTCCGTTCCGTTCCATTCCATTCCATTCCATTCCATTGCATTCCACTGGGGTTGATTCCATTCCGTTCCATTCCATTCCATTCCATTCCATTCCATTCCATTCCATTCCATACCCTTCGGGTTGATTCCTTTCCATTCCATTCCATTCTATACCATTCCACTTCATTCCGTTCCATTCCATTCGGGTTGATTCTGTTCCATTCCATGCCCTTTTATTCCATTCCATTCCATTCCATACCATTCCAAAAAGTTGATTGCATGTTATTCCATTCCATTCCATTCCATTCCTTTCCACTCGGGTTGATTCCACTCCATTCAATTCCGTTCCATTCCGTTCCGTTTCTTTCCGTTCCATTCCATTGCGTTTCATTCCATTGCATTCCACTAGGGTTGATTCCATTCCTTTGCATTCCATTCAATTCCATTCCATACCCTTCGGTTTGATTCCTTTCCATTCCATTCCATTCCATACCATTCCACTCCATTCCGCTCCATTCCATTCTGTTTGATTCCGTTCCATTCCATGCCCTTTTATTCCATTCCAATCCATTCCATTCCATACCATTCCACCAAAGTTGATTGCATGTTCCATTCCATTCCATTCCATTCCACTCGGGTAGATTCCATTCCATTCCATTTCGTTAGTTTCTAATCGGGTTGATTCCAATCCATTCCATTCTATTCAAGTCCTTTCCATTCCATGCCATTCCACTCGGGTTGTTTCCCTTTTGTTGTATTCCATTCCATTCCATTCCATTCCATTCCATTCCATTCCATTCCATTCCATTCCTTTCCATTCCATTCCATTGCATTCCATTCCACTCGGGTTGTTTCCATTCCGTTCCATTAGTTTCCATTCCATTCCATTCGTTTCCATTCCATTCCATTCCATTCCTTTCCACTCAGGGTGATTCCATTCCATTCCATTCCAATGCATTCCATTCCAGTTGATACCATTGCATTGCATTGTTTCCGTGCCATTCCATTCCATTCCATTCCATTCCATTCCATTCCATTCCACTCGGGTTGTTTCCATTGCATTCCTTTCCATTTCATTCCATTCCATTCCATTCCATTCCATTCTATTCCATTCGATTCCACTCCATTCCATTCCATTCCTCTCCGGTTATTCCATTCCATTGCATTCCATTCCACTCGGGTTGTTTCCATTCCATTCGATTCCATTTTATTCCATTCCATTCCGTTCCATTACATTCCGTTCTATACCATTCCACTCAGGTTGATTCCATACCAATCTATTCCATTCCACTCCAATAAATTCCATTCCATTCCATTCCACTCGGGTAGATTCCATTATATTCCATTCCATTCCGTTCCACTGCATTCCATTCCATTCCATTCCATTCCATTCCATTCCATTCCATTCCATTCCATTAAATTCCATTCCATTCCATTCCACTCGGGTAGATTCCATTCCATTCCATTCCATTCCATTAGTTTCTAATCGGGTTGATTCCAATCCATTCCATTATATTCAAGTCCTTTCCATTCCATGCCATTCCACTCGGGTTGTTTCCATTTTGTTGTATTCCATTCCATTCCATTCCATTCCATTCCATTCCATTCCATTGCATTCCATTCCATTGCATTCCATTCCATTCCATTGCATTCCATTCCATTGTATTCCATTCCACTCGGGTTGTTTCCATTCCTTTCCATTAGTTTCCATTCCATTCCATTCCTTTCCATTCCATTCCATTCTATTCCTTTCCACTCAGGGTGATTCCATTCCATTCCATTCCAATGCATTCCATTCCAGTTGATACCATTGCATTGCGTTGTTTCCATTCCATTCCAATCCATTCCATTCCATTCCATTCCATTCCATTCCACTCCGTTTTATTCATTGCCATTCCATTCCATTCCATTTCATTCCTCTCGGGTTGATTCCATTCCATTCCACGCCCCTTTATTCCATTCCATTCCATTCCATTCCATTCCATTCCATTCCATTCCATTCCACACCATTCCACCAAAGTTGATTGCATGCTATTCCATTCCATAGCATTCCATTCTATTCCATTCCATTCCATTCCATTCCATTCCATTCCATTCCATTCCATTCCATTCCTTTCCACTTGGGTTGATTCCATTCCATTCAATTCCGTTCCGTTCCGTTCCATTCCATTCCATTCCATTCCATTTCATTCCATTGTTTTCCACTCGGGTTGATTCCATTCCATTCCATTCCATTCCATTCCATACACTTCGGGTTGATTCGTTTCCATTCCATTCCATTCCATACAATTCCACTCCATTCCGTTCCATTCCATTCGGGTTGATTCTGTTCCATTCCATGCCCTTTTATTCCATTCCATTCCATTCCATTCCATTCCATACCATTCCACCAAAGTTGATTGCATGTTATTCCATTCCATTCCATTCCATTCCATTCCATTCCATTCCATTCCATACCATTCCACCGAAGTTGATTGCATGTTATTCCATTCCATTCCATTCCATTCCATTCCATTCCATTCCATTCCATTCCACTCGAGTTGATTCCATTCTATTCAATTCCGTTCTGTTCCGTTCCATTCCATTCCATTCCATTCCATTTCATTCCATTGCATTCCACTCGAGTTCATTCCATTCCTTTCCATTCCATTCCATTCCATTCAATTCCATACCGTTCGGGTTGATTCCTTTCCATTCCATTAAATATCATTCCACTCCATTCCGCTCCATTCCATTCGGGTTGATTCCGTTCCATTCCATGCCCTTTTATTCCATTCCATTCCATTCCATTCCATTCCATTCCATTCCATTCCATTCCATTCCATACCATTCCACCAAAGTTGATTGCATGTTATTCCATTCCATTCCATTTCATTCCATTCAATTCCATTCCATTCCATTCCTTTCCACTCGGGTTGATTCCATTACATTCAATTCCGTTCCATTCCATTCCGTTCCATTCCGTTCCATTGCATTGCATTTCATTCCATTGCATTCCACTCGGGTTGATTCCATACCATTCCATTCCATTCCATTCCATTCCATTCCATTCCATACCCTTCGGGTTGATTCCTTTCCATTCCATTCTATTCCATACCATTCCACTCCATTCCATTCCATTCGGGTTGATTACATTCCATTCCGTTCCGTTCCATTCCATTCCATACCATTCCACTAGGGTTGATTCCATACCATTCCATTTCATTGCATTCCATTCCATTCCATTCGACTCGGGTTGATTCCATTCCATTCCATTCCAATGCATTCCATTCCAGTTGATACCATTGAATTGCATTGTTTCCATTCCATTCCATTAAATTCCATTCCATTCCATTCCACTTGATTTGATTCATTTCCATTCCATTCCATTCCATTCCATTCCATTCCATTCCATTCCATTCCATACCATTCCACCAAATTTGATTGCATGCTATTCCATTCCATTCCGTTCCATTCCTTTCCACTTGGGTTGATTCCATTCCATTCAATTCCGTTCCGTTCTGTCCCGTTCCGTGCCATTCCATTTCATTACATTTCATTCCATTGCATTCCACTCGGGTTGATTCCATTCCATTCCATTCCATTCCATTCCATTCCATTCCATTCCATTCCATTCCATTTCATTCCCTTCGGATTGATTCCTTTCCATTCCATTCCATTCCATACCAATCCACTCCATTCCGTTCCATTCCATTCGGGTTGATTTGGTTCCATTCCATGCCCTTTTATTCCATTCTATTCAATTCCATTCCATTCCATTCCATTCCATTCCATTCCATTCCATACCATTCTACCAAAGTTGATTGCATGTTATTCCATTCCATTCCATTCCATTCCATTCCATTCCATTCCATTCCATTCCATTCCATTCCACTCGGGTTGATTCCATTCCTTTCAATTCCGTTCCATTCCTTTCCATTCCATTCCATTTCATTCCATTGTATTCCACTCGGGTTGATTCCATTCCTTTCCATTCCATTCCATTCCATTCCATTCCATTCCATTCCATTCCATTCCATTCCATTGCATTCCATTCCATTCCATACCCTTCGGGTTGATTCCTTTCCATTTCATTACATTCCATACCATTCCACTCCATTCTGTTCCATTCCATTCGGGTTGACTCTGTTCCATTCCATGCCCTTTTATTCCATTCCATTCCATTCCATTCCATACCATTCCACCAAAGTTGACTGCATGTTATTCCATTCCACTGCATTCCATTCCATTCCATTCCATTCCATTCCATTCCATTCCTTTCCACTCGGGTTCATTCCATTCAATTCAATTCCGTTCCGTTCCTCTCTGTTCCGTTCCATTCCATTCCATTTCATTCCATTGCATTCCACTCGGGATGATTCCATTCCATTCCATTCCATTCCATTCCATTCCATTCCATTCCATTCCATTCCCTTCGAGTTGATTCCTTTCCATTCCATTCCATTCCATACCATACCACTCCATTCCCTTCTATTCTATTCGGGTTGATTCCGTTCCATTCCTTGCACTTTTATTCCATTCCATTCCATTCCATTCCGTTCCATTCCATTCCATACCATTCCACCAAAGTTGATTGCATGTTATTCCATTCCATTCTATTCCATTCCATTCCATTCCCTTCCATTCCTTTTCCACTCGGGTTGATTCCATTCCATTCAATTCCGTTCCGTTCCGTTCCATTCCATTCCATTCCATTCCATACCCTTCGGGTTGATTCCCTTCCATTCCATGTCATTCCATATCATTCCACTCCATTCCGCTCCATTCCATTCTGGTTGATTCCATTCCATTCCATGCCCTTTCATTCCATTCCATTCCATTCCATTCCATTCCATTCCATTCCATTCCATACCATTCCACCAAAGTTGATTGCATATTATTCCATTCCATTCCATACCATTCCATTCCACTCGGTTTGTTTCCATTCCATTCCTTTCCATTTCATTCTAATCCATTCCATTCCATTCCATTCTATTCCATTCCATTCCACTCCATTCCATTCCATTCCTCTCCGGTTATTCCATTCCATTCCATTCCATTCCACTCGGGTTGTTTCCATTCCATTCCATTCCATTTTATTCCGTTCCATTCCATTACATTACATTCTATACCATTCCACTCGGGTTGATTCCATACCATTCTGTTCCATTCCATTCCATTCCATTCCATTCCATTCCATTCCATTCCGTTCCATTCCATTCCATTAAATTCCATTCCATTCCATTCCACTTGGGTAGATTCCATTCCATTCCATTCCATTCCATTCCATTCCATTCCATTCCATTCCATTCCATTAGTTTCTAATCGGGTGATTCCAATCCATTCCATTATATTCAAGTCCTTTCCATTCCATGCCATTCCACTCGGGTTGTTTCCATTTTATTGTATTCCATTCCATTCCATTCCATTCCATTCCTTTCCACTCAGGGTGATTCAATTCCTTTCCATTCCAATGCATTCCATTCCAGCTGATACCATTGCATTGCATTGTTTCCATTCCATTCCTTTCTATTCCATTCCATTACATTCCACTCGGTTTGATTCATTTCCATTCCATTCAATTCCATTCCATTCCATTCCATTCCATTCCATTCCATTCGTCTCGGGTTGATTCCATTCCATTCCATGCCCTTTTATTCCATTCCATTCCATTCCATTCCATTCCATTCCATTCCATTCCATTCCATTCCATACCATTCCTACAAAGTTGATTGCATGCTATTCCATTCCATTCTATTCCATTCCATTCCATTCCACTCCATTCCATTCCATTCCATTCCATTCCACTTGGGTTGATTCCATTCCATTCAATTCCATTCCGTTCCGTTCCGTTCCATTCCATTCCATTCCATTCTGTTCCATTCCATTTCTTTCCATTGCATTCCACTCAGGTTTATTCCATTCCATTCCATTCCATTCCATTCCATTCCATTCCATTCCATTCCATTCCATTCCATTCCATACCCTTCGGGTTGATTCCTTCCCATTCCATTCCATTCCATACCATTCCACTCCATTCCGTTCCATTCCATTCGGGTTGATTCTGTTCCATTCCATGCCCTTTTGTTCCATTCCATTCCATTCCATTCCATACCATTCCACCAAAGTTGATTGTATGTTATTCCATTCCATTCCATTCCATTCCTTTCCATTCCATTCCATTCCATTCCATTCCATTCCATTCCATTCCATTCCATTCCATTCCACTCGGGTTGATTCCATTCCATTCAATTCCGTTCCGTTCCGTTCCGTTCCATTCCATTCCATTCCATTTCATTCCATTGCATTCCACTCGGGTTGATTCCATTCCTTTCCATTCCATTCCATTCCATTCCATTCCATTCCATTCCACTCGGGTTGATTCCATTCCATTCCATTCCATTCCATTCCATTCCATTCCATTCCATTCCACTCCATTCCATTCCACTCCTCTCCGGTTATTCCATTCCATTCCACTCGGGTTGTTTCCATTCCATTCCATTCCATTTTATTCCATTCCATTCCGTTTCATTACATTCCATTCTATACCATTCCACTTGGGTTGATTCCATACCATTCTATTCCATTCCATTCCAGTAAATTCCATTCCATTCCATTCCACTCGGGTAGATTCCATTCCATTCCATTCCATTCCATTCCATTCCATTCCATTCCATTAGTTTCTAATCGGGTTGATTCCAATCCATTCCATTATATTCAAATCCTTTCCATTCCATGCCATTCCACTCGGTTTGTTTCCATTTTGTTGTATTCCATTCCATTCCATCCCATTCCATTCCATTCCATTTCATTCCATTCCACTCGGGTTGTTTCCATTCCGTTCCATTAGTTTCCATTCCATTCCTTTCCATTCCATTCCACTCATGGTGATTCCTTTCCTTTCCATTCTAATTCATTCCATTCCAGTTGATACCATTGCATTGCATTGTTTCCATTCCATTCCATTCCATTCCATTCCATTCCATTCCATTCCATTCCACTCGGTTTGATTCATTTCCATTCCATTCCTTTCCATTCCTCTCGTGTTGATTCCATTCCATTCCATGCCCTTTTATTCCATTCCATTCCATTCCATTCCATTCCATTCCATTCCATTCCATTCCATTCCATACCTTTACACCAAAGTTGATTGCATGCTATTCCATTCCATTCCATTCCATTCCATTCCATTCCGTTCTGTTCCGTTCCGTTCCGTTCCATTCCATTCCATTCCATTCCATTGCATTCCACTGGGGTTGATTCCATTCCATTCCATTCCATTCCATTCCATTCCATTCCATTCCATTGCATTCCACTGGGGTTGATTCCATTCCATTCCATTCCATTCCATTCCATTCCATTCCATTCCATTCCATATCTTTCCACCAAAGTTGATTGCATGCTATTCCATTCCATTCCATTCCATTCCATTCCATTCCATTCCATTCCGTTCCTTTCCTCTTGGGTTGATTCCATTCCATTCAATTCCGTTCCATTCCGTTCCGTTCCGTTCCATTCCATTCCATTCCATTGCATTCCACTGGGGTTGATTCCATTCCGTTCCATTCCATTCCATTCCATTCCATTCCATTCCATTCCATTCCATACCCTTCGGGTTGATTCCTTTCCATTCCATTCCATTCTATACCATTCCACTTCATTCCGTTCCATTCCATTCGGGTTGATTCTGTTCCATTCCATGCCCTTTTATTCCATTCCATTCCATTCCATACCATTCCAAAAAGTTGATTGCATGTTATTCCATTCCATTCCATTCCATTCCTTTCCACTCGGGTTGATTCCACTCCATTCAATTCCGTTCCATTCCGTTCCGTTTCTTTCCGTTCCATTCCATTGCGTTTCATTCCATTGCATTCCACTAGGGTTGATTCCATTCCTTTGCATTCCATTCAATTCCATTCCATACCCTTCGGTTTGATTCCTTTCCATTCCATTCCATTCCATACCATTCCACTCCATTCCGCTCCATTCCATTCTGTTTGATTCCGTTCCATTCCATGCCCTTTTATTCCATTCCAATCCATTCCATTCCATACCATTCCACCAAAGTTGATTGCATGTTCCATTCCATTCCATTCCATTCCTTTCCATTCCATTCCATTCCATTCCATTCCATTCCATTCCATTCCATTCCATTCCATTCCATTCCATTCCTTTCCACTCGGGTTGTTTCCATTCCATTCAATTCCATTCCGTTCCGTTCCGTTCCATTCCCTTCCATTTCATTCCATTGCATTCCACTCGGGTTGATTCCATTCCTTTCCATTCCATTCCATTCCATATCATTCCACTCCATTCCGCTCCATTCTATTCGGGTTGATTCCGTTCTATTCCATCCCCCTTTATTCCATTCCATTCCATTCTATTCCATTCCATTCCATACCATTCCACCAAAGTTGATTGCATGTTATTCCATTCCATTCCATTCCATTTCATTCAATTCTATTCCATTCCATTCCTTTCCACTCGGGTTGATTCCATTCCATTCCATTCTGTTCCGTTCCATTCCATTCCATTCCATTCCATTTCATTCCATTGCATTCCACTCGGGTTGATTTCATTCCATTCCATTCCATTCCATTCCATTCCATTCCATTCCATTCCATTCCCTTCACGTTGATTCCTTTCCATTCCATTCCATTCCATACCATTCCACTCCATTCCATTCCATTCCATTCGGGTTGATTCCATTCCATTCCGGTCCGTTCCATTCCATTCCATACCATTCCACTAGGGTTGATTCCATGCCATTCCATTCCATTGCATTCCATTCCATTCCATTCCACTCGGGTTGATTCCATTCCATTCCATTCCATTCCATTCCATTCTATTCCATTCCATTCCATTCCACTCGGGTTGATTCCATTCCATTCCATTCCATTCCATTCCATTCCATTCCATTCCACTCCATTCCATTCCATTCCTCTCCGGTTATTCCATTCCATTCCACTCGGGTTGTTTCCATTCCATTCCATTCCATTTTATTCCATTCCATTCCGTTTCATTACATTCCATTCTATACCATTCCACTCGGGTTGATTCCATACCATTCTATTCCATTCCATTCCAGTAAATTCCATTCCATTCCATTCCACTCGGGTAGATTCCATTCCATTCCATTCCATTCCATTCCATTCCATTCCATTCCATTCCATTAGTTTCTAATCGGGTTGATTCCAATCCATTCCATTATATTCAAATCCTTTCCATTCCATGCCATTCCACTCGGTTTGTTTCCATTTTGTTGTATTCCATTCCATTCCATCCCATTCCATTCCATTCCATTTCATTCCATTCCACTCGGGTTGTTTCCATTCCGTTCCATTAGTTTCCATTCCATTCCTTTCCATTCCATTCCACTCATGGTGATTCCTTTCCTTTCCATTCTAATTCATTCCATTCCAGTTGATACCATTGCATTGCATTGTTTCCATTCCATTCCATTCCATTCCATTCCATTCCATTCCACTCGGTTTGATTCATTTCCATTCCATTCCTTTCCATTCCTCTCGTGTTGATTCCATTCCATTCCATGCCCTTTTATTCCATTCCATTCCATTCCATTCCATTCCATTCCATTCCATTCCATTCCATTCCATACCTTTCCACCAAAGTTGATTGCATGCTATTCCATTCCATTCCATTCCATTCCGTTCCGTTCCGTTCCGTTCCGTTCCGTTCCATTCCATTCCATTCCATTCCATTGCATTCCACTGGGGTTGATTCCATTCCATTCCATTCCATTCCATTCCATTCCATTCCATTCCATTCCATTCCATTCCATACCTTTCCACCAAAGTTGATTGCATGCTATTCCATTCCATTCCATTCCATTCCATTCCATTCCATTCCATTCCATTCCATTCCGTTCCTTTCCTCTTGGGTTGATTCCATTCCATTCAATTCCGTTCCATTCCGTTCCGTTCCGTTCCATTCCATTCCATTCCATTGCATTCCACTGGGGTTGATTCCATTCCATTCCATTCCATTCCATTCCATTCCATTCCATTCCATTCCATTCCATTCCCTTCGGGTTGATTCCTTTCCATTCCATTCCATTCTATACCATTCCACTTCATTCCGTTCCATTCCATTCGGGTTGATTCTGTTCCATTCCATGCCCTTTTATTCCATTCCATTCCATTCCATACCATTCCAAAAAGTTGATTGCATGTTATTCCATTCCATTCCATTCCATTCCTTTCCGCTCGGGTTGATTCCACTCCATTCAATTCCGTTCCATTCCGTTCCGTTCCTTTCCGTTCCATTCCATTGCGTTTCATTCCATTGCATTCCACTAGGGTTGATTCCATTCCTTTGCATTCCATTCAATTCCATTCCATACCCTTCGGTTTGATTCGTTTGCATTCCATTCCATTCCATACCATTCCACTCCATTCCGCTCCATTCCATTCTGTTTGATTCCGTTCCATTCCATGCCCTTTTATTCCATTCCAATCCATTCCATTCCATACCATTCCACCAAAGTTGATTGCATGTTCCATTCCATTCCATTCCATTCCTTTCCATTCCATTCCATTCCATTCCATTCCATTCCATTCCATTCCATTCCATTCCATTCCATTCCTTTCCACTCGGGTTGTTTCCATTCCATTCAATTCCATTCCGTTCCGTTCCGTTCCGTTCCATTCCCTTCCATTTCATTCCATTGCATTCCACTCGGGTTGATTCCATTCCTTTCCATTCCATTCCATTCCATATCATTCCACTCCATTCCGCTCCATTCTATTCGGGTTGATTCCGTTCTATTCCATCCCCCTTTATTCCATTCCATTCCATTCTATTCCATTCCATTCCATACCATTCCACCAAAGTTGATTGCATGTTATTCCATTCCATTCCATTCCATTTCATTCAATTCCATTCCATTCCATTCCTTTCCACTCGGGTTGATTCCATTCCATTCCATTCTGTTCCGTTCCATTCCATTCCATTCCATTCCATTTCATTCCATTGCATTCCACTCGGGTTGATTTCATTCCATTCCATTCCATTCCATTCCATTCCATTCCATTCCATTCCATTCCCTTCGCGTTGATTCCTTTCCATTCCATTCCATTCCATACCATTCCACTCCATTCCATTCCATTCCATTCGGGTTGATTCCATTCCATTCCGGTCCGTTCAATTCCATTCCATACCATTCCACTAGGGTTGATTCCATGCCATTCCATTCCATTGCATTCCATTCCATTCCATTCCACTCGGGTTGATTCCATTCCATTCCATTCTATTCCATTCCATTCTATTCCATTCCATTCCATTCCACTCGGGTTGATTCCATTCCATTCCATTCCATTCCATTCCATTCCATTCCACTCCATTCCATTCCATTCCTCTCCGGTTATTCCATTCCATTCCACTCGGGTTGTTTCCATTCCATTCCATTCCATTTTATTCCATTCCATTCCGTTTCATTACATTCCATTCTATACCATTCCACTCGGGTTGATTCCATACCATTCTATTCCATTCCATTCCAGTAAATTCCATTCCATTCCATTCCACTCGGGTAGATTCCATTCCATTCCATTCCATTCCATTCCATTCCATTCCATTCCATTCCATTCCATTAGTTTCTAATCGGGTTGATTCCAATCCATTCCATTATATTCAAATCCTTTCCATTCCATGCCATTCCACTCGGTTTGTTTCCATTTTGTTGTATTCCATTCCATTCCATCCCATTCCATTCCATTCCATTTCATTCCATTCCACTCGGGTTGTTTCCATTCCGTTCCATTAGTTTCCATTCCATTCCTTTCCATTCCATTCCACTCATGGTGATTCCTTTCCTTTCCATTCTAATTCATTCCATTCCAGTTGATACCATTGCATTGCATTGTTTCCATTCCATTCCATTCCATTCCATTCCATTCCATTCCATTCCACTCGGTTTGATTCATTTCCATTCCATTCCTTTCCATTCCTCTCGTGTTGATTCCATTCCATTCCATGCCCTTTTATTCCATTCCATTCCATTCCATTCCATTCCATTCCATTCCATTCCATTCCATACCTTTCCACCAAAGTTGATTGCATGCTATTCCATTTCATTCCATTCCATACCATTCCATTCCATTCCGTTCCTTTTATCTTGGGTTGATTCCATTCCATTCAATTCCTTTCCGTTCCGTTCCGTTCCATTCCATTCCATTCCATTCCATTCCATTGCATTCCACTGGGGTTGATTCCATTCCATTCCATTCCATTCCATTCCATTCCATTCCATACCCTTCGGGTTGATTCCTTTCCAATCCATTCCATTCTATACCATTCCACTTCATTCCGTTCCATTCCTTTCGGGTTGATTCTGTTCCATTCCATGCCCTTTTATTCCATTCCATTCCATTCCATACCATTCCACCAAAGTTGATTGCATGTTATTCCATTCCATTCCATTCCATTCCATTCCTTTCCACTCGGGTTGATTCCACTCCATTCAATTCCGTTCCGTTCCGTTCCTTTCCGTTCCATTCCATTGCGTTTCATTCCATTGCATTCCACTAGGGTTGATTCCATTCCTTTCCATTCCATTCCATTCCATTCCATACCCTTCGGTTTGATTCCTTTCCATTCCATTCCATTCCATACCATTCCACTCCATTCCGCTCCATTCCATTCGGTTTAATTCCGTTCCATTCCATGCCCTTTTATTCCATTCCATTCCATTCCATTCCATACCATTCCACCAAAGTTGATTGCATGTTCCATTCCATTCCATTCCATTCCATTCCATTCCATTCCATTCCATTCCATTCCATTCCATTCAATTCCATTCCATTCCATTCCATTCCTTTCCACTCGGGTTGTTTCCATTCCATTCAATTCCATTCCGTTCCGTTCCGTTCCGTTCCAGTCCATTCCATTTCATTCCATTGCATTCCACTCGGGTTGATTCCATTCCTTTCCATTCCATTCCATTCCATATCATTCCACTCCATTCCGCTCCATTCTATTCGGGTTGATTCCGTTCTATTCCATCCCCCTTTATTCCATTCCATTCCATTCTATTCCATTCCATTCCATACCATTCCACCAAAGTTGATTGCATGTTATTCCATTCCATTCCATTCCATTCCATTCCATTCCATTCCATTCCATTCCATTCAATTCCATTCCATTCCATTCCTTTCCACTCGGGTTGATTCCATTCCATTCCATTCTGTTCCGTTCCGTTCCGTTACATTCCATTCCATTTCATTCCATTGCATTCCACTCGGGTTGATTTCATTCCATTCCATTCCATTCCATTCCATTCCATTCCATTCCATTCCATACCCTTCGCGTTGATTCCTTTCCATTCCATTCCATTCCATACCATTCCACTCCATTCCATTCCATTCCATTCGGGTTGATTCCATTCCATTCCGGTCCGTTCCGTTCCATTCCATACCATTCCACTAGGGTTGTTTCCATGCCATTCCATTCCATTGCATTCCATTCCATTCCATTCCACTCGTGTTGATTCCATTCCATTCCATTCCATTCCATTCCATTCCACTCCATTCCATTACATTCCATTCTACTCTGGTTAATTCCGTTCCATTCCCTTCCAATCCATTCCATTCCATTCCATTCCATTCCATTCCATTCCATTCCATTCCATTCCATTCCATTGGGGTCCATTCCATTTCATTCCATTCTGTTCCGTTCCGTTCCATTCCATTCCATTCCATTCCATTCCATTCCATTCCATTGCATTCCATACCATTCCATTCCATTCTATTCCATTCCATTCCATTCCATTCCACTCGAGTTGATTCCATTCCATTCCATTCCATTCCGTTCTGTTGCATTCCATTCCGTTCCATTCCATTCCATTCCATTCCACTCGAGTTGATTCCATTCCATTCCATTCCATTCCGTTCCGTTGCATTCCATTCCGTTCCATTGCTTTACATTCCATTCCATTCCATTCCATTCCATTCCATTCCATTCCATTCCATTCCAACCTTCTAATCGGGTTGATTCTAATCCATTCCATTTCCATTCCATTCGAGGTTGATTCCATTCCATTCCGGTCCGTTCCGTTCCATTCCATACCATTCCACTAGGGTTGTTTCCATGCCATTCCATTCCATTGCATTCCATTCCATTCCATTCCACTCGTGTTGATTCCATTCCATTCCATTCCATTCCATTCCATTCCACTCCATTCCATTACATTCCATTCTACTCTGGTTAATTCCGTTCCATTCCCTTCCAATCCATTCCATTCCATTCCATTCCATTCCATTCCATTCCATTCCATTCCATTCCATTCCATTCCAACCTTCTAATCGGGTTGATTCTAATCCATTCCATTACATTCAAGTCTTTCCATTCCATGCCATTCCTCTTGTGTTGTTTCCATTCCATTGAATTCCATTCCATTCCATTCCATTCCATTCCATTCCATTCCATTCCATTCCATTCCATTCCACTCGGGTTGTTTCCATTCCATTTCATTAGTTTCCATTCCATTCCATTCCATTCCATTTTATTCCATTCCATTTCATTCCATTACATTCCATTCTATACCATTCCACTCGGGTTGATTCTATACCATTCTATTCCATTCCATTCTATACCATTCCACTCGGGTTGATTCCATACCATTCTATTCCATTCCATTCCATTAAATTCCATTCCATTCCATTCCACTCGTGTAGATTCCATTCCATTCCATTCCATTACGTTCCGTTCCGTTCCATTCCATTCCATTCCATTCCATTCCATTCCATTCCATTCCATTCCATTAAATTCCATTCCATTCCATTCCATTCCTCTCGGGTCGATTCCATTCCATTCCATTCCATTCCATTCCATTAGTTTCTAATCGGGTTGATTCCAATCCATTCCATTATATTCAAATCCTTTCCATTCCATGCCATTCCACTCGGGTTGTTTCCATTTTGTTGTATTCCATTCCATTCCATTCCATTCCATTCCATTCCATTCCATTGTATTCCATTCCACTCGGGTTGTTTCCATTCCGTTTCATTAGTTTCCATTCCATTCCATTCC
Organism: Homo sapiens; assembly: GCF_000001405.40. Lineage (NCBI taxonomy): Eukaryota > Metazoa > Chordata > Mammalia > Primates > Hominidae > Homo > Homo sapiens. The sequence goes on from NW_021159991.1 coordinate 71,201, forward strand.
TTTCCATTCCATTCCACTCATGGTGATTCCATTCCTTTCCATTCCAATTCATTCCATTCCAGTTGATACCATTGCATTGCATTGTTTTCATTCCATTCCATTCCATTCCATTCCTCTTGGTTTGATTCATTTCCATTCCATTCCATTCCATTCCTCTCGGGTTGATTCCATTCCATTCCATGCCCTTTTATTCCATTCCATTCCATTCCATTCCATTCCATTCCATTCCATTCCATACCATTCCATTCCATTCCATTCCATTCCATACCATTCCACCAAGTTGATTGCATGCTATCCCATTCCATTCCATTCCATTCCATTCCATTTCATTCCATTCCATTCCGTTCCTTTCCACTTGGGTTGATTACATTCCATTCCATTCAATTCCGTTCCGTTCTGTTCCATTTTGTTCCATTCCATTCCATTCCATTTCCTTCCATTGCATTCCACTGGGGTTGATTCCATTCCATTCCATTCCATTCCATTCCATTCCATTCCATTCCATTCCATACCCTTCGGGTTGATTCCTTTCCATTCCATTCCATTGCATACCATTCCACTCCATTCCGTTCCATTCCATTCGGGTTGATTCTGTTCCATTCCATGCTTTTATTCCATTCCAATCCATTCCATACCATTCCACCAAAGTTGATTGCATGTTATTCCATTCTATTCCATTCCATTCCATTCCATTCCATTCCATTCCATTCCATTCCATTCCATTCCATTCTATTCCATTCCATTCCTTTCCTTTCCAGTCGGTTTGATTCCATTCCATTCAATTCCATTCCGTTCCGTTCCATTCCTTTCCGTTCCATTCCATTGCGTTTCATTCCATTGCATTCCACTCGGGTTGATTCCATTTCTTTCCATTCCATTCCATTCCATTCAATTCCATAGCCTTCAGGTTGATTCCTTTCCATTCCATTCCATTCCATACCATTCCACTCCATTCCGCTCCAATCCATTCGGGTTGATTCCGTTCTGTTCCATGTCCTTTTATTCCATTCCCTTCCATTCCATTCCATTCCATTCCATACCATTCCACCAAAGTTGATTGCATGTTATTCCATTCTATTCCATTCCATTCGATTCAATTCCATTCCATTCCATTCCATTCCATCCCTTTCCGCTCGGGTTGTTTCCATGCCATTCAATTCCATTCCGTTCCGTTCCGTTCCATTCCATTCCATTCCATTCCATTCCATACCCTTCGGGTTGATTCCTTTCCATTCCATTCCATTCCATCCCATTCCACTCCATTCCGTTCTATTCCATTTAGGTTGATTCCATTTCTTTCCATTCCGTTCCATTGCATTCCATACCTTTCCACTAGGGTTGATCCCATACCATTCCATTCCATTGCATTCCATTCCATTCCATTCCATTCCACTCGGGTTGATTCCATTCCATTCCATTCCAATCCATTCCATTCCATTCCATTCGGGTTGATTCCATTCCATTCCTTTCCATTCCATTCCATTCCATTCCATTCCATTCCATTCCATTCCATTCCATTCGAGTTGATTCCATTCTATTCCATTCCATTCCATTCCATTGGGGTTGATTCCATTCCATTCCATTCCATTCCATTCCATTCCATTCCATTCCATTCGACTCGGGTTGATTCCAATCCATTCCATTCCAATCCATTCCATTCCATTCCATTCCATTCCATTCCATTCCATTCCATTCCATTCTGGTTGATTCCATTCCGTTGAATTTCTTTCCATTCCAATCCATTCCATACCATTCGATTCCATTCCATTCCATTCCATTCCATTCTATTCCACTCGAGTTAATTCCATTCCTTTGAATTCCATTGCTTTCCATTCCATTCCATTCCTTTCCACTCAGGTTGATTCCATTCCATTCCATTCCAATGCATTCCATTCCAGTTGATACCATTGCATTGCATTGTTTCCATTCCGTTCCATTCCATTCCATTACATTACATTACATTCCACTCGGTTTTATTCATTTCCGTTCCATTCAATTCCATTCCATTCCATTCCATTCCATTCCATTCCTCTTGGGTTGATTCCATTCCAATCCATGCCCCTTTATTCCATTCCATTCCATTCCATTCCATTCCATTCCATTCCATACCATTCCACCAAAGTTGACTGCATGCTATTCCATTCCATTCCATTCTATTCCATTCCATTCCATTCCATTCCATTCCATTCCATTCCATTCCTTTCCACTCGGGTTGATTACATTCCATTCAATTCCGTTCCATTCCGTTCCGTTCCGTTCCATTCCATTCCATTCCATTTTATTCCATTGCATTCCACTCAGGTTGATTCCATTCCATTCCATTCCATTCCATTCCATTCCATTCCATAACCTTCGGATTGATTCCTTTCCATTCCGTTCCATTCCATAGATTCCACTCCATTCCGTTCCATTTCATTCGAGTTGATTCTGTTCCATTCCATGCCCTTTTATTCCATTCCATTCCATTCCATTCCATTGCGTTCCATTCCATTCCTTACCATTCCACCAAAGTTGATTGCATGTTATTCCATTCCATTCCATTCCATTCCATTCCTTTCCACTCGTTTTGATTCCATTCCATTCAATTCCGTTCCGTTCCGTTCCGTTCGTTTCCATTCCATTCCATTTCATTCCATTGCATTCCACTCGGGTTGATTCCATTCCTTTCAATTCCATTCCATTCCATTCCATTCAATTCCATACCCTTTGGTTTGATTCCTTTCCATTCCATTACATTCCATATCATTCCACTCCATTCCGCTCCATTCCATTCGGGTTGATTCCGTTCCATTCCATGCCCTTTTATTCCATTCCATTCCATTCTATTCCATTCCATTCCATACCATTCCACCAAAGTTGATTGTATGTTATTCCATTCCATTCCATTCCATTCCATTCCATTCCATTCAATTCCATTCCATTCCATTCAATTCCATTCCATTCCATTCCTTTCCACTCGGGTTGTTTCCATTCCATTCAATTCCGTTCCATTCCATTCCGTTCCATTCCATTCCATTCCGTTTCATTCCATTGCATTCCACTCGGGTTGATTTCATTCCATTCCATTCCATTCCATTCCATTCCATTCCATTCCCTTCGGTTTGATTCCTTTCCATTCCATTCCATTCCATACCATTCCACTCCATTCCTTTCCATTCCATTCGGGTTGATTCCCTTCCATTCCGTTCCGTTCCATTCCATTCCACACCATTCCACTAGGGTTGATTCCATGCCATTCCATTCCATTGCATTCCATTCCATTCCATTCCACTCGCGTTGATTCCATTCCATTCCATTCCAATCCATTCCATTCCACTCCTTTCCATTCCTTTCCATTCGGGTTGATTCCATTCCATTCCGTTCCATTCCATTCCATTCCATACCATTCCACTAGGGTTGATACCATGCCATTCCATTCCATTCCATTCCATTCCATTCCACTCGGGTTGATTACATTCCATTCCATTCCAATCCATTCCATTCCATTCCATTCCATTCCATTCCATTCCATTCCATTCCATTCCATTCCATTCCATTCCACTCGGGTTGATTCCATTCCATTCCATTCCATTCCATTCCATTCCATTCCATTCCATTCCATTCCATTCCACTCCATTCCGTTACATTCCATTCTACTCTGTTTAATTCCGTTCCATTCCATTCCAATCCATTCCATTCCATTCCATTCCATTCCATTCCATTCCATTGGGGTCCATTCCATTCCATTCCATTCCATTCCATTCCATTCCGTTCCGTTCCGTTCCATTCCATTCAAATCCATTCCATTGCATTCCATACCATTCCATTCCATTCTATTCCATTCCATTCCATTCCATTGCACTCGAGTTGATTCCATTCCATTCCATTCCATTCCGTTCCGTTCCATTCCATTCCGTTCCATTCTATTCCATTCCATTCCATTCCATTCCATTAAATTCCATTCCATTCCATTGCATTCCATTACTTTCTAATCGGGTTGATTCTAATCCATTCCATTACATTCAAGTCTTTCCATTCCATGCCATTCCTCTTTGGTTGTTTCCATTACGTTGAATTCCATTCCATTCCATTCCATTCCATTCCATTCCATTCCATTCCATTCCATTCCATTGCATTCCATTCCACTCGGGTCGTTTCCATTCCATTTCATTAGTTTCCATTCCATTCCATTCCATTCCATTTCACTCAAGTTGATTCCGTTCCATTCCATTGTATTCCATTCCAGTTGATTCCATTGCATTCCATTCCTTTCCATTCCTATCTATTCCATTACATTCCCTTACACTTGGGTTGATTCCATTCCATTTCAATCCATTCCATTCCATTCCCTTCCGTTCCATTCCATAGCATTCCACTAAATTTGATTCCATACCATTCCATTGCATTTCATTCCTTTCCTTTCCATTCCAATCCATTCCATTCCATTCCATTTAAATCCTTTCCATTCCTTTCCATTTCATTCCATTCCATTCCTTTCCTCTCGGGTTGATTCCATTCCATTCCTTTCCATTCTGTTCCATTCCATTCCGTTCCATTCCATTCCATTCCATTCCATTCCATTCCATTCCATTCCATTGCATTCCACTCGGGGTGATTCCATTCCATTCCATTCCATTCCATTCCATTCCATTCCATTCCATTCCATTCCATTCCATTTCATTCCATTCCATTGCATTCCATTTGGGTTCATACCTTTCCATTCCATTCCATTGCATTCCATTTGGGTTCATACCTTTCCATTCCATTCCATTCCATACCATTCCATTCCATTCCATTCCATTCCATTCAGGTTGACTCCATTCCATTCCGTTCCATTCCATTACATTCCATTCCATTCCGTTGCATTCCACTCCATTCCTATTCATTACATTCCACTCGGGTTGAATCCATTCCATTCCATTCCAATGCATTCCATTTTTTTCAGTTCCACTCGGATTCAATCAATTCCATTCCATTCCATTCCGTTCTGTTCCATTCCATTCCATTCCATTCCATTCCATTCCATTCCATTCTATTGCATTTCATTCCATTCCATTCTACTCAGGTTGATTCCATTCCATTCCATTCCATTCCATTCCATTCCATTCCATTCCATTCCACTCGGGTTGATTCAATTCCGTTCCTTTCCATTCCATTCCATTCTATTCCTTTCCACTCAGGGTGATTCCATTCCATTCCATTCCAATGCATTCCATTCCAGTTGATACCATTGCATTGCATTGTTTCCATTCCATTCCATTCCATTCCATTCAATTCCATTCTACTCGGTTTGATTCATTTCCATTCCATTCCATTCCATTCCTCTCGGGTTGATTCCATTCCATTCCATGCCCTTTTATTCCATTCCATTCCATTCCATTCCATTCCATTCCATTCCATTCCATTCCATTCCATACTATTCCACCAAAGTTGACTGCATGCTATTCCATTCCATTCCATTCCGTTCCATTCCATTTCATTCCGTTCCTTTCCACTTGGGTTGATTCAATTCCATTCAATTCCGTTCCGTTCCGTTCCGTTCCATTCCATTCCATTCCATTCCATTTCCTTCCATTGCATTCCACTGGGGTTGATTCCATTCCTTTCCATTCCTTTCCATTCCATTCCATTCCATTCCATTCCATACCCTTCGGGTTGATTCCTTTCCATTCCATTCCATTCCATACCATTCCCGTCCATTCTGTTCCATTCCATTCGGGTTGATTCTGTTCCATTCCATGCCTTTTTATTCCATTCCATTCCATTCCATATCATTCCACCAAAGTTGATTGAATGTTATTCCATTCCATTCCATACCATTCCACCAAAGTTGATTGCATGTTATTCCATTCCATTCCATTCCATTCCACCCATTCCATTCCTTTCCACTCGGGTTGATTCCATTCCATTCAATTCCGTTCCGTTCTGTTCCATTCCTTTCCGTTCCATTCCATTCCGTTTCATTCCATTGCATTCCACTCGGGTTGATTCCATTACTTTCCATTCCATTCCACTACATTCAATTCCATACCCTTCGGGTTGATTCCTTTCCATTCCATTCCATTCCATTCCATTCCATACCATTCCACTCCATTCCGCTCCATTCCATTCGGGTTGATTCCGTTCCATTCCATGCCCTTTTATTCCATTCCATTCCATTCCGTTCCATTCCACTCCATTCCATTCCATACCATTCCACCAAATTTGATTGCATGTTATTCCATTCCATTCCATTCCATTCCATTCCATTCCATTCCATTCCATTCCACTCGGTTTGATTCTTTTCCATTCCATTCCATTCCATTCCTCTCGGGTTGATTCCATTCCATTCCATGCCCTTTTATTCCATTCCATTCCATTTCATTCCATTCCATTCCATTCCATACCATTCCACCAAAGTTGACTGCATGCTATTCCATTCCATTCCATTCCATTCCATTCCATTCCATTCCATTCCATTCCATTCCATTCCGTTCCTTTCCACTTGGGTTGATTCCATTCTATTCAATTCCGTTCCGTTCCGTTCCATTCCATTCCATTCCATTCCATTCCATTTCCTTCCATTGCATTCCACTGGGGTTGATTCCATTCCCTTCCATTCCATTCCATTCCATTCCATTCCATTCCATTCCATACCCTTCGGGTTGATTCCTTTCCATTCCATTCCATTCCATACCATTCCACTCCATTCTGTTCCATTCCATTCAGGTTGATTCTGTTCCATTCCATACCCTTTTATTCCATTCCATTCCATTCCATACCATTCCACCAAGTTGATTGCATGTTATTCCATTCCATTCCATCCATTCCATTCCTTTCCACTCGGGTTGATTCCATTCCATTCAATTATGTTCCGTTCCGTTCCTTTCCGTTCCATTCCATTCCGTTTCATTCCGTTGCATTCCACTCGGGTTGATTCCATTACTTTCCATTCCATTCCATTCCATTCAATTCCATACCCTTCGGGTTGATTCCTTTCCATTCCATTCCATTCCATACGATTCCACTCCATTCCACTCCATTCCATTCGGGTTGATTCCGTTCCATTCCATGCCATTTTATTCCATTCCATTCCATTCCGTTCCATTCCACTCCATTCCATTCCATTCCATACCATTCCACCAAAGTTGATTGCATGTTATTCCATTCCATTCCATTCCATTCCATTCCATTCCATTCCATTCCATTCAATTCAATTCCATTCCTTTCCATTCCATTCCTTTCCACTCGGGTTGTTTCCATTCCATTCAATTCCGTTCCGTTCCATTCCGTTCCGTTCCATTCCATTCCATTCATTCCATTGCATTCCACTCGGGTTGATTCCATTCCATTGCATTCCATTCCATTCCATTGCATTCCATTCCATTCCATTCCATTCCATTCCATACCCTTCGGGTTGATTCCTTTCTATTCCATTCCATTCCATACCATTCCACTCCATTCCGTTCTATTCCATTCGGGTTGATTCCATTCCATTCCGTTCCGTTCCATTTCATTCCATACCATTCCACTATGGTTGATCCCATACCATTCCATTCCATTGCATTCCATTCCATTCCATTCCACTCGGGTTGATTCCATTCCATTCCATTCCAATCCGTTCCATTCCATTCCATTCCATTCCTTTCCATTTGATTCCATTCCATTCAATTCCATTCCATTCCATTCGGGTTGATTCCATTCCATTCCTTTCCATTCCATTCCATTCCATTCCATTCCATTCCATTCCATTCCACTCCAATTGATTCCATTCCATTCCATTCCATTCCATTCCATTCCATTCCATTCATTCCATTCCAGTTGATTCCATTCGATTCCATTCCATTCCATTCCATTCCATTCCATTCCATTCCATTCCATTCCATTCCATTCCATTCGACTCGGGTTGATTCCAATCCATTCCATTCCAATCCATTCCATGCCATTCCATTCCATTCCATTCCATTCTGGTTGATTCCATTCCGTAGAATTTCTTTCCATTCCAATCCATTCCATTCCGTTCCATTCCATTCCATTCCATTCTATTCCACTCGAGTTAATTCCATTCCTTTGAATTCCATTGCTTTCCATTCCATTCCATTCCATTCCTTTTCATTCTATTACACTCGGTTGTTTCCATTCCATTCATTTCTTTTCCATTCCATTCCATTCCTTTCCATTCCAGTCATGTTGATTCCATTCATTCCATTCCCTTACATTACGTTCCATTCCATTCCAGTTGATTCCATTGCATTCCATTCCATTCCATTCCATTCTACTCCTTTCCATTCCACTCTGGTTGATTCCATTCCATTCCATTCCATTCCATTCCACTCCATTCCGTTCCACTCGGGTTGATTCCATTCCATTCCATTCCATTCCATTCCATTGCATTCCATTCCATTTCACTCGGGTTGATGCCATTCTATTCCAATCTATTTTATTCCTTTCCATTCCATTCCATTCCATTCCATACCATTCCACTCGGGTGGATTCCATAACATTCCATTCTATTCCATTGCATTCCTTTCCATTCCATTCCACTTGTGTTGATTCCATTCCATTCCATTCCATTCCATTCCATTCCATTCCATTCCATTCCATTCCATTCCATTCCATTCGGGTTGATTCCATTCCATTCCATTCCATTTCATTCCATTCCATTCCATTCCATTACACTCCATTCCATTCCATTCCACTCCATTCCATTCCATTCCATTCCATTCCACTCCATTCCATTCCATTCCATTCCACCCAGATTGATTCCATTCTATTCCATTCCATTCCGTTCCATTCCATTCCAGTTGATTCCAATGCCTTCCATTCCATTCCATTCCACTGCATTCCATTCCACTCCATTCCACTCGGGTTGATTCCATTCCATTCCATTCCATTCCGTTCCACTCGGGTTGATTCCATTCCATTCCTTTCCATTGCATTTCACTCGGGTTGATTCCATTCCATTCCGTTCCATTTTATTCCATTCCATTCCATTCCATACCTTTCCATTCCACACGGGTTAATTCCATTCCATTCCATTCCATTGCATTCCATTCCATTCCATTCCATTCCATTCAATTGCATTCCATTCCATTCCATTCCATTCCATTCGGGTTGATCCCTTTCCATTCCATTCCATCCCATTCCATTCCACTCCATTCCATTCCTTTCAATTCATTTACATTCCATTCCACTCCATTCCATTCCATTGAATTCCTTTCCGTACCACTCCATTCTATTCCATTCTATTCCACTCGGGTTTATTCCATTCCATTCCAATCCATTCCATTCCATTGCATTCCACTCGTGTTCATTCCATTCCATTCCATTCTATCCCGTTCCTTTCCATTCTATTCCATTCCATTCCATTCCCTTACACTGGTGTTCATTCCATTCCGTTCCGTTCCATTCCATTCTATTCATTTCCATTCCTTTCCATTGCACTCCACTCGGGTTGATTCCATTCCTTTCCATTCTATTCCATTCCATTCATTTAAATTCCATTCCATTCCATTCCATTCCAGTTCATTCCATTCCTTTCCATTCCATTCCATTCCCTTCCATTCCATTCCATTCCCTTCCATTCCATTCCATTCAATTCCATTCCGTTGCATTGGAATCGGGTTGATTCCAATCCATTCCATTACATTCCAGTCTTTTCCATTCCATTCCATTCCACTCTGTTTGTTTCCATTACGTTGAATTGCATTCCGTTCCATTCCATTCCATTCCATTGAAATTCATTGCATTCCATTCCACTTGGTTTGTTTCCTTTCCATTCCATTAGTTTCCAATAAATTCCCTTGTATTCATTCCATTCCATTCCATTCCATTCCACTCATGTTGATTCTGTTCCATTCCATTCCATTCCATTCCATTCCATTCCATTCCATTCCATTCCATTCCATTCTAGTTGATTCCATTGCATTCCGTGCTGTTCCATTCCATTCCACTCCATTCGAATCCATTCCACTTGGGTTGATTCCATTCCATTACATTACATTCAATTCAATTCCATTCAATTCCATTCCATTGCATTCCACTCGGGTTGATTCCATTCCATTCCATTGCATTCCATTCCATTCCATTTCCTTTCATTCCAGTTGATTCCATTCCATTCCATTCCATTCCATTCCATTCCATTCCATTCCATTCCATTCCATTCTGTTCCACTAGGGTTGATTTCATTCGATTCCGTTCCATTCCTGTTTTCCCTTCCATTCCATTCCATTGCATTCCACTCGGGTTGACTCCATTCCATGACATTGCATTCCATTCCTTTCTATTAAATTCCATTCTTTTCCATTCCATTCCTTTCCACTCGAGTTGATTCCATTCCATTCTATTCCATTCCGTACAATTCCATTCCATTCCATTTCAATCGGGTTGATTCCATTCCATTCAATTCTATTCCATTCCTTTCCATTCCATGCCTCTCAGGTTAATTCTATTCCATTCCATTCCATTGCTTTCCCTTCCATTCCATTCCACTCGGGTGATTCCATTCCATTCCATTCCACTCGGGATAACTCCATTCCATTCCAATCCATTCCTCTCGGGTTGATTCCATTCCATTCCATTCCATTCCATTCCAATCCATTCCATTCCATTCCATTCCATTCCATTCCATTCCATTCCATTCCGTTCCATTCCATTTCTTTCCATTTGATTCCATTCCATTGAATTCCATTCCATTCCTTTCCATTCCAATCCTTTCCACTCGGGTTGATTCCATTCCGTTGCATTCCATTCTTATGGTTTTATATAAATTTTAGGATTTTTTTTCTATTTCTGTGAAGTGTGTTATTAGTATTTCAATAAGGATTGCATTGAATCTGTAGATTGCTTTGTGAAGTATGGGTATTTTAATAATATTTACTCTTCCAATAAATGAACATGGGCAATCTTTCCATTTTTTTTGTGTCCTCTTTAATTTTTTTGCATCAATATTTTATACTTTTCATTGTAGAGATCTTTCACTTCTTCTGTTATGTTTATTCCCAGTTATTTTATTTTATTTGTAGCTATTGTAAATGGGTTTACATTCTTGATTTTCTTCTTTAGATTGTTCATTTTTGTCATTTAGAAATGCTACTCACTTTTGTAGCTTGATTTTGTATGTTGTGACTCTGAATTTGTTGATCAGTTCTAATAGTTTTTTGGTGGAGTCCTTAGGTTTTTCCAAATATAAGATCAAGTCATCTGCAAACAATAAAACATTAATAATTTTACTTCTTTCCAATGTGCATCCCTTTTATTGTTTTTCTCTTGTCTGAATTGCTCTAGCTAGGACTTCCAGTACTGTGTTGAGTAACAGTGTTGGAAGTGGACATTCTTGTCTTGTTCCAGATCTTAGAAGAAAGGCTTTCAGCTTTTCCCTGTTCAGGATGATACTGGCTGTGGGTCTGCTGCATTTGGTTTTTATTGTGTTGTGGTATGTTCCTTCTATATCTAGTTTTTTTTGAGGGTTTCTTTTTATCACAGGGATGTTGAATTTTATTAAATGCTTTTCATTATCAATTGAAATTATCATATGGTTTTTGTCCTTCATTCTGTTGATATGATGTGTCACATTGAGTGATTTGCATATGTTGAACCATGTTGGCATCATCGGGATAAATCCCACTTAGACGTGATGAATGGTCTTTTTCATAGGATGAGTTTGGAATACTACAGCCTTCTCTGTTTTTTGGAATAGTTTGGGTAGGATTGATAGTAATTCTGCCTTCAATGTTTGGTAAAATTAATCCATGAAGCCAGTGAAGCCATTGAATCCAGGCTTTTCTTTGCTAGGAGATGTTTTATTATGGCTTCAATTTCATTTATCCATTTCTTCTAGGTTTTTTTTTTTGAGATGGAATCTTGCTCTGTCACCCAGGCTGCTTCGTGGTACAATCTCAGCTCACTGCAGCCTCTGCCTCCCAGGTTCAAGTGATTTTCCTGCCTCAGCCTCTGGAGTAGCTGGAAGTACAGGTGCATGCCACCATACCTGGCTAATTTTTGTATTTGTAGTAGAGATGGGGTTTCACCATGTTGGCCAGGCTGGTCTTGAACTCCTGACCTCAGGTGATCACCTGCCTTGGCTTCCCAAAGTGTTGGGATTACAGGCATGAGCCACGGTGCCCAGCCATTTCTTCCAGGTTTTTCAATTTATTGGAATATAGTCGGTCATAATAGTTTCTAACGATTCTTTGAATTTCCACAGTATCAGTTATAGTGTCTCCTTTTCAATCTCTGGTTTTATGTATTGGAATCTTCTCTCTTTTTTCTTAGTCTGGTTAAATGTTTGTTGATTTTGTTGGTCTTTTAAAAATATTAACTTTTCATTTCATTGATATTTTATATTGCTAAATTTCAATTTCATTTATTTCTGCTCCGACCTTTGCTATGCTTCCTTCTACTAATTTTGGTTTTGGTTTGTTCTTGCTTTTCTAATTATTTAAGATGCATTATTAGGTTGTTTATTTGAAGCTTTTCTACTTTTTTTGATGTAGGTGCTTTTTTCTATAAACTTACCTCTTAGTACTGTAGTACTGTTTTTACTGTATCCCATAGGTTTTTTTTTTTTTTGAAATGGAGTCTCGCTCTGTTTCCCAGGCTGGAGTGCAGTGACGCGATCTTGGCTCACTGCAAGCTCCGCCTCCTGGGTTCACGCCATTCTCGTGCCTCAGCCTCCCAAGTAGCTGGGACTACAGGCGCCCGCCTTCACGCCCGGCTAATTTTTTTTTTTTGCATTTTTAGTAGAGATGGGGTTTCACCGTGTTAGCCAGGATGGACTCAATCTCCTGACCCTATCATCCGCCCGCCTTGGCCTCCCAAAGTGCTGGGATTACAGGCATGAGCCACTGCGCCCGGCCTCTACCCTAGGTTTTGGTTTGACTTTAAACTTTTTCTTTTCTTGAAAACTCAGTGTCATGGTACCGGCTTCTTGTGCTTTGGGCAGTGAGACCCTTTTACTTGATAACAATGGTAGCTGGGACAATTTGGCAATGTAAATAAATAAACAGCATCTAGATTGGAAAAGAAGAAGTACAGTTATCTTTATGTACAGATGACATGATCTTGCATTTAGAAAATCGTAAGAAATTTACTAAAAAGTATTAGGACTCATGAACAAATTTAAGAATGTAACACTGTATAAGATTGGTATACAAAAATAACTGTATTTCTTTACCAAGAAATCAAGAATCCAAAAATGGAATTACAAAAATAAATCTTGTTACAATAGAATTAAAGCTGGGGAAGCTTAAACTTGAACACTAAAAACTACAATACATGGTTAGCGTTGGAAACACCCAGATACCATCCCTGAGCCTTCTCTCCTTGGCTCTGAGGGCTTTACCTTCACGGGGTGAGGAAAGGGGTTGCATTCTTGGCTTTTACATTATATTAGGTGGGTTCGGGTTGAGGTATCTGCAATTCAAATGAGTATTACAATCTCTACTTTTATGGATAAGAGACTGAGGCCCACCAAGAGAGGGAATGACAGTCCATATCCTGGAAGGTGAATTGTCAGGCACTGATTTCCGCTATTTAACCCCTGCCAATCATCAAGTATTTAAAGGATCCCCGGATACCATACCAATAGGTGTTCAAGAGAGAGGCCTGTAATCTAGGCGTCTGAGAAAACAAGGCTATAGATTCCAATATTAGAGACAACAGGGCTCTGGGAAGATTAAGGTTGAGTTTTCTGGATCTGCAGAATAGAGTCACTGAGGACCAATTGCAAGATCAGAGGAGATGAAAGAACAAGTCAGGGCATGCTTAGGAAAAGAGAATACCAGGGATAGGTTTTAGGCAAGAGTCACACTGAGGAAGGGCAGGTTCTTGGCGTCGCTCAGGAAGAAATCCAAAAGCAAGCCTCTGGTGGAAGAAAGCAGCTCTACGGAGGCATTGGCGGTGTTACAACCCTGCATCCACTCCGGCAGGGCAGGGAGCCCTCCGTGGGTTGTGCTCCCAGAGCAGCAGCCTAGGGGTGGCTTGTAGTCACTTTTATAATTCACTTTTAATGGCATGCTAATTAAGGGGCGGGTTATTCAGAGATAGCTAGAAATGGGCAGTAACTTCCATCTGTTTCCATGGCAAGGGGTGGGGACTTCTCGTGATGACATGGCATTGGCAAACTGTCATGGCACTGGAGGGAGCGTCTTCTGGTGATCTGAGGTGTGAGGTGCTTTCGCTGCCTCTCCCAGTTTCCTGCGTGCCTCTTACCTGAAAGCCTATCAACACCCCCATCTGCCCACCTACAAACGTCACTGCCCTTTCACCCCACCCCCGTTTCACACGCACTCCCACATCAACCCTGAGCATTCAAGCCTGCGTTTCCCTGTTAGGAACATCGGTGGTAGCCAGAGCTCTGAGAAACCCCTATGCAGAACTCCTTGCCTAGTTTGTGGCAGAAATCAGGGAAGGAAAGGCAAATTTCAGGTCTTTCTCACAATAAATAAATAAAGATAGGTAGATTTGATTGATGGATGGATGGATGAAACGTGGGAGTCTACGGGCAAATATTTATCAGACACTGGAAGTGAAAGTTGTCACAAAGATTATGGAGTGCACCTGTCTTATGACCCTGTTATTTTATCCTAGTATATGCACTAGAGCATATTTTCTAACTGTGTAAATTGAAGGCTCACAAATTAGTTTAGTGAGAGAAAAGATAACAGATTGGAAGAGAATTACCATATTCATTAGTTGTGTTTTTAAAATTTTAAAGTAAAATAGAGACATGATTTTTTTCATGCTTTCGAATGCATCTATAAAAAATAGACTTGAGGGCTGGGCGCAGTGGCTCACACTTGTAATCGCAGCACCTTGGGAGGCCGAGGAGGGCGGATCACGAGGTCAGGAGTTGGAGACCAGCCTGACCAACATGGTGAAAACCCGTCTCTACTAAAAATACAAAAATTAGGCGAGTGTGGTGGCGCGCGCCTGTAATCCCAGGTACTTAGGAGGCTGAGGCAGGAGAATCACTTGAACCCGGGAAGCGGAGGTTGCAGTGAGCCAAGATCGCACCATTGCATTCCAGCCTGGGCGACAGAGTGAGACTCTGTCTCAAAAAAAAAAAAAAAGTTACTGATTAATAGCATAGACCAATTGGCCTCTATTGAAATTTCTTCATTATTTTCACAATGTCCCAGGCTGTGAAACCAGTATTTAATAAAGAACCAGAATGCCACATCTGTGTCAACTGGGTAGGGACCAGTCCTGATACATTAAGTCCGGGTCTCTGGGTAACTGGACTCAACTGCTGGGCAAAACAGAATGTCCGGTGTGGGTTCCTAAAGGAGGACCGCAAAGCCTCATGGGAATTGTAGTGTCACCTTCCAATGACGTTACCATCAAGGACCTTGGGAACCAGCTTTTCTCTCTGCGGATGCGCCGCCCGGCCCACTCCGCCATTTTCCTCCGGAAGTGTGGCACCCAGAGGCGGTCCTGTAGCTGGGCCGGCTTGGGGCTTGGTTCTATGTCCCTGTGGGTTGGTGCAAGGGCCAGGAGGAACCCGTGAGCCTCAGGGGATCCCAGGGGGCCGGACCAGTGTTCCCTAGTTGTGGGAACAGACGCGTGGGCGCATCGCGGGAGGGCAGGGCCTGAAGAGCAGGTGCGGGCTGCGGACCCTGGCGGGGGCTGGGAGGACAGGCGTGGGGTCCCAGCAGTGACGCGGGTTCTAGAGGCACAGGAGCGGGTAGGAGAGGCCGGTGGCCCTGGGCCCGGAGTCTGCAGGCTGCGCTCCTGTCCTGCCGCTGAGGGACCCGGTTACCAACCCGCATGACGCTCAGTTTGCCCATCTGTCCCAGTGCTAACACACAGTTCTCGGGAGACGTTCCCCATTCCCAGAGGAGTAGTGTGAAACGCGTGCGCCTCTAGTCTTAAACTTGACGTTTGTATTAGTTGGGTTTCCTGGTGTCTCTTTAGCAAGTGAAGTTTCTGGTTCCCTCC
The DNA here is from genome assembly GCF_000001405.40 of Homo sapiens. NCBI lineage: Eukaryota > Metazoa > Chordata > Mammalia > Primates > Hominidae > Homo > Homo sapiens. Next base: position 87,098 of record NW_021159991.1, read on the forward strand.
TTCACTGTGTGACCTGCCTAGTCCTCCTGGGTCGCATTTACAGAAGTTTATACGAGACCTAGTTTCCAGGGAAGAACTCACTGATTCCGCGAGGGAGATGGCGTAATAGATGATGGTCGTCAGCCTTAAGGGTACTTCAGTCTTAACTGTGTGTTAGAAAGTTTGAAAGGGAGGGTTCCCTATGAATAAGAAGCACACTTGAAAGAACAGCCGTCTGGTCTAACCTCTCACTGGTGCTTCAGAGGAGGAAAAAAGGTCACAGGTGAAGATCCCAGTTTTCCTTGCTCAGGAAATATTAATTCTACTCCCTAGAATGCACAAGATTTGCAAAGACTAGGTGATAGTAGAAGGTTTGGACGAACTTTCAGAAGGTTGAGGTGAATTCAGCTGAGAAAAACAGGCAAGGACTTAGGAAATATTCCTTATTTGAAGGGGTCTGAAAGTGTGGTCTGTGGTACAGGAGTGACCTGTCATACTTGAGAGGATTAAAATACTCTCCACAGTCCCATTCCTTCAATCTTAGCTCGTTTTTTCGCGTCTGAGATATATTAAACCTAGTCCATCACCAAATTTAGCATTAGATTGAGAAGTTCTATTGATTGTATTTGATTTGTAATTTAAGATTTTCTCCCCCTACATAATTTTGTTAAAAACACAGAAGTGAATTCTGTTCACTTAGGTGTAACAGTTAATACTTGCTGTTTAAGGAACTAATTAAACCTTACTGGCTTATAAAAAACAACCACCATTTTATTTGTTTGAAGTTCTGTGGATCTGCATTTTGGTGTGGTGGATTCACCTGGGTAGTTGATATATTTGTGTTGCCTGGATCACAAAAAGGCCTTAGTCACCTGGTGCCTTGACTGAGCCTGGTTGGTTTAAGATAGTTTCCTTCACAATCTGGTGGTTTGTGGTGACTCTTGGCTAGGCCCTGTGTCTCCAACAGGGTAGCTCCAGACCTCTTCACAATTTCTCCCAAAAAGGGAAGAACCAATGGATATTTGCATCACATTTTCCATTGTCCATTCACTGGACAAGTCAGATGGAAAAGCCCAATTTATTGTCAGAGCATAATATGAGGGCTTGGATAGAAGGAAAAGTGTTATTGGGAAACATGAGTGGAATGGTGTACTGTAGGAAATACGCATTATGTACATTTTAAAAAACGTAATTGTAGGCCAAAATTGCTGGTTTGCAAGATGCACTTTCCATGATGTTCAGGTATAGAAAAGCAAGAGGTACTGTCACGGGAACACTCATATGAAGTTATTTGTGGAATCTACATATTAATAGGAAAATAGTTAATACAGCCCAGTATATTTCTATAACATTTATTTTAGTGAACTTATGTTTCTTTGTATTAAATTATTAGATTATATCTTTAGATAATATTGTTACTAAATTAGTAGGTAATACATATATTTATTCAAAAATAAATTGTGCATCTAATGTCTACCAATTAATGTACTTGTCTATGTATCTTATCTTAACTTGAGCCTCTGCTGCCCCTAATGAGGCGTGAAGAACTCTTCTCCCCTGGAGAAGTTTTTCTTTTTCAGGAGGGAGGAGGGCTTTCCCAGGTAATGTCTCTAGAGCGTTGGGCAGAAGAATCTGGGACCACACCACACCAGTTCTCTCCTTAATCCACGTCATTTGCCTTCTATCCCAGCTATGTTTCCAGTGTCCTCTGGGTGTTTCCAAGAGCAACAAGAAACGAATAAATCTCTGGTGAGTTGCTTACTTGTTCTTCACTTTGTTTTACACTGTATTTTCTGAGTTTATGGGTGTCTGTGAATTAAAAAGGAAAAGTAGAAATAAGTAAAACTCAGGTTGAAGGAAATATACATAAATAAGATAAAGCTGACCTGTAGATATAGGCAGGTTATAAGAGCTTAGAGTAGTCTCAGTTGGGTGCAAATTTTCCTCTGATCTTTCTGATGCCGAGACAAAAAAGGCAGTCATATTTGTTACGTAATTGGAATGGAACCCGAGAAGAGAGCATGCTGTGTTCTTGTGGGACAGGAAAGATTGTGTGCACCAAGTCCGAACCACCACCTTCATTGGTGACATAGATTATGTGCTGGAACATATTTCACACCGGCCTGGCAGTAACCACTTGTAGTGTTGTGCAGTGGAAACGGTCATCTTCCGCTAAAGCACAGCGTGTTGTGCAGTGGAAATGGTCATCTGCCGCTAAAGCACAGCTTCCATCGTAAGGTGTGCTCATTGCTCAAAGAGTGTGGTCCCAAACAGCTTTTGGGAGGTCCTCCTTGATTCATGGATGAAACCCAGAACATCTTGAGGACTGAGTTAACCATAGGCCCTTAAATAACTCTCCAGACATTTTTCTTAGTTTATCTCTACATGCAGGGTGTGCAGCAGCCTGTTCAAAGTCATATTTTCTGGGAAATATTTCCAGTGTTTATTTGCACTTTAGCCCACTCTGTGTAGTCTTAACTTATTTCTTCTAAACTCACCATTAACCTAAATAATAGTCAAATTTAGGGGGACTGTATTTGACTTACTCAAGTCTTCTACCATAGTTGAAACTGTAGTACCCGAGTAAGTTAGAGATAAACGCCACACTTTGAGACGAATTCAGGGGTCCTTTATTAGCTGGTGACTGAGAGACGGCTAATGCACGAAATTCTCTCGGCCCCGAGGAAGGGACTAGATTTTCTTTTATAATTTGGTTTAGAGAGGGGAGGGGGGATTCTAGCTGCAGCAACTTTACAGAAGAAAAAAACAGACAAAAAAGTTAAAAAGACAGATGGTTACAGGAAAACAAACTGTTCCAGGTGCAGGGGCTTTAAATTCACCACAAAGTGATAGGTGAGGGGGCTCTGGGCATTATCTGCCAGACAAATGTGGGGCTTTATGATACTATCTCTGAATAAATTGCTGGGAACTGCAGACATCGCTTGTCTAAGCACTTTATCAGTTAATTGCACTCTTTGATATGTTGAAAGTCAACTTGCACAAGTTAAAGTCCTTGAGGAAAGGGGGTGGGTAGGGAGCCCTTGATGTCTTGTAAATGAAGGAGCCAAATGGAGTTTGTCTGGTTTTCTCAGCTAAGGGAGAGTCTATTCATATTAAAAACAAGGTTATCTATCTAAGGAAGAGTCTATTCATGTTACAACGTTGGGTATTACAAAACATCTGTTCATGATCTGGAAATTCATCTGTGTTAGTTCTGTTAAAAGAAAAACTTTAAAGGAGTTTAATAGAGCAATAAACGATTCACGAATCAGACAGTCCCCAGAATCACAGCAGATTCACAGAGACTCCAGCGCATTCGTGTGGTGGAAGAAGATTTATAGACAAAAGGGAAATGGCATACTGAAATCGGAAGTGAGGTACAGAAACAACTCAGTGTTTGCCTTGTTTGAACACAGTTTGAACATTTGGCAGTGCCTGAGTGGTTGAAGTTTGGCCATTGGGATTGGCCAAGATGTAGCTGTTGTTCAAGATGCATACTCTTAAGTTAGTTTTTCATTCTTCTATACCTATTAAGGTAGGTTACAGTTCATCCACAATGACTCATATATAGAATTATGGAGTCCTTCTCAGGCCATACTTAGTTCACTTTAACAATGCCTTCCCTTTGGTTATTTTCTCAATTTTGAGAGATTGGCCAAAACTTCAGTCACTGGTGTCACTATTACCATTGCAAATGTACTTACTTGGTTTAGAAACCCACTGGGAAATAGACCAGTGAGATTTGAAAAGGTGGAACAAGGACTTGAGTAGAAGGTGTCTTCTTATGCTGGAACATCCTGTTTACAGGAGAAAAACAAAACCTGGTTTGTTCTAGGATTTATGTGTTTCCTTAAAGTCTTAGTTTGATTATGTTACATTTAGCATGAGTGACTCCATTTTGGTTTGGTTTGGTCTGTTGGGACCTATTGCATGAGTTTAGTTCAAAACAATGACCTCCCATAATTTTGCTTAAAAAATTCCTCCTTTTGGCTGGGCGCGGTGGCTCACACATGTAATCCCAGCACTTTGGGAGGCTGAGGTGGGCAGATCACGAGGTCAGGAGATTGAGACCATCCTTGCTAATAAGGTGAAACCCCATCTCTACTAAAAATACAAAAAATTAGCCAAGCGTAGTGGTGGGTGCCTGTAGTCCCAGCTACTCAGGAGGCTGAGGTAGGAGAATGGCCTGAACCTGGGAGGTGGAGCTTGCAGTGAGCCAAGATTTTGCCACTGCACTCCACTCTGGGGGACAGGCCAAGACTCTGTCTTAGAAAAAAAAGTCCTCCTTTTCAGTCAAGTTCTCACTTAGTTGCGAGTGTGACTAAAATATAGGGCCTTAGCATCACTCTTAGTTACCATTGTTTTGGGTTCCGGGTTTAGCACGTCATTCCCATTGTTTTGGGTTTCTGGTTTAGCACATCACTCCCATTGTTTTGGGTTCCAGTTTTAGCACGTCACTCCCATTGTTTTGGGTTCTGGTTTAGCACGTCACTCCCATTGTTTTGGGTTCTGGTTTTAGCACGTCACTCCCATTGTTTTGGGTTTCTGGTTTAGCAGGATGCTCCCATTGTTTTCAGTTTCTGATTTAGCAGGATGCTCCCATTGTTTTGGGTTTCTGGTTTAGCAGGTCACTCCCATTGTTTTGGGTTCCAGTTTTAGCACGTCACTCCCGTTGTTTTGGGTTCCAGTTTTAGCACGTCACTCCCATTGTTTTGGGTTTCTGGTTTAGCAGGTCACTCCCATTGTTTTCGGTTTCTGGGTTAGCAGGATGCTCCCATTGTTTTGGGTTTCTGGTTTAGCAGGTCACTCCCATTGTTTTGGGTTCCGGTTTTAGCACATCACTCCCATTGTTTTCATTTCCGGTTTTAGCACATCACTCCCATTGTTTTGGGTTCCAGTTTTAGCAAGTCACTCCCATTGTTTTGGGTTCTGATTTTAGTGCACGTCACCCCCATTGTTTTGGGTTCCAGTTTTAGTATATCACTCTCATTGTTTTGGGTTTCTGGTTTAGCACGTCACTCCCATTGTTTTGGGTTTCTGGTTTCGCAGGTCACTCCCATTGTTTTGGGTTCTGGTTTAAGCACATCACTCCCATTGTTTTCATTTCCGCTTTTGGCACGTCACTCCCATTGTTTTGGGTTCCAGTTTTAGCAAGTCACTCCCATTGTTTTGGGTTTCTTGTTTAGCACGTCACTCCCATTGTTTTGGGTTCTGGTTTTAGTGCACGTCACTCCCATTGTTTTGGGTTCCCGTTTTAGTACATCACTCCCATTGTTTTGGGTTTCTGGTTTAGCATGTCACCCCCATTGTTTTGGGTTTCCGGTTTAGCATGTCACTCATAGGTTATGGTGTCCTTACGGTTGCCCTTTTTTTTTAATCTCTTGTCATTCCAGTTGAAGAGATACCATTTGATATTTTAGAGATGCCTGCATGCAAACTCTTAAAACATTTGAGTAAGTACAGTGCAACAGGGAGACTCTTATGACTGTTGGGATAACACCAAGAATTTGGTATATGCTCCTAACTCAGGGTCCCCATAAATCAAACCACCTAAAATCAAATAGATTAAAGAATGAATTAGATAAAGAGTTTACTTGCTTAACTAAGTGGGTTTTTTTGTTAATTCCCTACAACCAAATTTTTATAATACCCCATGTTTTCTCCACATGCTGTAAGTGTTAGCAGCTGCACAGATACTTAAGATAAGTGTCTCATGATAGTAGAGAAGTCTTGATCTGTGATCGTGGGAAAAGCTGTTCACATTAAGGATGCCATCTTCTTCTGGGGGGAACTGTCCTTGTTAGCTTTACCTTAAGGGTTCCAATGGGTATATGGTTCCAAGTGTGGAAGGACCTTTCTGAGTTGTGAGACTATGAACCCAAAGTTTAAGGTTTTAAAGTTTTGCTGTCATGTGGATGGCAAGGGCAGTCCTTCTCTGATGTTCTCAGAAGATCCAGTCATCAGATTCCAGATTTTGAAGGAGTTGACTGTCCTCAGCGAACCATAAAAGGCTTTCTTTACCTGGTGAAAATACACTTCAGGGTAATAATGTACTGTTTTAACATCAACTCTCTCGCATGGAAGAGCTTTTATACAATCAGAAAACATGCACTGAAAATGACAACTGAATCAAATCCCTTTATAAAATGTTTAAATGGCCCATCAGGTAACCAAATGTACCTGAAGTTTTGATTGTTTTCCTAGAAATATAGGTTTGACAAACTAAACATTGGTTATAAACTATTTTAGCAGTTTAGAAATCACCACACCAATATATTTAATTTGGATCATTTTCTCTTTCCATGATGAGTTATGGAATGCAGAACTTTTAATAACAAAAGTTTTAAGGACTTAAGAAGGATAAGGTGGCCATCCTGGTTCTTCATAAGTCTGTGCTTAATTAACATTAGACTTACATCCTCTTGAATACCAGCTGTTTCTCCAAATTACGTGCATGGCACTGGTAACTGATGAGTAGTTATAGGTGATTTGACTTAGACCATGGAGTTTATTTAAATTATATACCTAAACAATTTCAATATTGGTGATTTAGCATGCAAATGTGGCAAAATATTTCCTTGGTATACAATTTTTGTTTTACTTAGGTTAGCAGTTTTATAAACCAGTTGGTCTATTTATTAAACTTTTGGGCTTTTTTTTGAGACAGAGTCTCACTCTGTTACCTAGGTTGGAGTGCAGTGGCAAAATCTTGGCTCACTGCAACCTCCACCTCCTGGGTTCAAACAATTCTCTTGCCTCAGCCTCCAGAGTAGCTGGGATTACAGGCACAAACCACCACACCCGGCTAATTTTTACTAATTTTTACATTTTTAGTAGAGGTGGGGTTTCACCGTTAGCCAGGCTGGTCTCAAACTCCTGACCTCAAGTGATCCACTGGCCTTGGCCTCCCAAAGTGCTGGGATTGCTGACGTGAGCCGCTGCACCCAGCCTAACTTTTGAGAATTCTTAACCTGTCCAATTCTTGGGGTATCAGGGAACTTATGGGGAATTTTTACCCATTATATTAAAGTTATTAAAAATCTGTGTTCACGAGTGTTTTTCAGGATCCTTTTCATTCTTTCATGAATCTTCTAAGAGACACCATATTCTAGAATTTTGCATGCTTGTGAAGTTTTTAGAAACTGCATCACCATTAAGCAATTAACTGTGGAAATGACTTTAAATAGTTATAGATAAAGACAATTGACAAGGAAATTTGGTTATTTCTGTGGTCTACAATAACTTAATAACCATAATTAGGGTGGATGTGGTGGCTCATGCCTGTAATCCCGCACTTTGGGAGGCCGAGGTGGAAGGATCACGAGGTCAGGAGATCGAGACCATCCTGGCTAACACAGTGAAATCTGTCTTTGCTAAAAATACAAAAATTAGCCTGGCATGGTGGTGGGTGCCTGTAGTCCCAGCTACTCAGGAGGCTGAGGCAGGAGAATGGCATGAACTCGGGAGGTGGAGGTTGCAGTGAGCCAAGATTGCACCACTGTACTCCAGCCTGGGTGACAGAGCAAGACTCCTTCTCAGAAAAAAAAAATACAAGAATTTTAGAAATCCTACACAAATTTAGAATGGATTGATGACATACACTGAATATAACCTAAAGAAGGTTCAACATTATTTTTTATTTTGACAGTGCTAGCCATGTGACTTAACATGTTAAATAGTCCTGTTTACCTCTCTTTTGGGTGCTTCAGGGGCCTCTGTAGTATCCCAAAGTTAGAGGTCAGAACATAAAATTTTGAAGTTGTAATTTGATTTTGGGAAGCCTATTAAATATATTAAAGGTTTAAACACTTGATGTTATGAAATAGAATTCCACGTCAACGTAAGTCATTCATTTACCTAAAATCATGACTTAAAAAATTTTTAAAGGGCAAAAATCTTTACTCATTGATAGGGGGAAGACTTATCTCCACAAATAATCTGCCTCTTGTTTTTCCTTTTTTTTGGTAGTTTATTTACAAGGCAAACAAATTTTTCATTTTTTAATTTTATTTTATTATTATTATTATTATTATTATACTTTAAGTTTTAGGGTTTATGTGCATAATGTGCCAGTTAGTTACATATGTATACATGTGCCAGTCTGGTGTGCTGCACCCCTTAACTCGTCATTTAGCATTAGGTATATCTCCTAATGCTATCCCTCCCCCTCCCCCCACCCCACAACAGTCCCCAGAGTGTGATGTTCCCCTTCCTTTGTCCATGTGTTCTCATTGTTCAATTCCCATCTATGAATGAGAACATTCAGTGATTGGTTTTTTGTCCTTGTGATAGTTTACTGAGAATGATGATTTCCAATTTCATCCATATCCCTACAAAGGACATGAACTCATCATTTTTTATGGCTGCATAGTATTCCATGGTGTATATGTGCCACAATTTCTCAATCCAGTCTATTGTTGTTGGACATTTGGGTTGGTTCCAAGTCTTTGCTATTGTGAATAGTGCAGCAATAAACATACGTGTGTATGTGTGTTTATAGCAGCATGATTTATAGTCCTTTGGTTATATACCCACTAATGGGATGGCTGGATCAAATGGTATTTCTAGTTCCAGATACTTGAGGAATCACCACACTGACTTCCACAATCGTTGAACTAGTTTACAGTCCCACCAACAGTTTAAAAGTGTTTCTATTTCTCCACATCCTCTCCAGCACCTGTTGTTTCCTGACTTTTTAATGATTGTGATTCTAACTGGTGTGAGATGGTATCTCATTGTGGTTTTGATTTGCATTTCTCTGATGGCCAGTGATGATGAGCATTTTTTCATGTGTCTTTTGGCTGCATAAAGGTCTTCTTTTGAGAAGTGTCTATTCATATCCTTCACCCACTTTTTGATGGGGTTGTATTTCTTTTCTTGTAAATTTGTTTAAGTTCGTTGTAGATTCTGGATATTAGCCCTTTGTCAGATGAGTAGGTTGCAAAAATTTTCTCCCATTTTGTAGGTTGCCTGTTCACTCTGATGGCAGTTTCTTTTGCTGTGCAGAAGTTCTTTAGTTTGATTAGATCCCATTTGTCAATTTTGGCTTTTGTTGCCATTGCTTCTGGTGTTTTAGACATGAAGTCCTTGCCCATGCCTATGTCCTGAATGGTAATGCCTAGTTTTACTTCCAGGGTTTTTATGGTTTCAGGTCTAACATTTAAGTCTTTAATCCATCTTGAATTAATTTTTGTATAAGGTGTAAGGAAGGGATCCAGTTTCAGCTTTCTACATATGGCTAGCCAGTTTTCCCAGCACCATTTATTAAATAGGGGATCCACTCCTTGTTTTTGTCAGGTTTGTCAAAGATCAGATAGTTGTAGATATGCAGCATTATTTCTGATGGCTCTGTTCTGTTCCATTGGTCTATATCTCTGTTTTGGTACCCGTACCATGCTGTTTTGGTTACTGTAGCCTTGTAGTATAGTTTGAAGTCAGGTAGGGTGATGTCTCCAGCTTTGTTCTTCTGGCTTAGGATTGACTTGGTGATGCAGGCTCTTTTTTGGTTCCATATGAGCTTTAAAGTAGTTTTTTCCAATTCTGTGAAGAAAGTCATTGGTAGCTTGATGGGGATGGCATTGAATCTATACATTACCTTGGGCAGTATGGCCATTTTCATGATATTGATTCTTCCTATCCATGAGTATGGAATGTTCTTCCATTTGTTTTTATCCTCTTTTATTTCATTGAGCAGTGGTTTGTAGTTCTCCTTGAAGAGGTCCTTCACGTCCCTTGTAAATTGGATTCCTAAGTATTTTATTCTCTTTGAAGCAATTGCATATGGGAGTTCACTCATGATTTGGCTCTCTGTTTGTCTGTTATTGGTGTATAAGAATGCTTGTGATTTTTGTACACTGATTTTGTATCCTGAGACTTTGCTGAGGTTACTTATCAGCTTAAGGAGATTTTGGGCTGAGACAATGGGGTTTTCTAGATATACAATCATGTCATCTGCAAAGAGGGACAATTTGACTTCTTCTTTTCCTAATTGAATACCCTTTATTTCCTTCTCCTGCTTGATTGCCCTGGCCAGAACTCCCAACACTATATTGAATAGGAGTGATGAGAGAGGGCATCCCTGTCTTGTGCCCGTTTTCAAAGGGAATGCTTCTAGTTTTTGCCCATTCAGTATGATATTGACTGTGGGTTTGTCATAGATAGCTCTTATTATTTTGAGATAAGTCCCATCAATACCTAATTTTTGAGAGTTTTTAGCATGAAGCATTGTTGAATTTTGTCAAAGGACTTTTCTGCATCTATTGAGATAATCATGTGGTTTTTGTCTTTGGTTCTGTTTATATGCTGGATTACGTTTATTGATTTGCATATATTGAACCAGCCTTGCATCCCAGGGATGAAACCCACTTGATCATGGTGGATAAGCTTTTTGATGTGCTGCTGGATTCGGTTTGCCAGTATTTTATTGAGGATTTTTGCATCAATGTTCGTCAAGGATATTGGTCTAAAATTCTATTTTTTGGTTGTGTCTCTTCCCGGCTTTGGTATCAGGATGATGCTGGCCTCATAAATTGAGTTAGGGAGGACTCCTTCTTTTTTTATTGATTGGAATAGTTTCAGAAGGAATGGTAACAGTTCCTCCTTGTACCTCTGGTAGAATTTGGCTGTGAATCCATCTGGTCCTGGACTCTTTTTGGTTGGTAAGCTATTGATTATTGCCACAATTTCAGATCCTATTATTGGTCTATTCAGAGATTCAACTTCTTCCTGGTTTAGTCTTGGGAGAGTGTATGTGTGGAGGAATTTATCCATTTCTTCTAGATTTTCTAGTTTATTTGTGTACAGGTGCTTGTAGTATTCTCTGATGGTAGTTTGTATTTCTGAGGGATCAGTGGTGATATCCCCTTTATTATTTTTATTGTGTCTATTTGATTCTTCTCTCTTTTTTTCTTTATTAGTCCTGCTAGCAGTGTATCAATTTTGTTGATCCTTTCATAAAACCAGCTCCTGGATTCATTAATTTTTTGAAGCGTTTTTTTGTTGCTATTTCCTTCAGTTCTGCTCTGATTTTAGTTATTTCTTGCCTTCTGCTAGCTTTTGAATGTGTTTGCTCTTGCTTTTCTAGTTCTTTTAATTGTGATGTTAGGGTGTCAATTTTGGATCTTTCCTGCTTTCCCTTGTGGGCATTTAATGCTATAAATTTCCCTGTACACACTGCTTTGAATGTGTCCCAGAGATTCCGGTATGTTGTGTCTTTGTTCTCGTTGGTTTCAAAGAACATCTTTATTTCTGCCTTCATTTTATTATGTACCCAGTAGTCATTCAGGAGCAGGTTGTTCAGTTTCCATGTAGTTGAGCAGTTTTGAGTGAGTTTCTTAATGCCGAGTTCTAGTTTGATTGCACTGTGGTCTGAGAGACAGTTTAATTTCTGTTCTTTTACATTTGCTGAAGAGGGCTTTACTTCCAAGTATGTGGTCAATTTTGGAATAGGTGTGGTGTGGTGCTGAAAAAAATGTATATTCTGTTGATTTGGTGTGGAGAGTTCTGTAGATGTCTATTAGGTCCACTTGGTGCAGGGCTGAGTTCAATTCCTTGGTATCCTTGTGAACTTTCTGTCTTATTGATCTGTCTAATGTTGACAGTGGGGTGTTAAAGTCTCCCATTATTATTGTGTGGGAGTCTAAGTCTCTTTGTAGGTCACTCAGGACTTGCTTTATGAATCTTGGTGCTCCTGTATTGGGTGCATATATATTTAGGATAGTTAGCTCTTCTTGTTGAATTGATCCCTTTACCATTATGTAATGGTCTTCTTTGTCTCTTTTGATCTTTGTTGGTTTACAGTCTGTTCCATCAGAGTCTAGGATTGCAACCCCTGCCTTTTTTTGTTTTCCATTTGCTTGGTAGATCTTCCTCCATCCTTTTATTTTGAGCCTATGTGTGTCTCTGCACGTGACGTGGGTTTCCTGAATACAGCACACTGTTGGGTCTTGACTCTTTATCCAATTAGCCAGTCTGTGTCTTTTAATTGGAGCATTTAGTCCATTTACATTTAAAGTTAATATTGTTATGTGTGAATTTGATCCTGTCATTATGATGTTAGCTGGTTATTTTGCTCGTTAATTGACGCAGTTTCTTCCTAGTCTTGATGTTCTTTACAATTTGGCATGTTTTTTCAGTGGCTGGTACCGATTGTGCCTTTCCATGTTTAGTGCTTCCTTCAGGAGCTCTTTTAGGACAGGCCTGGTGGTGACAAAATCGCTCAGCATTTGCTTGTCTGTAAAGTATTTTATTTCTCCTTCACTTATGAAGCTTAGTTTGGCTGGATATGAAATTCTGGGTTGAAAATTCTTTTCTGTAAGAATGTTGAATATTGGCCCCCACTCTCTTCTTGCTTGTAGAGTTTCTGCCAAGAGATCAGCAGTTATTCTGATGGGCTTCCCTTTATGGGTAACCTGACCTTTCTCTCTGGTTGCCCTTAACATTTTTTCCTTCATTTCAACTTTGGTGAATCTCACAATTATGTGTCTTGGAGTTGCTGTTCTCGAGGAGTATCTTTGTGGCATTCTCTGTATTTCCTGAATCTGAATGTTGGCTGGCTTTGCTGGATTGGGGAAGTTCTCCAGGATAATATCCTGCAGAGTGATTTCCAACTTGGTTCCATTCTCCCCGTCACTTTCAGGTACACCAATCAGATGCAGATTTGGTCTTTTCACATAGTCCCATATTTCTTGGAGGCTTTGTTCATTTCTTCTTATTCTTTTTTTTCTAAACTTCCCTTCTTGTTTCATTTCATTCATTTCATCTTTCATCACTGATACACTTTCTTCCAGTTGATCTCATCATCTCCTGAGGCTTCTGCATTCTTCACATAGTTCTCGAGCCTTGGCTTTCAGCTCCATTAGCTCCTTTAAGCACTTCTCTATATTGGTTATTCTAGTTATACATTCGTCTAAAGTTTTTTCAAAGTTTTCAACTTCTTTGCCTTTGGTTTGAATTTCCTCCTGTAGCTCGGAGTAGTTTGATGGTCCGAAGCCCTCTTCTCTCAACTCGTCAAAGTCATTCTCTGTCCAGCTTTGTTCCATTGCTGGTGAGGAACAGCGTTCCTTTGGCGGAGGAGAGGTGCTCTGCTTTTTAGAGTTTCCAGTTTTTCTGCTCTGTTTTTTCCCCATCTTTGTGGTTTTATCTACTTTTGGTCTTGGATGATGGTGATGTACAGATGGGTTTTTGGTGTGGATGTCCTTTCTGTTTGTTAGTTTTCCTTCTAACAGACATGACCCTCAGCTTCAGGTCTGTTGGAGTTTGCTAGAGGCCCATTCCAGACCCTGTTTGCCTGGCTATCAGCAGTGGTGTCTGCAAAATCGTGGATTTTCGTGATCCGCGAATGCTGCTGTCTGATCGTTCCTCTGGAAGTTTTGTCTCAGAGGAGTACCTGGTCGTGTGAGGTGTCAGTCTGCCCCTACTGGGGGGTGCCTCCCAGGTAGGCTGCTTGGGGGTCAGGGGTCAGGGACCCACTTGAGGAGGCAGTCTGCCCATTCTCAGATCTCCAGCTGCATGCTGGGAGAACCACTGCTCTCCTCAAAGCTGTCAGACAGGGACATTTAAGTCTGCAGAGGTTACTGCTGTCTTTTTGTTTGTCTGTGCCCTGCCCCCAGAGGTGGAGCCTGCAGAGGCAGGACGGCCTCCTTGAGCTGTGGTGGGCTCCACCCAGTTCGAGCTTCCTGGCTGCTTTGTTTACCTAAGAGAGCCTGGGCAATAGCCGGTGCCCCTCCCCCAGCCTTGCTGCTGCCTTGCAGTTTGATCTCATACTGCTGTGTTAGCCATCAGCGAGACTCCGTGTGCGTAGGACCTCCGAGCCAGGTGCCAGATATAATCTCCTGGTGTGCCGTTTCCTAAGCCCGTCAGAAAAGCACAGTGTTAGGGTGGGAGTGACCCGATTTTCCAGGTGCTGTCTGTCACCCCTTTCCTTGACCAGGAAAGGGAGCTAACTCCCTGACCCCTTGCACTTTCCTGAGTGAGGCAATGACTCACCCTGCTTCAGCTAGTGCACAGTGCACTTCACCCACTGTCCTGCGCCCACTGTCTGGCACTCCCTAGTGAGATGAACCCAGTACCTCAAATGGAAATGCAGAAATCACCGGTCTTCTGCGTCATTCATGCTGGGAGCTGTAGACTTGAGCTGTTCCTATTCGGCCATCTTGGCTCCTCCTCCCATTATTTTTTAATATTTTCTGAAAATCTTCTTTAAAGAGAGAAAGCCAAATGTCACCCACTTTTTCATAAAACCTTATAGGCCAATCTAGTATTCTTTTCTTTTTTGGAGGTGGATTTTCCCTCTTGTTGCCCAGGCTGGAGTGCAATGATGTGATCTCGGTTTACTGCAACCCCCTGCCTCCCAGGTTCAAGCAATTCTCCCGCCCTAGCCTCCTGAGTAGCTGGGATTAGAGGCATGCCACACCATGCCCAGCTAATTTTGTGTTTTTAGTAGAGACGGGGTTTTTCCTTGTTGGTCAGGCTGGCCCTGAACTCCTGACCTCAGGTGATCCACCTGCCTCGGCCTCCCCAAGTGTTGGGATTACAGGCGTGAGCCACTGCCCCTGGCCATTTTTTTTTAAAGATAATCTCTTGCTCTGTCACCCTCCTCTCCATATTATAGCTCTGGGGCCAAGCTGCATCACAATGGAAATCATGGAGCCACAGGAAGAATCCACTCAGCTTTGCCACATGCTGCCCAAGAGGTTGCTTGGAGTAACCAAATTAACATTTTTCATTCTGCTCAGAGCAAAATACATGTGACAAAACATAGACACGAGCCACTTTGCTTAGCACCCAGTGTCAAACTGGTAAGACCCAAACTTGCTCCCAGATAGGCCGTGCCACCTCTAAATCTTTTTAGAAGCTTCTGCATATTAATAGGCATCCCTAGATGAGACTAATTTGGGAGCCCTCATTTTTAAATGCACTTCAGGGCATTATTCATTTGGAATGTTCCACTGTAAGTTATCTTTAGTAAGATTTTGCCATTTCTGTAAGACTTTGCTGCTTCCCAGGCCTAATGAATTAGCCAGAAGGAACTAAGTTTTCCAGAAATTAAGGATCCTATTTTTACCTAATATATTGGCTTTACTCCCAGGTTCCCTTGATTGACTTAGCCAATGATTTTTTTTTCCTACCTAAGCATGCGAGGAAAATGAAACAAAGGGGTAGAACACAAAAATCCCTGTGAATTTTGAAAAGCCAAATTTTACAATCCTCCAATATTATCATTTGCTACCACTTTCCTTCTGACCCATTCAGATGTAGGGGGCCTCTAACTGGAACTGGATTCAAGCCAGTTAACTACTGGATCAAATCTGATCCTGGACCCGGTCCCGTTTCTGTCATAACTTCTAAAACATCCAGCCAGTCATGGCTGGATAGCAGTTTGGAACAGAAATTTGCTCAAAGAAACTCAGAGCTCAAAACACAAATCCATGGAGCTCTGAAATCCGAGAGAGAATTTACCATGATCCCCAGCTGCTCTGAGAGGTCAAAGGGCACAAGTGTTACAGAATCCTGTGACGTCACTTTTCTGCCTGAAACCTCTGGCTGGTGGCACCTTTACCTGTGTTTTGCTCGGGCCCACTGGGTTCGTTCCGTCCACTCGGCTCATGCTAGTGGTGTGGATCCCACACCTGCCAAGGGTGAGCTGGGTACAGAGCAGTGAAGGGTGTGTGAGCAAGCAAGCATGGGATCTGGCCACTGCACACAGCCAAGCATGCCAGCTGCAGTGAGGTGGGCAGCTCCAGGTACAGGCACAGGTGCCAGCTCCCTGTGAGGCTGCAGCTGGACCAGACCGACTGCAAACAGCTTCCACTGTGTGTATCAGGGAATGCAGTGGCGCCCAGAAACTTGGAGATGCAGGAACTGCAGAGCCCCAAAGAAGGCATCACAGCCCTGGCTTGGGGAGCTCCTAGGTCTGGGCTCCCTGAAGGGCCACAGCTCTTGTCTCCTTCTCTCTTCTCTTCTTCTTGCCTGCAATTTGGCAAGCAAGGGGGGCGTTTCAGCCCTGTTTATGTTACACCTCTTTCAGCCCTGCTAGTTTGCAGGTCCCGAGTTCTTGTCCTGAGTCCAGGAAGAATGAGGTATGTGGGCAAGTAGAAGGTGAGCAAGGTGAAGAGGTGCTTTATTGAGCAACAGTACAGCTCAGAGGAGAACTGCAGTGGGTAACTCCTTTCTGCAGGCAGGTCATCCCAACGTCTGTTCAGCTCTCAGCAGCTGAGAGAGACGCACTGTGGTTAGCTGTGCCCACATTGCCGAGGCTGTTCGAGCTGAGGAGTGCCTTCAGGCCAGTGCTGAGCCACTCTTAGCCCCACCTCAACCTCCCTCTTGTGCTCGTCACTGCCCAAATTCTGGAGGGGGCCGAGGTGGCAGGGGGCTGGCATGTCAGCACTGCCCTGAGCTTGCACAAACCGGGCCAGGTTGCGACTGTGCCTGGGTTCAGCCTCAACTTGTATCCGAAGTTGGAGTGGGCTCTGGGAGTGGAGAGATGCCAGGTGGTGGGACCAGGTACGACTGAGCCTGTGGGGGCAGGGGGGCTTGCTGGGCCTCTGAGAGTGCAAAGATGCCCGGGTTTGCAGTCATGGCTGGATGGCTGCAGCTGTGCCTGGGAGGGCAGGGCTCCTGCCTGCCAATTTAGAAGGGGTGGGGCTCCCACCCCTTCCTGGCTCCCACCAGCTTCGAGGAGCGCACAGCCCCAGCCACTCCTCCCCACTGCAGCCAGTGTCTCCGTAGCAACTGCTCCATGTGGACCACTGCTGCCATCACAGAGCAGTCCTTGCAGGTGCCTTTCTTGTACCTCAGCACTCCTGGGGGTCATTAGAAGCCCTAGCAACGCTGCTCACCACACTATAGCTCCGGAGGCCCTAGCAGTCCTGCTCCCACAGATCCCACTTCTGACACCATCTATTAAAAGAAAATCTTCAGCTGAATTAAATTTAAAGGAACTTAATTGAGCAATGAATGATTCACGAATCAGGCAGCCCCCAGAATCACAGCAGATTTGGTGAGACTCCAGCACAGCTACATGGTGGAAGATTTATAGACAATAAAGGCAACGTGATGTACAGAAATCTGAAGTGAGGAGTGAGGTCCAGAAGCAACTGGGTCCCTTACCATTCTCAGCAGTGAGGTCCAGAAGCAACTGGACTGGTTCCAGTGCTCAGCATTTGCCTTATCTGAACACAGCTGAACACTCAGCAGTGTGTGAGTGGCAGAAGTTTGGCTGTTGGGATTGGCCAGGACTCAGCTATAGTTACAGGCGCATACTCCTAAGTTAGGTTTTCAGTCTTCCTACCTATTAAGTTAGGTTGCAGTTTGTCCACAGGGACTCAAATCTAGAAGTACAGAGTCCTTCCCAGGCCATATTTAGTTCACTGTAACAGTTCCTATTATGACCTCACTGACAGTTCTTTTTCTCTGAATTCTCCTTTCTTCTCAACAGCTTATCCAAATGTTCCATTAGTCCCTGTTCATCCCGCCCTGCAGTTCTCCTTGACTGATTCAGCCCTTTGTGGTTTGCAGTCCTGTTTCTCTACAGCTTGGACCCCTTCAGTCTTTCCATCATAGGTTTAACTCTCTGTTGAATGCTTCTTTGTAGCTACGCAAAAGTTACCTTAAGCTCAAAAAATTCAAAGTGAAAGCCACATCCTCCTCTCTTCCCTTATGTGTATGGTATTACTACCATGCAACCAGTGACCCAAAATGGGATTTCTTCTGGGCTTTTCTTGCTTAGATTCAGGCTCATCTGGTGTCAAGCCTTGTTACTTTTGTTTCCTTGTTCTTTTATTTTTAATTTTTTTTCTTTTGAGACAGAGTTTCACTCTTGTTGTCCAGGCTAGAGCACAGTGGTGTGATCTCGGCTCACTGCAGCCTCCACCTCCCGGGTTCAAGCAATTCTCCTGCCTCAGCTCCTGAGTAGCTGGTATTACAGGCATTTGCCACCATGCCCAGCTAATTTTGTATGTTTAGTAGAGATGGGGTTTCTCTGTTTTGATCAGGGTGGTCTCGAACTCCCGACCTCAGGTGATCCACATGTTTCGTCCTCCCAAAGTGCTGGGATTACAGGCGTGAGCCACCGTGCCTGGCCTGCTTGTTGTTTTCATCTCATGCTGATTTCTGAATACAGGAGAGGAGCTGAGTTGGTGTTCACTAACAAGCACGGAAGCTTCGTTACATTTACAGTGTCATTCTTGGCAAAACCTGAATAGTATGTTTGTGGGGTGATGAGATTCAGTCCCCTGTGACCTGTGCATCTGGCCAACACTGTGGTGACATCCTTAGGAATCAATGGGGAGAGAGAAAGCATTCAGGAGTTAGTGGGTCACATTTGACAAAGGCCAATAAAGAAATATGCAAAGACAAAAATCAAGAAGAACACTGTCATATTTTACACCTTTTGTTTATATAAATTTATGTCAATGATTCTAGCTTATGTTAATATGCAATGTATACAATATGCTAACATATACAATATATGTTTATAGTTTAAACATTTCTGTCATGTTTTCAGATTCTTTAAAGATTATATTACACTTCCTATTTCAGATAGTTGTTTAAAATGAGTAAGGAGAAACGGATGTGTGCATCAGTTCTAACTGTTTATGGACTAAAACTAGTTGATTTCTTGGTTAAGAACAAAAAGTGACAAACTAATTAACTGAAAATTTGAAGTAGGCAATTATAGTTTTAGCTTTAACGTAAAATATTAACTATGCTCCATTCTTGCATTTTTAACCTAATACTCAATATAAATCGCTACATGCCGTTTCAGATCAAGGTTCTACTTGTGATCTCTCATGAGTTTTTCAAGGTTTTAATTATCTGAGATGTAACAATGTACCAGTAACCTTACTGGCTTAAACCAGGAATTTATTCTTTTTACATGTCACAATTTTCTGGGTCAAGACACTGGACAGGGCGGTGTTGGTTGGTTGCTTCATGATGTCCTTGGTCTCATCTGGAAGGACTCTAGTGGCTGGGGACATGGAGCAGGCACCCAGCCCTCTCTTCGTGGCCAGCACGGACTTCCTCCCAGTCTGGCAGCGTCAGGTAGTCAGGTTTGTCTGGCTTCTCCCAGGGTGTGTGTCCAAGAGGCCCAGGCAGAAGCTGTAAGGACTCTCATGATCGCCCCTCAGAAGTCCCAGAGCATCTCTCCTGCCACACTGCCCAGTCGCACTCATCACTGAGACCAGCCATGATTCAAGGGGGGAAGGTGATTAGATTCCACCTCTTGATGAGAAGCATAGTAGGAACCTGCAGCAGTCTTTAATAAACCACAGCTTGTCCTCTGGCCACAAACTATTAACATTTCTCCTACATGCAAATTATGCTTTGCCCCTCTCAAGAGCCCCAGAAAGGTTTTCCTTATGGCACTGGCTGGTAGCCCAACTGAATCCTGAATCAGGTTGTGGTGACCTGTCATCTGCACCCACACACACTCAGCCGCAGTGAGGACTGAATCAGGTTGTGGTGACCTGTCATCTGACCCCCCCACACACAGCCACAGTGAGGACTGAATCAGGTTGTGGTGGCCTGTCGTCTGCCCCTGACACACTCAGCCACAGTGAGGACTGAATCAGGTTGTTATGACCTATCATCTGAGCCCACAAACTCAGCCGCAGTGAGGGGACTGGTGTGAAAACAGTCGGCATTTCCCTTTAGAAGCTGTTGGTGGGAGGCAAGAGGGAAGTGCTGCCCTGCAGGCCCCGTCTAACAGTTGGTCATTCCCATGGGGTGCCTGTTACAGTTCTGTGATTAGTGCCCAGTCCTGGTCCCTGAGAACGGCGCCCAGTCCTGGTCCCTGAGAATGGTGTTTGTGTCCTTTTACTCTTCCCTCTGGGCTTTTGTCATTCTCCATGTTCTTTTTCCTTCAGTGCCTGGGTTGCCGTTGACCAACTTTCCCTGCCTTTTTCTTATGGTCAATAGGGTATTCAATGGCTTCTTTTTCATTTTTTTTCCTTTTCTTTTCTTTTTTTTTTTTTTTTTACTTTGGCCTTTTGAGACAAGAAATTATTTCTTTATATTTTCTCTAAATTCTGTTTGAAAACTGAACCTTCTTCTTTAGATCATGTCCCTCTCCTGTCATATTTATTCAGTGACAGTTAGGGGAGGCTGGTAGCACTTTCCATGTTCTTCCCAGATGTCTCCTTAGGCAGATCCCTGAGATGGTGCAGTGCCCTTTCAGTTTCCATGTTGTGGCCATAGTTTTCCCACAGTCCCTCAGCATGTAACTCTCAGGCCTTTTCTCCAGTTTCCAATGACATTTTCTCACCGTCCTTCAGGCCCTGACCAAGTGTCTTGATGCTCTTCCAGGTTGCATGAATGGTCTCCTTGAGGCCCAGTTACAGATCAGCCTCACAGTCGTGTCACATATTGTAGCTTCTGATTACCACAGCAGCTCATTTCCAGCTGTCATATTCTGTTCCAGTTATCTATTCTGAAGAAACCATCCCCAAAACTTGGCAGCTTAAAACAACTCATTATTACTTGTTTTTTGGCTTAGAGAGTCTTGGTGGTCAGCTCATCTCACACACAGTTGCAGCCAAGCTGGATTGTGTGAAAGCACAGTGAGGTGGTGTGCAGGGTGGCTCACTAGCGGTTGGGAGTGGATGTTGCTGGAGGCTCACTAGTTGTTGGGAGTCGGTGTTGCTGGAGGCTCAGTGGGGGATGTCAATGCATGTAGCTAGTCATGGACTGGCCGTGTGGTTTCCATCATGAGGTCTCAGGGGAGTGGGATTTCCTGCCTGGTGACTGGCTTTCTCCTGGATAAGTGTTCTGTTTTCTCAGCCTGGCTTCTGAAGTCCCCAAATACCACCTTTGTCACCTTCTGTTGGCCAAATAAGTCAGTAGTTTGGTCAAGGTTTAAGGGGAATTGGTCCTCACAGAGAGAGGAGCAGGAAAGAAGTTGTCACCTTTAGTCTACCAGAAATGAGATTTTTATAACAAGTTTGTTCCAAATACATTCCAGTTCCCCTTGTGAATACTTTTTTGACTCACAGGGTATTTCAAAGTTTATTACTTGGTTTTCAGACATTTGAGGCTTTTCTGGTTATCAATTTGTTGTTGGTTTCTAATTTAATTTCAAGTGTTCAGACAACATCCTTTGTATAGTATTTCAGGCTTGAACCTTTTCTCAATCGATCGACATACAGTCTATCTTGGTACTGCCAAGTACCATTTGGGTCAGGATTTTGTCATTTAGATCCATATTTTTCCAATATTTTTATCTGGTTGTCCCATCAGTTACTGAGAGAGCAGTATTAATTCACCAGCTATAATTTTGCATTGTCAATTTCCTGCTTTTGTTCTGTTGTTTTTGATTCACATACTTTGAGGTTGTGTGTGTGTGTGTACTTTGTGTGCATTTTGAGGCACAATTTTTAATTGTAACATCATCGTCTCTGATTCTTTTATTTTTATTAAATTACCCTGTTTATTTCTGGTGATATATTTTGCTCTGAAGCCTCTTTCATCTAGTGTTAACATCTCTGTTGAAGCTTTTTATGATTAGTGTCTGGATAGCATATTTTTATGATTAGTGTCTGCATAGCATATTTTTTCTCATACTTTGTTTGTGTCTTTGTGTTTAAATTGTGTCTCTGTGGATGCCATATTGTTGGGTCTTGCCTTCCTCTCAGGTCTGGCAGTCTCTGTCTTAAGTAGAGTATTTGTCCAGTTACATTGTAACTAATCATTGCTAAGGTTGGATTTAGGTCTGCCATTTTTCTAGTTATTTTCTATTTGTTTGTTTATTATTTTTAAGACAGGGTCTTGCTCTGTCACCCAGACTGTAGTGCAATGGTGCAATCTTGGCTCGCTGCAACCTCTGCCTCCCAGGCCCAACCAATCCTCACTTGATCCCCCTGAGTAGCTGGGACTACAGGTGCATGGCACCACACCTGGCTAATTTTTATATTTTTTGTAGAGATAGAGTTTTGCCATGTTGCACAGGCTGGTCTTGAACTCCTTAGCTCAAGCAACCTACCCACCTTGGCCTCCCAAATTGTTCAGATTACAAGCATGAGCCACCATGCCTGGTCTTCGTCTGTCTTTTGATCTTCTATATATTCTTTCCTAACTTCTTTTGGGTTAAATATTTCTAAATATTCCAGTTTGATTAATCTTTTGGCTTTTTGAAATAATTTTTTATAGGCTGGGCATGTTGGCTTATGCTCGTAATCTCAGCTCTGTGGGAGTCCAAGGGAGGTGGATTGCTTGAGCCCAGGAGGTTGAGACCAGCCTGGGCAACATGGGAAAACCCTCTCTACAAAAAACCAAACCAAACTTTAGCCTGACATCTTGGTGTGCACCTGTAGTCCCAACTATTCGGGAGGCTCAGGTGGGAGGGTTGCTTGAGCCTGGGAGGCTGAGGCTGCAATGAGCTGTGATCATGCCATTGCACTCCTGCCAGGGCAACAGAGTAAGATCCTGTGTCAAAAAATATCATTTTTTATAAATAATTTATTATTTCTAATTTTGGTAACAAACACATACCTTAAAATTTACCATCATAACCAGTTGTAAGTGTACAGTTTTGTAGAGTTAAGAATATTTACAGTGTTGTGTAGCAGATTTCTAGATTTTTTTTTTTATCTTGGAAAACTCTATACCCATTCAACAACTATTAATTCCCCCTTCCTTCCACCTCCTGGCAAGTACTATTCTACTTTGTGTTTCTAAAACTTTGGCTTATATACCTAGGGTTATATAATATTTGTTGTTTTGTAAGTAGGTTCCATGTTATATGTCAGATGTGTCAGGATTTTCTTCCTTTCTATGGCTGAATAATATTTCTTCATATATATATATATATTTTCTCTCTCTCTCTCTCTCTATATATATATCCTTTTGTTTATCCATCTATTCCTGGATGGACGTTTTGGTTTCTTCCACTTGTGGCTGTGTAATGCTCCTGTGAACACAGGTGTGCACATATCTGTTGGAGTTCCTGCTACTAGTTATTCTGTCTCTGTAGAAGTTGGATGCCTGGATCATATGGTCATTTTATTTTATTTTTTGTGAGGAGCCAGTTCATATTTCCACCAACAGTGTTCAAGGGTTTCAGTTTCACCTGCACTTGTTACTTTCTGTTGGGTTAGAAGTGATGTCCCATTGTGGTTTCTATTTGCATTTCTTTAATGACTAGTGATGTTACACATCTTCTCATATATCTCATGTATCTGTTGGCTATTTTTATATCATCTTTGCATCTTTGGATAAATGTTCTTTGTCCATTTTTTAATCACTTTATTTTGTTGTTGTGTTGTAGTGGGGTTTTTTGGTCATGATCATTCATTTATCTCACAGTTCATTCTTGTTACTTGGGCCAGGGTCATGGTCATTCATTATCTCTCAGTTCATCCTCATTACGTTGGGCAAACAGTCATGCTGCAGGGTATAGATTATGTTATTCTGTTACTTTCAGATAGAATTGGGGTCTAGGTTCTAATTGTTTCTAAGTTTAGATTCTGAATGAGAATCAGCAGAGGTAGACCACTGCTGCTGAGGCCTGGGGATTGCTGGGGAAAAGGCAGGAAACAGATACGGACCTGACCATGGAAGGTTTGCGTTTCACGGCTCCCATCTGGGTACCCAAGGAACCTACATGTAGCTCATGTGTGGAGAGCCTACTTTGCCCACTCAAAGCAATTGAGGATGGAACAGTCTTGGGGCTGGAGCTCATTATTTGGAATGATAACCACATCTGCACAGAGAGGACCTGACAAGATGTTGTCCTTCCATGTATATCTGGGAATCCTCTGTAGGGTCTCTCTGTAAGGACAGGGGCAGTGTTGGCTCCTTGGCCTCTAGTTAGCCTCACAAGTAGTCTAGTAAAGGCTTTGCAAACTTGTCACCATCTGTGGACATTCTGGCCAGCTCTTGTTTTCACCCTACTGACTTCTTCAGACACTAGGCTTTTGCTTTAGACCATTCATGGTTTTTCTTCCTCTTCAAATCAGTAATCAATAAATACTCTTCAAGTCAATAAATTTCCACTCCTTTAGGAAACCCTGATCTTCTGGTCACACCAAGGTTTAATTAACTGGTTTGATTGTTTTTCTGTTTTGTTTTTTTTTTCCTTCTTCCTAGGGGTTTCTAGTAATTCTAGTTTGATGTCTCACTTTCTCCATTTTTTATTTCTTAGTTTTCTTCTGTGATTATTTTCACTGCAGCTGCAGGGCCTAATCCTAGGTTGGCAGAGAACTAGCACTTACTCTGCCCTAATTGGAATCCAGGAGAGATAGGAGGTGCCCTAGTGTGAAAATGTGTTTGCTCCTCTCTGCTTCTGGTAGTCTCTCTGTAGGAGTTCTTTACGTATTCTGTATGTTCACTTCTTATGAGATACATGATGAGCAACTATAGGTTGAATGTCTCTGATCCAAAAATCTGAAATCCCAAATGCTCCAAAGTCTGAAACTTTTAGAGTGCCAACATGACACTCAAAGGAAATGCTTATTGGAGCATCTCAGACTCAGGTGTTTGAATTCGAAATGCTCAACCAGTAAGAATAGTGCAAATATTACAAAATCTGAAACACATCCCAAGCATTTCAAATAAGGAACTCTCAACTGGCATTTTATTTATTCTACAGTTTGCCTTTTACCCTGTTGGTTGTGACCTTTGAGGTACAGAAGTTTTTAGGTTTGATATATTTTTGCTTTTACTGCCTGAGCTTTTAATGTCATATCCTAAAAATTATTGACAAATTCATCGTCATAAAGCATTTTCCAAATTTGTTTTCCCTAGGAGTTTGATAGTTCTAGTTTTACATTTAGGTTTATAATTCACTTTGAATTAATTTTAACGTGTTATAAGGTAAGAGTCCAACTTCACTGTTTTGCATGTAGATATAAAATTTTCCCAACACAATTTGTTGCAGAAACTGTCCTTCACCATTGAGTGGTCTTGGCATCCTTGTGGAAGATCATCGGACCATATATGCCAGGGTTGGTTTCTGAGGTCTCTGTTGTGTTGGTCCATAAGTGTGTCAAGAGTGTATTTATGCCATGACCACATTTTTTTTTGGCTTATTGCAGTTTTGTAATTGTTTTGAGACCTTTAATTTTGTTCTGTTTCAAGATCGATTTGCCTATTCATGGGCCCTGGAGATTCCATATGAATTTTAGGATAGGTTTTTCTGTTTATCAAAAATGTCATTGGAATCTTTATAAGGATTGTATTGAATCTAGGTCACTTCGAGTAGTGTTGACATCATTCCAAGATGAAATCATCTAATCTGCAAACCCAGCTTTTCTTTTCATTTATTTGTGTTTAATTTCTTTCAACAGTGTTTTGTAGTTTTCTGTGTTCAAATCTTTTGCCCTCTTGGTTAAGCTTATTTCTAATTTTTTTTTTTTTTTTTTTTTTTTTTTAAGACAGAGTCTCACTCTTTCGCCCAGGCCGGACTGCAGTGGCGTGGCGCGATCTCAGCTCACTGCAAGCTCCGACTCCCGGGTTCACGCCATTCTCCTGCCTCAGCCTCCCGAGTAGCTGGGACTACAGGCGCCCGCCAAGGCACCCGGCTAATTTTTTGTATTTTTAGTAGAGACGGGGTTTCACCGTGTTAGCCAACATGGTCTTGATCTCCTGACCTCGTGATCCGCCCGCCTCAGCCTCCCAAAGTGCTGAGATTACAGGCGTGAGCCACCGCGCCCAGCCTCTAATTTTTTTAATGCTTTTGTAAATGTAATTCTTTTTTTTTTTTTTTTTTTGAGATGGAGTCTTGCTCTGTCTCCCAGGCTGGAGTGCAGTGGCACTATCTCAGGTCACTGCAACCTGCACCTTCCTTATTCAAGCAATTCTCCAACGTCAGCCTCTCAAGTACCTGGGATCACAGGTGCACGCCACCACGCCCAGCTAACTTTTTGGTATTTTTAGTAGAGACAGGGTTTCTCCATGTTGACCAGGTTAGTCTTGAACTTGTGACCTCAGGTGATCTGCCCGCCTCGGCCTCCCAAACTGCTGGGATTGCTGGCATGAACCACCGCACCTGGCCAAATGTCATTCTTTTTAAAAATTTCTTTTGTTTTCTCTTTCTTTTCTATTCTTTTCTTTTCTTTTCTTTCTCTCTCTTTCTTTCCTTTCTTTCTTTTTTTGAGACCGCGTCTCACTCTGTTTCCTAAGTTGGAGCACAGTGGCACAATCTCAGCTGACTGCAACCTCCAACTTCCAAGTTCAAGCAATTCTCCTGCCTCAGCATCCCAAGTAGCTGGGACTACAGGTGTCTGCCACTATGCCCAGCTAATTTTTGTATTTTTAATAGAGATAGAGTTTTACTATTTATATTAGAGATGGGGTTGGCCCAGCTGGTCACGAACTCCTGACCTCAGGTGGTCCACCCGCCTTGGCCTCCCAAAGTGCTGGGATTACAAGTGTGAGCCACTGCACCTGGCCTCTTTTTAAAATTTTATTTGCAGATTGTTCATTGTTAGTTTATAGAAATGCAACTGACTTGAGAGTGTTACCATATCCTGAAACTTTGTTGAATTTCATTATTCTACCAGTATTTTGTGGAATTTCAGAATTTTTACACATTACATCTTGTTGTCTGTGAACAAAATTTTGTACTTTTTCCTTTCCGATCGGCATGTTTTTATTACTTTCTCTTGCCTAATTATTCTAAGTAGAAATTCCAGTGCTGTGGTGAATAGAAGTGGCAGGAAGAGAAGTTGCTATCTTATTCCTGATCCTAGAGGAAAAGATTTTAGTTTTTCACGATTGAGTATGATGTTAGCTGTGAGCTTTTCATGTATAATCTTTATTTACTGAGGAGTTTCCATATATTACTAATTCTTTGAGTGTTTTTATTACAAAAGGTGTTCATCTGGCTCTGGAACCAGATAAATGTTGACCTGATAGAATGGATTGGAATGTCCCCTTCTGGTTTTTTGAACATTTTTGGAAGATTTTGCAGAGGATTGGAATTAATTCTTCTTGAAATGTTTGGTAAAATTTTCCAGTGAAGTTATCTGGACCTGGAATTTTCTTTTTGGTGGGGTTTTTGATTACTGGTTGAATCTTCTTACTAGTTACAGGTCTCTTTGGATTTTTTATTTCTCCGTGATGCAGTATGGTGGTTTGTGTTTCTAGGAATTTATAAATTTATTCTAGGTTGCCCAGTTTGGTGGCATATGGTTGCTCACATTAGTGTCTTGTAATCTTTTTCATTTCTGTGGCATGTGTTGTACTGTCAACTCTTTTATTTATGATTGTAGTATTTGAGATTTCTCTTTTTTTCTTAATATAGCTGTGAGTTTTAAAATTTTTATTGATCTTTAAAAAAACAAACTCAGTGTTTTTTTTCCTTTTTTTCTGGTCTTATTCTGCTTATCTCTGCTGTAATCTGTTATTTTCTTCCTTTTGCTTGGATTGTCATTAGTTTTTTTTTTCCTTCTTCAGGTGTAATGTTAGGTTATTGATTTGAGATCTTTCTTCTTTTTAATTTAAGCACCGGCAGCTATAAGCTTCCCTTTAGCAAGGGTTTGAGATCTTTCTTCTTTTTAATTTAAGCATCTGCAGCTGTAAACTTCCCTTTAGCACGGGTTTGAGATCTTTCTTCTTTTTAATTTAAGGATCTGCAGCTGTAAGCTTCCCTTTAGCATGGGTTTGAGATCTTTCTTCTTTTTAATTTAAGCATCTGCAGCTGTAAGCTTCCCTTTAGCACTGCCTTTGTTGCCTCCTCCTGAGTTTGGGTATGTCATGGTTTCGTTTTCATTTGCTTAAACATTTTTTGTCCTATTGTAATATAATTGTGTTGTTTTTAATAAAGGTAATTAATGAAACACATAATGAATTGTGCTTCTGTTTTTATAATATTTTAAGCATTCTTAACTCAGAAATGTAAATTTTAGAAAAAAATTCCAGGCCAGGCACAGTGGCTCACACCTGTAATCCCAGCACTTGAGGAGGCCGAGGCGGGAGGATCATCTGAGGTCAGGAGTTGGAGACCACCCTGGCCAACATAGTGAAACCTGTCTTTACTAAAAATAGAAAAAAAATATATAAAAGTTAGCTGCGTGTCATGGCGGTTGCCTGTAATCCCAGCTACTCTGGAGGCTGAGGCAGGAGAATCACTTGAATCTGGGAGGCGGAGGTTGCAGTGAGCTGAGATTGCACCACTGCACTCCAGCCTGGGTGACAGAATGAGAGTCCGTCTCAAAAAAAAAGAAAAAAAAATTTCAGACATATTTATTTGTATTTCAATTTAGAAACTATGATCTCCTAAGTGTATTGACACAGCAACCTGACATAAAGATAAAGAATAATAAGCATATAACTAAACAGAACCTTGCAAATACCTGTTTTTTATTAATTTTTAATTATATATATTTAAAAATTGCTGGGTGCAGTGGCTTACACCTGTAATCCCAGCACTTTGGGAGGCTGAGGTGGGCAGATCACATGAGGTCAGGAGTTTGAGGCCAGCCTGGCCAACATGGTGAAACCTCATCTCTATTAAAAATCAAAAAATTAGCCAGGCGTGATAGCATGCATCTGTATTCCCAGCTACTCGGGAGACTGAGGCAGGAGAATTGCTTGAACATGGGAGGCAGAGGTTGCAGTGAGCCAAGATACTGCCACTGCACTCCAGCCTGGGTGACAGAGTGAGGCTCTGTCTCAAAAAAATAAAAATTGTCTGGGCGTGGTGGCTCACACCTGTAATCGCAGCACTTTGGGAAGCTGAGGCAGGCAGATCACGTCAGGAGATCGAGACCATACGGGCTAACACGGTGAAACGCCATCTCTACTAAAAATACAAAAAATTAGCCGGGCGTGGTGGCGGGTGCCTGTAGTTCCAGCTACTCCGGAGGTTGAGGCAGGAGAATGGTGTGAACCTGGTAGGTGGAGCTTGCAGTGAGCCGAGATTGCACCACTGGACTCCAGCCTGGGTGACAGAGAGAGACTCTGTCTCAAAAAAATAAAATAAAATAAAGCTAAGGTGTGGTTGACACACAAAAATTACACATATTTAATATATACCTTGTGTGTGTGTGTGTGTGTGTGTGTGTGTGTGTGTTACGGAGGTTTTACTCTTGTTGCCCAGGCTGGAGTGCAGTGACACGATCTCAGCTAACTGCAGCCTCCGCCTCCCGGGTTCAAGCAATTCTCCTGCCTCAGCCTCCTGAGTAGCTGGGATCACAGGCTTGCGCCCCCACGCCTGGCTAATTTTTGTATTTTTTTAGTAGAGACAGGGTTTCACCATGTTGGCCAGGCTGGTCTCGAACCCCTGACCTCAGATGATCCACCTGCCTCGGCCTCCCAAAGTGCTGGGATTACAGGCGTGTGACACCGAATATATACATCTTAATGAGTATAGGGATAAGTATTCGCCCCAGGTCTCATCACAACAAATAATGCCGTAAACTTGACAATCACTCCCCATATATTTCTCATTCTCACCCTTTTTAAAAAATGAGACCGGGAGTGGCGGCTCACGCCTGTAATCCCAGCACTTTGGGAGGCCAAGGCAGGTGGATCACGAGGTCAGGAGATCAAGACCATCCTGGCTAACACAGTGAAACCCCGTTTCTACTAAAAATACAGAAATTTAGCCAGGCGTGATGGCGGGCACCTGTAGTCCCAGCTACTTGGGAGACTGAGGCAGGATAATGGTGTGAACTCGGGAGGCAGAGCTTGCAGAGAGCCGAGATCGTGCCACTGCACTCCAGCCTGGGCAACAGAGTGTGACTCCGTCTCAAAAAAAAAAAATGAGATGACCATTTCACATAAAATATACCCTCTTAAGTATTTTTTTAAGTGTACAATACAGGACGTCCATGCATCAGAGATATATGTGGGTTTGGTTCCAGACCACTGCAATAAAGTTTTATACAATTTCTTTTGGTTTCCCAGTGCATGTAAAAGTATGTTTATACTGTGCTGTATAAAGTGTGCAATAGCATATGTCTACAAAGTATGCACACTTTAATTTACAAATACTTTATTGTTAACAAGTGCTAACAGTCATCTGAGCCTTCAGAAAGCTGCAATCTTTTTTTGTGTTCGTGACAGGGTTTTACTCTGTGGCTCAGGCTGGAGTAATTGCAGCCTCAACCTCATGCTCAATCAAACCCCCACCTCAGACTCCTGACTAGCTGGGACTACAGGTGCATGCCACCGTGTCCAGCTAATTTTTGTATTTTCTTTTTTTGTAGAGATGGGGTTTTGCCATGTTGCCTTGATGTCCTGGGCTCAAGCAATCCACCCACCTTGGCCTCCCAAGGTGTTGGGATGACAGGTGTGAGCCACTGCACCTGGCCAAGTTTCAGTCTTCTTGCTGATGGAGGGTCTTACCTTAATGTAAGGTGGTGGTTGCTGAGCGTTGGGGTGGCTGTGGCAATTTCTTAAAATAAGACAACATTGAAGTTTGCTGTGTCAATTGACTCTCCCTTTCACAAAAGAATTATCTGTAGCATAAGATGATAGCTTTTTACCCACAGTAGAACTTTCAAAATTGGATTCAATGCTGTCAAAACTTCGTACTGCTGTACCAACTAAGTTTATGTATTATTGTAAATCATTGGGTTCAATCCTGTCAAGCCTTCCTTCTGCTGTACCAAGTTTATTCTAAATCTGTTGTCATCTCAACATTGTTTACACTGTCTTCACCACGAGTAGATTTCATCTCAAGAAACCACTTTCTTTGCTCATCCGTGGAAGCAACTCACCCACTCACGTTTTCTCCAGAGGCTGCTGCAGTCTCGCCAGATCTTCAGGCTCTGTCTCTGATTCTAGTGCTCTTGTTATTTCCACCATATCTGCAGTTACTTCCTCCACAGAAGTCGTGAACCCCTGTGTCATCAGTGAGGGTTGGAATAATCTTCCCAACTTCTCTCTCTTTCTTTTATTTTTTTGAGATGAAGTCTTGCCTGGGCTGGAGTGCAGTGATGCGATCTCAGCTCACTGCAACCTCCACCTCCCGTATTCAAGCAATTCTCCTGCCTCAGCCTCCCAAGTGTTTGGGATTACAGTCACCCCCGACCAGGCCCAGCTAATTTTTTTTCTGTTTATAGTATAGACAGGATTTCACTATGTTGGCCAGGCTGGTCTCAAATTCCTGACCTCATGATCCACGTGCCTTGGCCTCCCAAAGTGCTGGGATTATAGGCGTGAACCACCAAGCCCAGCCCCAACTTCTCCTAATGTTGCTATTTTGATCTTCTTTTTTAAATCATGAATGTTCTCAATGGCATCTAGAATGGTGAATCCTTTCCAGTAGGTTTTCAATTATTTTGCCCAGATCCATCAAAGGAACCACTTTCTAGAGAAGCTATAGCTTTATGAAATATATTTTTTAAGTGATAAGACTTGAAAGTTGAAATTATTCTTTGATCCAAGGGCACCAGAATGAATGTTGGGTTAGTAGGCATGAAAACAATATTCAGCTCTTTATACATCTCTGTAAAAGCCCTTGAGTACCAGGGGCATTGTCAGTGAGCGGTAATACTTTGAAAGGAATCTTATTTCTTGAGCAGTAGTTGTCGACAGTGGGCTTAAGATATTCAATAAACCATATTTGTAAACCGATAGTCTGTCATCCAGGCTTTGTTCCCATTTGTAGAGTACAAGCAGAGCTGCGTTTTATCATAATTCTTCAGGGCCCTTGGATTTTCAGAATAGTAAATCATCATTGGTTTCAAGTTAACATCACCAACTGCATTAGGCCTTAATAAAAGAGTCAGCATGTCCTTTGAAGCCTTAAATCCAGGCATCAACTTCTCTCTAGCTGGGAACATCCTGGATGGCATCTCCTTCTAGTAGAAGGCTGTTTTGTCTCCATTGCAAATCTGTTTAGTGTAGCCATCTTAATCAATTATCTTCTAGATAGCTTTCTGCAGCTTTTCCATCAGTACTTGCTGCTTTATCTTGCACTTTTATGTTATGGAGATGACTTTTTTCCTTAAACCTCAAGAAACAAGCTCTTCTAGCTTCAGACTTTTCTTCTGCAGCTACCTCACCTCTCTAAGTCTTCATAGAATTGAAGAGAGGCCAGGTGTGGTGGCTGTCACACCTGTAATCCTAGCACTTTGGGAGGCCGAGGCGGGCAGATCACCTGAGGTCGGGAGTTCGACACCAGTCTGACCAACGTGGAGAAACCCCGTCTCTACTAAAAATACAAAAAATTAGCCAGGCGTGGTGGTGCATGCCTGTAATCCCAGCTACTCGGGATGCTGAGGCAGGAGAGCTTGAACTTGGGAGGCAGAGGTTGCGATAAGCCAAGATCACGCCATTGTACTCCAGCTTGGGCAAGAAAAATGAAACTCTGTCTCAAAAACAAAGAAAAAAGTAAAAAGTTAGTTAGGCTTAGGCTTAATGGAATTTTTTTTATCTTCTATGTAGATCAATTAAACTTTCTTCATAACAGCAGCAAGATTGTTTAGCTTTTTATCATTCATGTATTCACTGGAGTAGTACTTTAAATTTCTTTCCAGAACACTTCCTTTGCATTCACAACTTGGCTAAGTGTTTGTTGCATGAGGTCTAGCTACTGGCCTGTCTTGCTTACAGCATGCCTTCCTCACTAAGCTTAATTATTTCTTCCTTTTGGTTTAAAGTGACAGACATACAACTCTTCTTTCACTTGAACATATAGAGGCTATTGTAGGGTTATTAATTGGCCACATTTTAATATTAATAAAAAGAAGCCTGAGAAAAAGAGAGAGAAAGAGAAATGGCCCGTTGATGGGGCAGTCAGAACAAACGCATTTGTCAATTGTTTGCTGTCTTATCCTGGTGTGATTTGTGGTTCCCAAAATGACAACAGTAACATTAAAGATCACTGATTACAGATCACCACAACAGATTCAATAATAAAAAGCTTAAAATACTGTGAGAATGACCGAAATGTGACACAGAGACGTGAAGTGAGCACGTGCTGTAGGAACAATGGTGCCAGTCAGACCTGCTTATTGCAGGGTGGTCACAAACCTTCAATATGTAAAACACATGGTCACAAAACACAATAAAGCAAAGTGCAGTGAAACAAGATGTGTCTGTCTTTTGATAGACTCTGACAATCTCTATCTTTGAATTGGTACATTCATACCATTAGCATTCAAAGTGATTATTGATATCATTGGATTAATATCTACTATATTTGTTACTGTTTTCTATTTATTCTCCTCAGTCTCCATTCTTTTGTCTACCACTCTTTTTCTGCCTTTTGCAGTTTTCATTGATGATTTTAGATGACTACATTTTCCCTGTCTTTCTTAGCATGTACTTCTCTTTTTAAAACTTTTTTAACTAGTTGCCACAGAATTTGCAATATACATTTACAACCAATTCAAGTCCACTTTCAAATAACACTATCCAACTATCCCACAAATAAGACTACCTGCTTAACAAACAAAACACCTAATTCCTCAGTAACATTTACAACCAATGCAAGTCCACTTTCAAATAACACTATCCCACTATCCCACAAATAAGACTACCTGCTTAACAAAGAACACACCTAATTCCTCAATATACATTTACAACCAATTCAAGTCCACTTTCAGATAACACTATCCCACTTCACGGGTGACTACCTGCTTAACAAAGAAAACACCTGATTCCTCCCTCCCATCCTTCCATTCCATTCCTTGTATTGTTCCTTATTTCACTTGTGTATAAGCATACATAATCTATCTGTGTGTATTTATTATTATCTACAAACTTATTGGTCAGATCAATTATGAATAAATACATGTTTTTATTGTACCACAATTCCTCCCTCCCATCCTTCCATTCCATTCCTTGTATTAGTGTTACTCATTTAACTTGTGTATAAGCATACATAATCTATATGTGTGTATTTGTTATTGTCTATGAACTTCTTGGTCAGATCAATTAAGAATAAATACATAGGTTTTTATTGTACCACAATTCTTTAATGCTCTTTTTTAAAAATGTTGATCAAAGTTTCAGTTATATATCTTTTGTTTCCCTCTAAAGAATTTCATTTAACATTTCTTGCAAGACAGGTCTCCTGGCAACAAGTTTCTTGAATTTTTATTTTTCTGAGGAAGGCCTTAATTCTCCTTCACTTTTGAAGGGAGTTTTCAGTGGGTACAGAAACTTAGGTTGGTGGGTTTTTTTCTGTCAACATTTTGAATTTTTCATTTCACTGTCTTCTTGCTTTCACAGTTTCTGCAATGTTGAATGCAGTTCTTATCTTTGTGTCTCTGTAGGTAAGGTGTTTTCTGCCCCACCTCTGGTTTCTTTCAGAGTTTCCCTTTATCTTTTATTTCATATAGTTTGAAAATTATATGTCCAAGTGTAGGTTGTTGGCATTTATTCTGCCTGGTGTTCTCGGAGCTTCCTGGATCTTTGGTTTGGTGTCTGACATTAATACTGGAAGTTCTCAGACATGGTTGTTGCAGAACTTTCTTCTATTTCTTCTCCTCCTGGTATTCTCATTACTCTGTTTCACCTCTTGTAGTTGTCCCACAGTCTTGGATATCATCTTCTGTTCTTTTCAGTGTTTCTTTTCTTTAGTTTTCGAAGTTTCTGATGATAAATCCTCAAGCTCAGAGATTATTTACTCAGCTGAGTCCAGTCTACTAATAAGCCATCAGAGGTATTCTTCAGTTATTTACCACATTTTTTACCACTACATTATGTTGAAGGTCCTTACGATGTCTGTCTTTCTGATTACATTACCCGTCTATACTTGAATGCTGTCTACTTCATTCATTAGGCCCTTAGCATATTCTCCAGAGGTTTACAAAAATTCCAAAATCATATCTTTGTCTGCTTCTGAAGCTTGCTCTGTTGATACAAATTGTATTTTTTTTCTTTTTTTGGATTTTAGTATGCCTTTCAATTTTTTCCCTTTATTCTCATGCATGAAGCACCCACTAAAAGTGACTGCTGTTAGTATAGCTTTAGTAATGCGGTGATGAGGTGACAGGGCAGGTGATGCTCTCTTAGTCTTTTTAGGCTACTATAACAAAATACTTTAGACTGAGTAATTCATAAACAACAGAGATTATTGCTCACAGATCTGGAGGCTGGGAAGTCCAAGACTAAAGGGGCAGGATATTTAGTGTTTGGTGAAGGACAAACATTCAGACACTCGCAACGACTATAGTGACAGCAGCAGTCTTCAGGAATCCTATGTGAGGGACAAACACTCAGAAGCCAGCTGGAGTGTTCCAGAATCCTATGTGAGGGACAAACATTCAGACCCCAGCAGTAGTGTTGTGGAATCCTATGTGAGGGAAAAACTTTCAAACCCTTGTAGCAGTGTTCTGCAATCCTATGTGAGGGACAAAAATTCAGAACCTCGTAGCAGTGTTCTGGAATCCTATGTGAGGAACAATCAGACCACAGCAGGAATGTTCTGGAATCCTATGTGAGGGACAAACATTTCAAAACCTCGTAGCAGTGTGCTGGAATGTTATGTCAGGGACAGACATTTAGACCCTCGCAGCAGTGTTCTAGAATCCCATCTGCAGGACAAACATTCAGACACTCGCAGCAGTGTTCTGGAATTCTATGTGAGGGACATTCAAACCCCAACAGCAGTGTTCTAGAATCCTATGTGAGGGACAGACGTTCAGACCCCAGCAGCAGTGTTCTGGAATCCTATGTGAGGTACAAACATTCAGATACCAGCAGAAGTTTTCTGGAATCCTATGTGAGGGACAAACATTCAGACCCTCGTAGCACTGTTCTGGAATCCTATGTGAGTGGCAAAAATTCAGACCACGGCAACAATGCTCAGGAATCCTATGTGAGGGACAAACATTCAGACCCTCGTAGCAGTGTTCTGGAATCTTATGTGAGGGACAAACATTCAAACCACAGCAGCAGTGTTCTGGAATCCTATGTGAAGGACAAACTTTCAGACCACAGCAAGAGAGTTCTGGAATCCTATGTGAGGGACAAACTTTCAGACCAAAACAGGAGTGTTCTTAAATCCTATATGAAGGACAAACATTCAGACCCCAGGAGCACTGTTCTGAAATCCTATGATAAGGGCAAACATTCAGACCCCAACATGAATGTTCTGGAATCCTATGTGAGGGACAAGCATTGAGACCATAGCAGGAGTATTCTGGAATCCTATGTGAGGGACAAACATTCAGATCCTTGTAGCAGTGTTCTGGAATCCTATGTGATTAACAAACATTGAGACCACAGCAGGAGTGCTCTGGAATCCTATGTGAAGGACAAACATTCAGACCCCAGAAGGAGTGTTCTGGAATCCTATGTGAAGGACAAACATTCAGACCCTCATAGCAGTGTTCTGGAATCCTATGTGAGGGACAAACATTCAGACTCTCCCAGCAGTCTTCTGGAATTCTATGTGAGGGACATACATTCAAACCCCAGCAGCAGTGTTCTGGAATCCGATGTGAGGGACAGACATTCAGACCCCAGCAGCAGTCTTCTGGAATCCTATGTGAGGGACAAACTTTCAGACCCTCGTAGCAGTGTTCTGGAATCCTATGTGAGGTACAAACATTCAGACCCTCATAGCAGTGTTCTGGAATACTATGTGAGGGACAACCATTCAGACCATGGCAGTTCTGAAATGCTATGTGAAGGACAAACATTCAGACCCTCGTAGCAGTGTTCTGGAATCCTATGTGAAGGACAGACATTTAGACCCTCGAAGCAGTGTTCTGCAGTCTTAAGTGAGGGACAAAAATTCAGACCCTCGTAACAGTGTTCTGGAATCCTTTTTGAGGGACAGACATTGAGACCCCAACAGCAGTGGTCTGGTATCCTATGTGAGGGACAAACATTCACTCCTCACCAACAGTGTTCTGTAATCGTATGTGAGGGACAAGCATTCAGACCCCAGCAGCAGTGTTCTGGAATCCTATGTGAGGGACAAATATTCAGACCACAGCAGGAGTGCTCTGGAATCCTTTGTGAGGGACAAACATTCAGAACCTCGTAGCAGTGTCCTGAAATCTTATGTGAGGGAGAGACATTTAGACCCTCGCAGCAGTGTTCTGGTATCCCATGTGAGGGACAAACATTCAGACCCTCCCAGCCGTGTTCTGGAATTCTATGTGAGGGAAAGACATTCAAACCCCAGCAGCAGTGCTCTGGAATCTGATTTGAGGGGCAGACATTCAGACCCCAGCAGCAGTGTTCTGGAATGCTATGTGAAGGACAAACATTCAGACCACGGGAGCAGTGTTCTAGAATCCTATGTGAAGGACAAACATTAAGACTCTCATAGCCGTGTCCTGGAATCATACGTGAGGAACAACCATTCAGACACCAGCAGAAGTGTTCTGGAATCCTAGGTGTGGGAAAAACATTCAGAACCTAGTAGCAGTGTTCTGGAATCCTATGTGAGGGACATACATTCAGACCACGGCAGCAGTGTTCTGGAATGGTATGTGAAGGACAAACATTCAGACCCTTGTAGCAGTGTTCCGGAATTCTATGTGAGAGACAAACATTCAGACCACAGCATCAGTGTTCTGGAATCCTATATGACGGACCAACATTCAGACCCTTGCAACAGTGTTCTGGAATACTAGGTGAGGGAGAAATATTCACACCCTTGTAGCAGTGTTCTGGAATTCTCTGTGACTGACAAACATTCAGACTCCAGCAGCAGTGTTCTGTAATCCTATGTGAGCGACAAACATTCAGACCCCAAGAGCAGTGTTCTGAAATCCTATGTTAAGGGAAACACTGAGACCCCAGCATGAATGTTCTGGAATCCTATGTGAGGGACAAACATTCAGACCACGGCAGGAGTATTCTGGAATCCTATGTGAGGAGCAAACATTCAGACCACAGCAGAAGTGTTCTGGAATCCTATATGAGGGATAAGCATTCAGACCCTCGTAGCAGTGTTCTGGAATCCTATGTGAGGGAGAAGCATTCAGAGCACAGCAGGAGTGCTCTGGAATCCTATGTTAGGGACAAACATTCAGAACCTCGTAACATTGTTCGGGAAACCTGTGTGAGGGACAGACATTTAGACCCTCGCAACAGTGTTCTGGAATCCCATGTGAGGGTCAAGCATTCAGATCCTCACAGCAGTGTTCTGGAATTCTATGTGAGTGACAACCATTCAGACTCCAGCAGCAGTGTTCTGTATTCCTATGTGAAGGTCAAACATTCAGAATCCAGGAGCAGTGTTTTGAAATCATATGTTAAGGGCAAACATACAGACCCTAGCATCAATGTTCTAGAATCATATGTGAGGGACAGACATTCAGACCCTCGCAGCAGTGTTCTGGAATCCTAGATGGGGGACAAACATTCAGACCCCAGCAGCAGGCTTCTGGAATCCTATGTGGGGGACAAACATTCAGACAATGGCAGCAGTGTTCTGGAATCCTATGTGAGGGACAAACACTCAGAGCCTTGTAGCAGTGTTATGGAATCCTATGTGAGTGAGAGTGCCTCGAGCCTACCCAACCTGACGCCCCCGAAGCCCTCACAGGGTCTGACCTCCCAGCATGCACCTGCCTCTCCCTGAACCCCAACTGCCCACCCTGCCTGTTCCCTGGCCTCCTTCATCCTGTGCAGCCCATAGACTGTGACCATCTCTGCAGCCACTCTGGCCCTTCCTTTACCTTTGTCCTCTCAGAATCTCTGAGCAGGATCTCCCAGGTCCATCCAAACACGTGCTTTGTCCACTTTTGACTAGGCCCTTGGGCATCACTGGGCTATCCCAGCTGTCCACAGGGCCTTCAATAATGCACATTGCACCTGGCTTATCCAAGCAGTGCTCAGCAGCCCACATTGACCAGGTCCCTGCTGACCAGACCCCGCACATCAGGTCATCCCTGATGACACACTCACTGATTAGACCCTCATGACCAGGCCCCACTAACAAGGCCCCCACTGCCAGGCACACAATGACAAGGACTCCACTGACCAGGACCTTACTGACAAGGCCTCACTGACAAGGCCTCAGGGACCAAGTCCTTACTGACAAGTCCTCACTGACTAGGTCATTATTGACAAGGCCTCACTGATCAGGTTCCACTGATCATGACCTCATTCCCTGGCCCCAAAGATGAGGCCCCACTGACCAGGCCTCCAGGGAACAGGTTGCCACCGATCAGGCCCCTAATAACCAGGCCTAAGGTCACCAGATGCCCCTGACTGGGACCCTAGTGAGTAGACCCCACTGAACTGGAACCAAATGCTGAGATCCCCGCTGACCAGGTCATCCTGTAGAACAGTGCTACAAAAGTCACCACTGACCAAGTCCTCTCTGACCAGGACGCTACAGATTAGGTCCCGCTGACAAGGCTGCCCTGACCAGGGCCCCACTGAGAAGGGCCTCACTGATGAGGACACGCCCACCAGGGTCTGCTGACTAGGTCCCATGTGCCCAGTCCTCCACTGAATAGCACCCCTTGACCTTGTCACCGGTGCCCCAGCCCATGCTGACCAGGCCAGCACTAAGTCCCAGCTGACCAGGTCTCCACTGATCAAGCCCCACAGCCCAGGTTTGCACTGACCAGACACCAAACAACTGGCAGCCAATAGGTCCCCACTCACCAAAACCCCCACTACTAGACCCCACTAATGAGACCCTCTGTAAGCAGACCCCTGCTGACCACGATCCCACTAAATAGTCCTCACTGACCTAGGTCCACTGACCAGGCCCACACTGATCAGGCCCCTCCTAACCACACTGGAAATCCAAGCGGCAATGACATGTTTCATATGGCAGAAGTTGGAACAAGACAGAGAGAGGAAAGAGGTTCCACAGCCTTTTAAACTACTAGATCTCATGAGAACTCACTCACTATCAGGAGGATGGCATTAAGGGCTTGGTGCTTTGCCATTTGTGAAGGATCCACTCCCACTCCTTTATGATTAAAGCTTTTTCCACCTAGGCCCCAACTCTAACATTAGGGAGTGTACTTTCACATGAGTTTTGGAAGGGGCATAGAGAAAAACCGTATTATTCTGTCCCTGACCCCACAAATCTCATGTCCTTCTCACATTGCAAAATACAGTCATGCCTTGCCAGCAGTCTCCCAAAGTCTTAACTCATTTCAGCATTAACTCAAAGTTACAAAGTCCAAAGTCTCATCTGGGTCAAGGCTACATTCTCTTTTGCCTACGAGTCTCTGAAATAAAAAGCAAGTTCACTGCGTCTAAGGTACAATGATGGTACAGGCATTGTGTAAGCTTTCCATATCCAAAAGGGAGACATTTTCCAGAAAGCTTCTTATTTTTATCTGAGGCCCCCTCAGCCTGGCCTTCACTGTCCATGTTTTTGTCAGAATTCTTGTCACAGCCATTTAACCAGTCTCTAAGATAGTCCAAAAATGTTCTCATCTGTCTGTCTTCTTTGGAGCCCTCCAAACTCTTCCAACCTCTACCCATTACCCAGTTCCGAAGTTGCTTCCACATTTTCAGGTATCTTTATAGCAATGCTCCAGTCCTCATTTGCCATTTTTGGTAAGATTTATTTTGAAAAAGAGGTTTAATTGGCTCATGGTTCTGCAGAGTGGACAGGAAGCTTAGTGCTTCTGCTTCTGGGGGGCCTCAGAAATCTTTCAATCATTGTGCAAGGTAATGAAAGAGTGAATTGTCTCACATGGCAAGAGGAAATCACGGAGAGTAGGGAGTGATATAGAGTTTTCAGTGGCCAGATCTCACGAGAAGTCACTCATGATTGTGAGGACAGTACCAAGGGGATAGTGCTGAACCACTCATGAGAAATTTGCCTTCATGATTCAATCACCTTATACCAGGATCCACCTCCAACATTAGGAAGCATAACTCAACATGAGATTTGGTGGGGACACATATTCGAATTGCCTCATCAGTCTTTGTGTATAAAGACATCCATAGCAGGCTTTATCCAGCCAGCTTCTTTGGGATTCTTTATATGGTTTCAGGTCTATAGCATATCCACTAAAATATTCCTACTTCAAAAGGCAATAAAGTAAGCGGTATTATCATTCTTCAAAAAGTTATAATGGTAGTGTAGGCATTCATAGTATGATTTAGTTCATTTGCTACTGTTTCTGTTCTATCACCATATTAACACTTTCCTACACAATTCTATATTCAGCTGGGTTTCAGTTGAGCACAAAGTCATCCTTGTACTACCACCGATAGCTGGCACTAGCTCTTTGATATTGTTATCATTCTGCTGTAGAAAGTACCCTTGAACTGGAAAAAGACCACAATCGAATAGCTAGTCATCCAACACTATCAAATTTTAGGTGACTTTTTGAAAAAATAGTATCTCCTGTTGCAAGAAATGCTCCATCTGTGATTTCAAGTCTCTCGCTTGAGTGGATTGGATGGAAGTGGTGAATTTCAGCCAAAGTGGCCAAAGAAATCCTGTTCCTGTGATAATGATGCCATCAGCCTCTGTACCTGTGTCTTCCCTTCTGCCACATGTTGCCTGTTCTCCATGACTGTGGTAAGAGCTTCCTTGTGTATGAGGATGATGTCCAGGATGTTGGTCTGGTGTCCCTGAGACAGCACTAACAGGTCCGTGGCTGGGTCCAGGTCCTTCCTGGACGGATTGGCAAGGAGCTCACTGATGTTCTTGAAGGCATCTCTGGTGAAGTGGATGGCCTAGTCAAGTTCCAAGGCCTGGCTGAGGCTGAAGAAAAACTGGCCGCCTTCTGAAGCTCTTTCTAAAAGCCTGTCACTGTCATCTGCTTGCATGTCAACTCATTGCCTGTGAGGTTGAGCTGAGTGGCCTGTGCCCATCTTCTTGGGGAAGTATTTGAAGCCATCAGTCTTGCTCTCCCACCCCTAAAGGTTGATGGTCACCACGTGGGGGTGTGCTGAGGGTCAGAAAGAAGCCAGCACTCACCATCTCATCCTTCTCAGCCTTCCTCTTGCACTCTCTCCAGGCTGTCTCTTCAGTGGTGTTGGGATATATCAGAAAGTGATGGAAGATGTGGCACTGTGCCCACACCCAGAAGCTGGCCATGTGGTTGGCTCATCCACCAGAATGGATGCTCTGGTTGTTCTTTGAGCCAGCTTGGCCTTGCCTGGCATGCACAGGCCCCAGGTACAGACACGTTGCTCCGAGTGAACTTGTCCTGCCTTGGGCCAAATTCTGTCAGGCCAGGGCCACAAAAGGCCGAGTCCCACGGGTGGTAATCCTGGCTGCTTTCTGCACTTCAACATAAAAGCTTCCTGAAGATGGTCTGTGGTCTGCCTCTTTGCAACCAAGAAGCCCGCAGTGCCATATGAGCCTTGAGGCATGGACTGGAGCCCCCAAGGCAGCGCACACCCTGCTCCTGAGCGTGCTGCTCATTTTCTCTGTGTGGCTCCATTTGTGTCACAGTTGTTGCACTGACTAGTGCATGCTGAGGAAGGCCAAGCTGGCTCAAAAAGCAACCGGCCACCTCTGCAAGGGTGTGCCTGGAGCTGGTGGACCAGCCACCAACCTGACTTGCTGCCGGTCGGGGTACATCAGTTCTTCTACCCTACAGGTAGGGCCACAGTGCTATCTGCTTTTCCTCAGGCCTCTGCTCCATCAGCCATCAGGAGGCAGCCCCTCAGGCTGTAGGAATCTGGCCATCCCTGCTTCCTTGAGTGGGTGAGGTTGGTGGTTGCTCCACCTGCTCCAGGCACACCCTTGCAGAGGTGGCTGCTTGCTCTTTGATCCAGCTTGGCCTTGCCTGGCATGCACAGGCCCCAGCTACCTATATGCTGTTCCAGGTCAGCTTGTAGTGTGTTGGGCCAAATTCTACCTCTGGCCAGGGCCACAGAAGGCCGAGTTCCCTGGGTGCTAATCCTGGCTGCTTTCAGCACTTGAACATAAAGTCCTCCTCAACACCGTCTGTGGTCTGCCTCTTGGCGACTAAGAAGCCTACAGTGCCATACGAGCCCTGAGACATGGACTGGAGCCACAAAGGCAGTGCACACCCCATTCCTGAGCCTGCTGATCATTTCCTCTTTATGGCTCCATTTGTTATACACTTGTTGCAGTGAGGCTTGTGCATGCCAGGCAAGGCCAAGCTGGCTCAAAGAGCAAGCAGCCACCTCTGCAAGGTGTGCCAGGAGCAGGTGGACCAGCCGCCAACCTCACTCACTGTCAGACATGGTACATCAGTTCTTCTACCCTAAAGGTGGGGCCGAGAAGTAGACCACAGGCCGTCTTGAGGAGGACTTTATGTTCAAGTGCAGAAAGCAGGCAGGATTACCACCCAGGGGACTCAGCCTTCTGTGGCCCACAGTGCCATATGAACCCCGAGGCATGGACCGGTACCTTCTGCTTTATACAAAAATTAACTTAAGATAGATTAAAGAGTTAAACATGCCACCTGCTTTTCCTCAGGCCTCTGCTCCATCAGCCATCAGGAGGCAGCCACTCAGGCTGTGGAAACCTGGCCATCCTGGCTTCCTTCAGTGGGTGAGGTTGGTGGCTGGTCCACCTGCTCCAGGCACACCCTTGCAGAGGTGGTTGGTTGCTCTTTGAGCCAGCCTGGCCTTGACTGGCATGCACAGGCCCCAGGTACTGACACGTTGCTCTGAGTGAGCTTGCCCTGCCTTGGGCCAAACTCTGTCAGGCCAGGGTCACAAAAGGCCGAGTCCCACGGGTGGTAATCCTGGCTGCTTTCTGCACTTCAACATAAAGGCCTCCTGAAGATGGCCTGTGGTCTGCCTCTTTGCAACCAAGAAGCCCGCAGTGCCATATGAGCCTTGAGGCATGGACTGGAGCCCCCAAGGCAGCGCACACCCTGCTCCTGAGCCTGCTGCTCATTTTCTCTGTATGGCTCCATTTGTGTCACAGTTGTTGCACTGACTTGTGCATGCCGGGCAAAGCCAAGCTGGCTCAAAAAGGAACCAGCCACGTTTGCAAGGGTGTGCCTGGAGTGATTGGACTAGCCATCAACGTCACCCACTCAAGGAAGCAGGGAATGCGTGTTTGTACCATGCATTTCACTACAGGTACATTTTCCCTGAGGTTGGTGGCCTAGGTTTCTTCTAGATTTTTTATTGTTTTAGGTCTTGCATTTAACTCTTTCATCCATATTACTTAATTTTTGTTTAAGGTGTATGGGTGTGGCCCAGTTTCAGTTTTCTGCATAAGGCTAGCCAGTTTTCCCAAGATCACTTATTAAATAGGGTATCCTTTACCCATTGCTTGTTTTTGTCAGGTTTGTCAAAGATCAGATGGTTTTAGATGTGTGGTGTCATTTCTGAGGCCTCTGTTCTGTTCCATTGGTCTATAGATCTGATTTGGTACCAGCCCCATGCTGTTTTGGTTACTGAAGCCTTGTAGAATAATTTGAAGTCATGTACTGTGATGCCTCTAGCTTTGTTGTTTTTGCTTAGGATTGTCTTGGCTATGTGGGCTCTTTTTTGGTTCCATATGAAATTTAAAGTAGTTTTTCTAATTCTATGAAGAAAGTCAATGGTAGCTTAATTAGGATAGCAATGAATCTATAAATTACTTTGGGTGGTATAGCACTCAGGCACAGAAATGTCCTTGTGTTAGGCAATACCATTCAGGACAGAGCCATGGGCAGAGACTTCATCACCAGAACACAAAAAGCAATGGCAACAAAAGCCAAAATTGACAAATGGGATCTAACTAAACTAAACAGTATCTGCTGTGCAAAAGAAACTATTATCAGAGTGAACAGGCAACCCACAGAATGGGAGAAAATTGTTGCAATCTATCCATCTGACAAAGGGCTAATATGCAGAATCTACAAAGAACAAACTTACAAGAAAAAAAACAAACAACCCCATCAAAAAGTGGACAAAGGATATGAACAGACACTTACCAAAGAAGACATTTATACAGCCAACGAA
Organism: Homo sapiens; assembly: GCF_000001405.40. Lineage (NCBI taxonomy): Eukaryota > Metazoa > Chordata > Mammalia > Primates > Hominidae > Homo > Homo sapiens. The sequence continues at coordinate 131,801 of NW_021159991.1, forward strand.
CATGTGAAGCAAAGCACATCATCACTGGTCATTAGAGAAATAGAAATCAAAACCACAATGAGATACAATCTCACAGCACTTAGAATGGCTATCGTTAAAAAATCAGGGGACAACAGATGCTGGACAGGATGTGGAGAAATAGGAACGCTTTTACACAGTTGGTGTGAATATAAATTAGTTCAACCATTGTGGAAGACAGTGTGACAATTCCTCAAGGATCTACAACCAGAAATATCATTTGACCCAGCAATCCCATTACTGGGTATATACCCCCAAAATTATAAATCATTCTAATATAAAGACACATGCACCTGTCTGTTTATGGCGGCACTTTTCACAAAACCAACGACTTGGAACCAACCCAAATGCCCACCAATGATAGACTAGATAAAGTAAATGTGGCATATATACACCATGGAATACTATGTAGCCATAAAAAAGGATGAATCCACGTCCTTTGCTGGGACATGAATGAAGCTGGAAAGCATCATTCTCAGCAAACTAACACAAGAACAGAAAACCAAACACCACATGTTCTCACTCATAACTTGGAGTTGAACAATGGGAACACATGGACACAGGAAGGGGAACATCACACACCAGGGCCTGTCAGCGTGGGGGGCTAGGAGAGGGATGGCATTAGGAGAAATAACTAATGTAGATCATGGGTTGATGGATGCAGCAAGCCACCATGGCATGTGTATACCTATGTAACAAACCTGCATGTTCTGCACATGTACCCCAGAACTTAAAGTATAATTAAAAAAAAAAGAAATTTGTTTTTAATTAAGCTTTTAATCATAGAACTTGTAAAGAAAACCCTTTTGAATCTTTTACTACCACATCATAGCTGGGACAAACTGCTGACGTTTTAAAAGTAACACAAATATCAAACAGAAAGAACTAGACTTAGGAACCAAACTCAGGTTTCTGTAGTGAACAGGGCAGAATCTTCACATTGGGTCACCACAGCTACTCCTTCAGTTTGGCCTTGGCTAGCAAAAGGGTGACCTTTTTATGTAGATGAGACCACTTACGTAAAAAAAAAGGTTTAAAAAATAATTTCTGCTAACTGGAATGCTTTTTGTTGTTGTTTATTTGTTTGTTTCTTTTTGCAGCCATAGGAGTTTTAGCCAATTCAGAGGCCTTGCTCCCTACAATTTGGAACATTCCTTTGGATTTGACCAAGTCAGGAAGAGATGGGAGAAAAGTGAAACAACAACAATAAAACCCCAAGCATAAACAAACAAAGAGTTAAGCAAAACAACAAATGCACAATTCATATGATTACTGAGTGTTCTAATGGTAAGGAGAAATTAAAAGCAGAAATTAAAAGCAGCTGGTGAGTAATCTTAAATTTTATTCATTAAGGAAAAATTTTAAGACAAAACTCTAATTCAGCTACTTACCTGGAAATAAGGCTCAGGCTGGTGGTCGTTCTCTGCCATCTTAGAAGCTGGAAAAAACTTACACTCACCTTCCCTGTCAGAAGCAAGCTGAAACTCAGGAAAGGAGGTGCCTGCTCTCCATCATCATGGAAGCAGGAAAACTTGCCTTCTTTGTTGGAAATGAGTAAAACTTCAGAAAAGGAGTTGTACAGCAAAATCAACCTTAGTTCTCAACCAGATTTTGGGAGATCAGGGAACCTCTGCAGGGGAGAAGCTCCACAACCTCAGCAAATTATCCGTTGATTTGGGCAATAAAGATAGCCCAGGTTGGTATCAAGCAATAATGAGATTTATCAAAGGTCAGGACCACCTTTTTATGTCTTTCTCTGTCTTTTTTTATCTTTATTGGTATATACGTTTTGTCAAAACTAGGAGTGCAACACCTGCTTTTTTCTGTTTTCCGTTTGCTTGAAAGATTTTTCTCCATTCCTTTATTTTGAGCCTATGTATGGCACCGCATGTGAGATGGGTTTCTTGGAGACGGCATACTCAAATGGGTCTTGGTTCTTTATCCATCTTGCCCCCCTGCGTCTTTCAATCAGAGCATTTAGCCCATTTCCATTTAAGGTTAGTAATGGTATGTGTGGATTGGATCCTGTCGTCATGCTGTCAGCTGGTTATTTTGCAGACTTGTGTATGTGGTCGGTTTTTAGCATCACTGGTCTGTGTACTTCGGTGCATTTTTGTAGTGGCTGGTGATGGTCTTTTCTTTCCATATTTAGTGCTTCATTCAGGAGCACTTGTAAGGTAGATCTGGTGATAATGAATTCTCCCAGCATTTGTTTGTCTGAAAAGGGTCTTGTTTCTCCTTCACTTATGATGCTTAATTTTGCTGGACATGAAATTCTGGGTTGAAATTTCTTTTCTTTTTTTTTAACCATTTAACTCTCTAGCTCTCATTTTAACCATTTTAACTCTCTAGCGGCCTTTAACATTGTTTCTTTCATTTTGACCTTGGAGAATCTGATGATTATATGTCTTGGGGATGATATTCTCGTGGCATATCTTACTGAAGTCCTCTGGATTTCCTGAAATTGAATGTTGGCCTGTCTGGCTAGGTTTCGGACATTCTCATGAAGGATATTCTGAAGTATGTTTTCCAAATTGGTTCCATTCTCCTCATCTCTTTCAGGTACATTAATCAGTCATAGATTTGGTCGTTTATATAATCCCATATTTCTCGGATGTTTTGTTCATTCCTTTTCCTCCATTTTTGTCTGCCTGTTTTGTTTCAGAAAGCCAGTTTTCAAGCTCTGGGATTCTTTCCTCTGTTTGGTCTATTCTGCTGGGTGGTCTTGCACATGAGATGGAGCTGTTCTGACCTCAGCCCTCCTTAGTCTGCTTGCCTCTCCCAGGACCCCAGCCTGGCCACACCTGCTTACAGGGCAATATCGGGTGCCCACACACACTACAATAATTTTCATAATGCAATCACACATAATCACCATGTGACTCCATTATGAAAATTCTTGTAGTGTGCTTTTCAGCTCTATTAGGTCGGTTATGTCTTCTTTATACTTGCTATTTTGTCTGTTAGCTCCTGCAATGTTTTACAATGATTTTTAGCTCACTTGTATTGCATGACAACATACTTCTTTCACTCAGTGAACTTTGTTCCTACGCATATCCTGAACCCTGCTTGTATCATTCCAGACATCTCAGCCTCAGCCCAGTTCTGAACACTTGCTGGAGAGTTGATGCAGTCATTTGGAGGAAAGAAGGCATGCTGACTTTTTGAGTTTTCAGTGTTCTCACACAGATTCTTTCTCATCTTTATGGGCTTATCCACCTTCCATCTTTGAGGTTGCTGACCTTCGGACAGGGTATTTTTGTTTTATTGTATTTGATGATCTTGAGGGTTTCATTGTGGTATAAGGTGGATTCAACCAACTGGCTTTGTTTTTGGAGGATTTTGGGGAGGCCAATGTGCAGCTCCCAATTCCTGGACTGTGTGCTTTAACTCTAGGGAACTTGTCTTAGGCCCCAACTTTGTTCTCTGGCTCCTCGAGGTTTGGAGTCCACTGCACTGAGGGGACCGAAGTGTGGCAACTGTGGCGGAATGCTAGTGGATGCAAAATTCCCTTCCTCCCTGCGGGCGTTCACCCAGTGGTGGAGGCAAGACAGCTGGGGTGTGGGCCAGGGCTCCCCTGCTGTGTGTGTGTTGCACTGGAGGTAGTGTTGGTTCAGGGTGAGCTGCTGGCCAGTGCAGACCATGGTGCCTTCTCTGTGCCCCTCAAAGAAACAGTGGTCGCTCAGGGTATAAGAATGTCCCTTTTTCTCTGCACAGCATTAGGTCAAGGGTGAGGTGCTGGCAGGGATGGGGTTCTTGGTTCTGTGCCCACCAAGGCTCTGTCTTCAATGGCAGTTGGTGTGGGTTGGTGTGTGTGCTGCACTCCCGTGTGCTGTCAGGGCAAGTACAGCAAAACCCACCTGTGTAAACACACACAGCAAAGTGATGTAGGAAGTTTCCATATAAAGGGCTGCAGCATGGAGAGGTAATGTGCAGACTGGTGCGTGGCTGTTGGGGCCACCTTGCTGCAGCTCTCCACTGATCAGCTACGGTCCACTAGCACGGAAGCTATGCTGTGGGCATCCGAGAGTGCCCTGTAAGCAGGTGTGGCCAGGCTGGGGTCCTGGGAGAGGCAAGCAGACTAAGGAGTGCCCCATCTCATGGGCAAGACTGCCCAGCAGAGATCAGGTCTCAGAGGAGAACTCCCTCAAAAGTGAACCCCCAGCACAGCATAGCTGCTTTACACAAACATGGCCAGTCTTCTTTTTTAAGCAAGTCCCCTTTTTTAAGAGGGGAACTCTCTGACCTGATCTCTGCTGGGCAATCTTGAACATGAGATGGGGCTGATCTGAGCTTAGCATTTCTAAAGTGCTGGGATAAAGTGTCTCACAAGGGCAAGTGGAGCCTAGAGAGATAGCTGTCCCTGCCCTCTGGGCTCCACATCACCTGACTTGCTGCTCCAGCACTCTGCTTGTCTCCTGGGTGCTCCATCCCGGAGAGATGTGAGTTAGCAATCACTTAGCGTAATCAGCCCAGGATGGAGGGTCTGTGTTGTAAGCCCAAGCCAGGGTTCCCTCTCTGGTGATGAGCAGTGTGGGGTGTGTGGTACCCGTGGGAGATGGACTGGCTTGTTCGTTGGGTCAACTGCAGCTTATTGGAGGTGTCGATATGGCACTTAGGGTCTTTGCTCCCTTGATATTCTGAGGGTAGCAAGGGCAGTTCCACTGCAGAGACAGTGGCAGAGGGAATTTCATTTGCTCCTGGAAGCTCTGTCCAGGGAATTGCTGAGTTGCTACTGGCTTGATAGCTCCAATGGTGGACTGGCTGGAGACCCAGGCCAGGAGGACTTGTCCATCAAGTAGACTGTCCGGCCACTTTCCTGTCAGGCTGCTGTGGTATGCTGGGGGTCCCTCCAGTCCCTATTTGCCTTGTATTTTCCAGGGAAGATGATAGCCTGCCCCTTCCTCTGGGAGCTCTGGGCCACTGAGGTACGAACTTGTTGCCTATATGAACACACCTATAAGATATGACTGGAGACAAGTTGAGAAGTCTTATCTAGTCAGGAGGAACAAGAACAGGGACTTGCTTAAAAAAAAGTCTGGCCACGTTTTTCTAGAGCAGCTGTGCTATGCCGGGGGTTCACTTCCACACCTTGTCGCCTCAGACACTCTGAAGCCCTAAGGCTGAAATGGCTGAGTTGCCCCAACAGCAAAGATGACAGTCTGGTCCTCCCCCTGGGAGCTCTGACTCAGGGAGGCCTGAAACCTCTGTCGGCCAGAGAACAGCAGTGAAGGTAGCTGGAGACCCTGGTTGAAAGGCTTCACCCACTGATTAGAAATGTGTTCGGGGACTGACTTAAACAAGAGTCTGGCCACGTTTTTGTAGTGTGGCTGTGCTGTGCTGAGGTTCCTCTTCCACCCCTTGTCACCTTGGGGTTTCCAAATCTCGCAGTCCAGAATGGCTAGTCACCCAAACAGCAAAGGTGGTGGCCTGCCCCTCTCTCTGGGAGCTCTGTCCCGGGAACACTTCAAATTTCCATTGGCCAAGGAATGCTGGTGGCCGTAGCTGGGACCCCAGTTGGGAGGTCCTTTCCAGTGACATGCAACAGAGTCAGGGGCCTGCTTACAGAAGCAGTCTGGCCATGATTTGGTAAAGCAGCCATGCTGTGCTGTGGGATCTCTTCTGCCCCTGGTCGGTTTGTACTCTCCAAAGCCTTCAGGCTGGAATGACCAAGTTGCCTGAACAGGAAAGATGGCGGCCTGCCCCATCTATTCTCTCAGAGTTCGTCTTGTTTGATGGAGCTTAATTTTTAGCCCGTTAATTTTACTGTCTACATTAGACTTGTTCTGAAAGAATCTGTTATCTTTTAGGTTAGATATATGAGAATTCATTGTTTTCTGTAAATAAACCTGTTCATGTCTTGTTCTCTGGAAAGAAATCTCTTGCAACTCTCTGACTTTGGTCACAATCATGTAGAGCAGTAGCCAGTCTACAGTGACATAATTGAATTTCCATTTCCAGTGTTTCGTTTTTGTGTCTTACATTGTACAGTTCAGAACTGTGCATTTTATTTCCAATTGTCAAAATGCTAAGCTGTCCACTGTATTGAAATTCTGTTTTTGTTAATTCTTCATCATTCAGTTTTTTTTAAGATGTGCACTTTTATCCAACTTTTCTCAAGGCAGAGTACAGGTAAGCCCTGGCTGCCTCCAGCCACTCTCAGGGAGACCAAAACCCTTCATACACTCCAAGTTGGGGTACAAAAAAGGGGGGCAATGAAGGCTAATCATTCAAAATAAAACAAAATTTAAAAGTATTAATGCAAAGATTTAAAAAATTTTGCATTATGTAATTTACACAAAAGCAATGCTATCACCTCCCCTGTGTGAGCTCGGGAGAGGACTGGGCCATTCTCCTTAGAGAGAAGTAGGGTGGCTTTTAGGAGGGCAAGGGGCTTCCTGAAACAATGCATCTCACAATATTTGGAATGACTATTGAAAAGAAGAATAAAGTACAGTCAAAGTCCTTGGCGACATTGTAGAACTAGCGGGTGCTGACCCCCGAGCCACAACCACAGTTCTGGGTTTGGGGTTTGGTAAAACCACCCCAGGGACAGAGTTCTGGGGCTGGGTTTGGGAGGAACCAAGGCGCCTCCCAGGGATGGTGTGTCACTCCTGCTTGCCATGAAATGTGCACACAGGCTGTCCCCCTGCCCATCCCATCCTGCTGGACAGGATGGAGGAAGTGAGGGAACAGGCAGGGTGGACAGCTGGGGTGCAGGGCGAGGCAGGTGCATGCTGGGAGGTCAGGACCTGTGAGGGCTGTGGGCTCATCAGGTGGAGTGGGCTCCAGGTTCACCCTCAGTGCACTGGGCAGGTCTCAGGCCAGGCTCCCTGGACCCCGGCTGGGTGATGTGGTCACTCCCTGGGGGACTGCTGTCAGACCCTGGCCACCCCCCCTGGGCAGCACCGTCACATCCCAGGAATGGACTTTCTGAGTCCTGAGACAGGACAGTGCTGCCCAGGCCTGACAGACTGGGAGGACCTGTTAAGTCCTCCATCCCTAGACCAGCCAATCTTAGAATGAGATCCATCTCATTCTAAGGCAACCAAGGCAGAGCTGAGGACCTGTGCCCAGCTGGGAGCCAGTCCTCTCCCTAAATGGGCCTTAGGGAAGCCTCATCCCTATCCCAGTGCACTGCAAGTTTCAGCCCAGGAGACACATAGGGAAGGGAGGATGGGGCCTCTCCACTGGCTGACCCTGGAAAAGCAGGACCTGGGAGAAGAGAGAGCACAGGGCTGGCAGGTGATGCTCCATGCCCATGGAGAGCTCAGGCTCCACCAAGGGGCTGCCTCTCCTGGGCTGGAGGCTGTGCCCTCTGCAGGATCTGAGGAAGTCCAGTCCTGAGATGGGACAGTGCTACCCAGGGTGGGCGGCCAGCGCCTGACAACAGTCCCCCAGTAAGTGACCACATCACCCGGCCGGGGTCCAGAAAGCCTGGGCCAAGACCTGCTCAGTGCACTGAGGGTGCACCTGGAGCCAACCCCACCTGATGCCCCCACAGCCCTCACAGGGTCTGACCTCCCAGCATGCACCTGCCTCTCCCTGAAACCCAGCTGCCCACCCTGCCTGTTCCTTGGCGCAAGAACTCCCAGGTCCATCCAGACACCTGCTTTGTCCACTTTTGACTGGGCCATTGAACACCACTGGGCCACGCCAACTGTCCACAGCCTCCTCGATAACATGCATTTTCCCTGACATTTCCCAGTAGTGCTCAGCAGCCCCCACTGACCAGGTCCCTGCTGAGCAGATTCAGCATATCAGATCCTCCCTGACCACACCCTCACTGATTAGACCCCCTTCACCAGACCTCACTAACTAGATTCCCACTGCCAGGCCCACAATGTCCAGGACTCCACTGACGAGGACCTTACTGACAAGGCCTCACTGGCAAGGCCTCACTGACCAGGTCCTTACTTACAAGGTCTAACTGATAAGGTTCCACCGATCATGACCCCATTACCTGGTCCCACAGATGAAGCCCTACTGACCAGGCCTGCAGGGAATATGTTGCCAGTGACCAGGCCCCTGCTAACCAGGCCTGAGGTGACCAGATGCCCCTGACCAGGACCCTAATAAGTATGCCCCACTGAACAGGCATGCACTGCTCAGATCCCCGCTGACCAGGTCACCCCGTAGACCAGTGCTACAAAAGCCACCACTGATCAAGTCCTCTCTGACCAGGCCCCCACTGATTAGGTTTCCATGGACCAGCCTGCCCTGACCAGGGCCCCACTGACAAGCGCCTCTGCTGACTAGGTCCCATGTGACCAGACCTCCACTGAATAACACCCCTTGACCTGGTCACCAGTAACCCAGCCCAATCTGACAAGGCCATCACTAAGCCCCAGCTGACAAGGTCTCCAGTGACCAAGTCCCACAGCCCAGGTAGGCATTGACCAGACACCAAATATTTGTCTGCCACTAGGAACCCACTCACCAAGACCTGCACTACTAGATCCCTCTAATGAGACCCTCTCTAAGCAGACCCCTGGTGGCCACCTCCCACTAAATAGGCCTCACTGACCAAGTCCCGACTGACTAGGTCCACTGAGCAGGCCCACACTGATCAGGCCCCTCCTAACCATATCAGAAGGCCAAGCGGCAAAGAGATGTTTCATATGGCAGGAGTAGGAGCAAGACAGAGAAAGGAAAGAGGTGTGACATCCTGTTAGGCAATCAAATCACATGAGAACTCACTATCAGGAGATCAGCATCAAGAAGACTAACCAATGGTGAAGGATTCTCCACCCATGCCACCGCCCACTGCTTCCAGGCAGAAGCCTCCTGCAGAGGCAGAACCTCTTAGGAAACTTCCATTATGGCAGTGCAGAAGGAAAATATAGGCTTTGAGCCCCCACACAGGAGGCCACCATCCTCCAGACTCCAGATTTGTAAGCCCACCAACAGCTCATACTCTCAGTATGGAAAAGCTACAGTCACTCAACACAAACCCAGCCCATGAGAGCAGCCATGGGGGCTAAACCCTGCAAAGCCACAGGTGCACTGTCCTAGTAGAGGTTTCCCATGAGCCTCTGCCTCTGCAGCAGGTTACTCCCACCCTCCCAACACCCTACTGACAACCTACTCCTCCCCACACTACCACCCCTTTTCCTTCCACCCAACCCCCTCCCATCCAAGATTAAATCACCTCCCACCTGACCCACCTCCAACATTAAGGATGACACGTGAGTTATATAGGGACACATAGCCAACCCATATTATTCTGACCCTGATACCCCAGAACCTCATGTCCTTCTCACAGAGCAAAACACAACCATGCTTTTTCAAAAGTTTCCAAAAGTCTTAACTCATTCCAAATGTAAAAATTTCCAAGTCTCATCTGAGACAAGGTTACAGTCCCTTCTGCCAATGAGTCCCTGAATTTAAAAGGGATTTCTTTTCCTTCAAGGTACAACAGGCATTGGGTAAGATTTCTCAATCCAAATGGAAGAAATTCCCCAGAAAAAATAACACAAATGCAAGTCCAAAACCCAGCAGGACAGTATTCACTCAATCTCACAGCTCCAAAGTCATCAAGAGAACTCACTGTCATGCGGACAGCATTAAGGAGATAGTGTTTACCCATTTGTGAAGAATCTGCCCCCCTACCCTCATCTTTCACTCCCACCCACAAAATAATCTCTCCCATTCTCCCCACAACCCTACCTCCAACACCCACTCTTCTCCATGATTAAATCACCTCCCACCAGGTCCCACCTTTAACATTCCCCACTACAATTCCACATGAGTATTGGTAGGGACACAGAATCAAATCATATTATTCTGGTTCTTGCTCCCCAAATCTTGTATCCTTGCCACACTGCAAAATACATTGATGACTTCTCTACTGCCCCCCAATGACTTAACTCATTCCAGCATTTACTGAAATGTACAAGGACTTACAGACCCCATGCAAGTCAAAAACCCAGCAGGCCAGTCATTGAATCCTACAGCTCCAAATCATCCTTTCTGAATCTACATCTCACATCTAGAGAACAGATGGCTGTGCAGGGTCTATCCCCCACAGCTGCCCTCATGGGCTGGGCTGATGTTGAGTGCCTGTAGCTTTTCCACATTAAGGGTGCCAGCTGTTGGTGGGTCTATGAATCTGGGGTCTGGAGAATGGTGCCTCCATATTTAGGGACTCCAGCCCTAAATTCTCCTTCTGTACTGCCCTAGTAAAGGTTTCCCATGAGGCTTTGCCTCTTGGAAAAGATCCTGCCTGAACACCCGGGTTTTTCCGTACATACTCTGGAGTCTAGACAAAGGCTCCCAAGCCTCTAGTTTTGTGCTCTGTGCAGCTGCTGGCTTAACACTATGTGGAAGTCACCAAGGCTTGAAGCTTGCACCCCTGAAGCTGTGATGCAAGCTGTACCTGTGCATCTTTAAGCCATGCCTGGAACTAGAGCTGCAGGGATGCAGGCAGCAGTGTCCTGAGGCTGCACATAGAGGGGGGTCACGGAACTGGCCCAGGAAACCATTCTTCTCTCCGAGGCCCCAGGGCCTATGATAGCAAGGGCTGCTGCAAAGGTTTCTGAAATGGCTTCAAGGCCTTTTCCCTATTGTCTTGGCTATTAGCACTGGGCTCCTTTTCATGCAAATTTCTGAAGCCTTCCTCAGTTTTCCCCTGAAAATCAGATTTTCTTTCTGACCATTTGGCCAGGCTGCAAATTTTTGAGTTCTGTTTCTCATATAATATAAGAGTTGGGACTGATTTAATGTAAGACCCATCCAGATGTCATTTCCTCAGTCACACATAAGGGCACAGGCTATTTGATACAGACAGGACATCCCTTCAGCTTTGCTGTCCAGAAGTTCATTCCATCAGATACTCAGTAAGTCATCACCCTCAAATTCAAAGTTTCAGAGATCTCCAGGGCAGGGTCACTGTGCAGCCACGTTCTTTGCTGCAGCAAAACAAAAGTAACCTTGGCTCCTGTTTGCCGTAAGTACCTCCTTTTCATCTGAGAGCTTCTCAATCTGATCCTTACTATTTTCCTATGAGCCTTCTGATCACAAGTATTTAACAATTCTTTACAAAGATCCAAACTTTCCCTCATCTCCCTGTCTTCAAAGTCCTCCAAACTCTCCCAAACTCCATCTGCTACCCCCTTCTGAACATGCTTCTACATTATCAGCTATCTTTGTCACAGGCTGGCCATGTGGTAAAGGAAGACAAGCCCATTTCCTGGGGAAGAAGTCAAGGAGGCTTCAGATACTTGAGTGAAAAGAAGCTGAGTGCTGATTGCCAAGACTTTAGGGAGAAGACCTTGAAGACATTTAATAGATCCACTTTGCAGTCATAATTTTCTCCATGATTATAAAGAAAAGAGGTTTAATTGGTTAATGATTCTGCAGGCTGTAAGGAAGCATAGTGGCTTCTGCATCTGACAGGACTCAGGAAGCCTCCCAATCCTACCAGAATGTCAAAGGGCAAGGAGATGTCTCATATGGCAAGAGTAGGAGCAAGACAGAGAAAGGAAAAATGTTGTCATGCCCTATTATACAAGCAGATCTCATGAGAACTCACTATCACAAGGTCAGCATCAAGAAGATGGTGCTTAAACATTGGTGAAGTATCTGACCCACACCCCCAACTCCCACTGTTTCCAGGCAGAAGCCTCCTTCAGATGCAGAACCTCTTGGAAAACCTCTATTATGGAAGTGCAGAAAGAAAATATGGGCTTGGAGCCCCCACACAGGTGGCCACCAACCTCCAGATCCCAGATTCATAGACCCACCAACAACTCACGCACTTGGTGTGGAAAAGCTACAGACCCTCAATACCAGCCCAGCCCACGAGAACAGCTGAGGGGCTCAAACCTGCAAAGCCACAGGTGCACTTCCCTAGTGGAGGTTTTCCATGAGGCTTTGCCTCTGCAGCAGTCTACTCCCCCTTCCTACTTCCCCCCACCCTCCCACCACCCTACTGCCAACCCGCTCCTCCCCATCCTACCGATCCCTTTTACCTTCTACCACCACCAACCTCCTGTCCATAATTAAGTCACCTGCTTCAACATTAGGGATTACAATTCCACATGAGTTTCATAGGGACACACAGGCAAACCATATAATTCTGACCCTGATATTCCAGAATCTATGTCCTTATCACAGACCAAAATACAATCATGACTTTTCAAAAGTTTGCAAAAGTCTTAACTCATTCCAAATTTTAAAAATTCAAAGTCTCATCTGAGATAAGGCCACAGTCCCTTCTGCCTATGAGTCCCTGAATTTAAAATGGAGTTCTTTTCTTTCAAGTTACAATGATGGTGGAGGCATTGGGTAAGTTTTCTCAGTCCAAAGGGAAGAAATTTCCCAGAAAAATAACACAAATGGGCCCACAGGCCCAATGCAAGTCCAAAACCCAGCAGGACAGTATTCACTCAATCTCACAGCTCCAAAATCATCAAGAGAACTCACTGTCATGTGAACAGCCTTAAGGAGAGTGTGCTTAACCATTTGTGAAGAATCTGCCCCCCCACCCTCATCTTTCACTCCCACCCACAAAATAATCTCCCCCATTCTCTCCACACCCTTACCTCCAACCCCCATGCTTCTCAATGATTAAATCACCTCCCACCAGGCCCCACCTTCAACATTCCCCATTACAATTCCACATGAGTTTGCTAGGGATGCAGAGCCAAATCATATTATTCTGACCCTGGTCCCCATATCTCATGTTGTTCTCACACTGCAAAGTACAATGATGCCTTCTCTACAGTTTCCCAATCTCTTAACTCATTCCAGCATTTACTGAAGTGTCCAAAGCCTAAAGTCTCTTCTGAGACAAGGCTGCCATATGTTCTACCCCTGAGCCTCTGAAATACCAAGCAAGTACTTCCAAAGTACAATGATTTTACATGCATTGGATAAGTATTCCCAGCCAAAAGGAATAAATTTGCCAGAAAGAAGCACAAAATACATTTGGGACTTACAGACCCCATACAAGTCAAAAACCCAACAGGCCAGTCATTGAATCCTACACCTCCAAATCATTTTTTTTGAATCCAGATCCCACATCCAGAGCACAAGGGTATGAGGCCTGGGCTCCCAAGGCCTTGGGCAGGTCTGCACCTGTGACTTTTGCGGGGTCTAACCTCCACAGTTGCCCTCATGGGCTGGGCTGGTGTTGAGTACCTATAGCTTTTCCACAATCAGGGTGCAAGCTGCTAGTGAGTCTATGAATCTGGAGTTGGCAGAATGGTGCCTCCCTGTATGGGGTTCCAACCCTATATGTTCCTTCTCTACTGACCTAGTAAAGGAGGCTCTGCCTCTTGGAAAAGTTTCGACCTGGACACCCAGGTTTTTCCATACATACTCTGGAGTCCAGACTAAGGATCCCCAGCCTCTAGTTTTGTGCTCTGTGCACCTGCTGGCTTAACACTATGTGGAAGCCACCAAGGCTTGCAGCTTGCACCCTCTGAAGCAGTGACCCAAGCTGTACCTGTGCATCTTTCAGCCATGGCTGGAGCTGGAGCTTCAGGAATGCAGTCAGCAGTGTCCTGAGGATGGACATAGCAGCGGGGCCATTGGGCTGGAGAAGGAAACCTTTCTTTTATCCCAGGCCTCAGGGCCTGTGATAGCAAGGGCTGCTGCAAAAGTCTCTGAAATGCCTTCAAGGCCTTTTTAACATTGTATTGGCTATTAGCACTGCACTCCTTTTTATGCGCATTTCTGAAGCCTTTTTGAACTTTCCCACTGATAATCAGCTTTTCTTTTTGACCACTTGGCCAGGCTGCAAATTTTCCAAACTTTTAAGCTCTCCTTCTCATTTAAATATAAGTTTCACCTTGAGGTCATTTCTTTGGTCACATATAGGACCACAGGCTGTTCGACACAGACAGGACACTTCTTAAGCTTTGCTGCCTAAAATTTCATTCCACCAAATACACTCTAAATTATCACCCTGATGTTCAAATTTTCACAGGTCTCCACATTAGGGGCATCATGCAGCAACGTTCTTTGCTAAGGAAAAAACAAAAGTGACCTTGGTTCCTGTTCCCAGCAAGCTCCTCATTTTCATGTGAGACTTTCTAAGCCTGGAGATCACTGTCCATCCTTCTGTCACCTTTTTAATTATAACTATTTAACGAGTCTCTACACTGGACCAAAGTTTTCCTCATCTTCCTGTCTTCTTCCAAGACCTCCAAACTCTCCAACCTCTGGCCATTACACACTTCTCAACCTGCTTCTACATTTTCAGCTACGTTTGTCATAGCCTGGCAATGTGGTAAAAGAAGAAAAGTCCATTTCAGGAAAAAATTAATGCAGGCTTCACATATTTGCCTGAAAAGAAGCTGAGTGCTGATTGCCAAGAGACTAGGAAAAAGGTCTTGAAGGCATTTCATAGTTCCACTTTATAGCATTATTTTTTTGTATAATCAGAAAGAAAAGAGGTTAAACTGGCTGATGGTTCTGCAAGCTTTAAATAAATCATAGAGGCTTCTGCTTCTGGGAAGATTCAGGAAGCCTCCCAATCATACCAGAAGACCAAGCAGCAATGGGATGTTTTATATGGCAGAAGTAGAAAAAAAAACACAGAGAGGAAAAAGGTGCCACACGTTGTATAACCCTGTTATACAACCAGATTTCCTGAGAACTCACTATCACAAGGTCAGTATCAAGATGTTGCTTAACCATTGGTGAAAGATCTGCCCCCTACCACCCACACCCCTCACTGTTTCCAGGCAGAAGACTGAGGCAGAGGCAGAGCCACTAGGAAAACCTCTACTAGGGCAGAGCAGAAAAAATAGATGGGCTTGGAGGCCCCACGCATGAGGTTACCATCCTCAGACCCCAGATTCATAGACCCACCAACAGCTTGCACTCTCAGTATGGAAAAGCTACAGGCACTCAACACCAGCCCAGCCTATGAGGGCAGCCACGGCGGCTACACCCTGCAAACCACAGGTGCACAGCCCTGGTAGAGGTTTTCCATGAGGATATGCCTCTGCAGCAGGCTACTCCCCCTTCCTACTGCCCACCACGCTCTCACCACCCTACTGCCAGCCTACTCCTCCCCACCCTACCCATTTATTTTCCCTTTCACCCCTACCAACCTCCTGTTTGTGATTAAATCACTTCCCACCAGGTCCCACCTACAACAGTCAGGAATGCTGTTCCCCATGAGTTTTTGTAGAGAAACACAGCCGAACCATATTATCCTGACCCTGACACCCCCACATCTCATGTCTTTCTCACACAGAAAAATACAAACATGCCTTTTCAAAAGTTTCAAAAAGTCTTAACTCATTCCAGCAGTAACTCAAATGTAGTAAGTTCAAGTCTCATCCAGAACAAGACCAATCCCTTCTGCCTATAAGTCCCTGAATGTAAAATACAATTCTTTTCTTTCAAGTTAAAACGATGGCACAGGCACTGGGTAAACTTTCTCAAACCAAAGGGAAGATTTTCCCAGAAAAATAACACAATTGGGACACAGGCCCAATCCGACTCCAAAACCCAGCAGGACAGCATTCATTTATCATGAGAACTCACTATCACACAGACTGCATTAAGGAGATAGTATTTAACCATTTGTGAAGGATCTGCCACCCGTCCCCATGTTTCACCTTCACTCACACCATGAACCTCCGTTCCCCTACATCCCCCTTCCAACCCCCATTCTCTACCATGATTAAATCATCTTCTACCAAGCCCCACGTTTAACATTCCCCATTACAATTCAACATGAGTTTTGGTAGGGACACAGAGCCAAATCATATTATTCCCCCTTTGGCTCCCCAATCTCACATCCTTCTCATACTGCAAAATACAATGATGCATCCTCTACAGTCCCCCAGTGTCTGAACTCATTCCAGCATTTACTCAAATGTCCATTTGTGAAGGATGCACCCCCCGCCCCTGCCTTTCACCCCCAACCCCACCACAATCACCCCAACCCTCCCCACCCCCTAATCACCCCCACCCTCCCCAACCCCCCAACCATCCCACCTCCACTCTCCATCATGATTAAATCACCTTCCACCAGCCCCCACCTTTAACATTTCCCATTAAAATTCCATATGAGTTTTGGTAGAGACACAGAGCCAAAACATATTATTCTGTCCCTGGTCCCCCAAAGTTCATGTCTTTCTCACATTGCAAAACGCAATGATGACTTCCCTAGAGTCCCCCAAATCTTAACTCATCCCAGCGTTTACTCAAATGTCTAAAGCCCAAAGTCTCTTCTGAGACAAGGCTGCCATACCTTCTGCCCTGAGCCTCTGAAATACAAAGCAAGTTAACCACTTCCAAGGTACAATGATTGTACAGGCATTGGGTAAGCATTCCAAGCCAAAAAGAAGAAATTTGCCAGAAAGAAGCACAAAACACAGATGAGACTTAAAAACCACCTGCAAGTCAAAAACACAGCAGGCCAGTCATTCCATCATACAGCTCCAAATCATCTTTTTGGAATCTATGTCCACATCCAGAGCACAGGGTGGTGTGATGGCTGGGATCCCAAGGCCTTGGGCAGCTCTGCACATGTGGCATTGCAGAATCTTCCCCCTACAGCTGACTTCATTGGCTAGGCTGGCGTTGAGTACCTGTAGCTTTTCAACAGTAAGGGTGCAAGCAGCTGGTGGGTCTATGAAACTGAGGTCTGGAAAATGGTGCCTCCCTCTATGGGGACTCCAACCCTATACTTTCCTTGTGTACTACCTGAGTAGAGGTTTACCATGAGGCTCTGCCTCTTGGAAAAGCTTCTGGCTAGACACTCAGGCTTTCTGATATATTCTCTGGAGTCCAGACGAAGGCTCTGAAGCTTCTAGTCCTGTGCTTTATGCACCTGCTGGCTTAACACTATGTAGAAGCCACCAAGGCTTGGAGCTTGCATCCTCTGAAGCAGTGATGCAAGCTGTACCTGTACATCTTTCATCCATGGCTGAAGCTGGAAAAGGAGCTGCAGGGATGCAGGCAGTAGTGTCCTGAGGCTGCACACAGCAGTGGAGCCATGGGGCTGAGCCAGGAAACTATTCTTTTCTCCTAAACCCCAGGGCCAGTGACAGCAAGGACTGCTACAAAGGTCTCTGAAATGCCTTCAAGGCCTTTTTCCCATTGTCTTGAATTATTAGCATTGGGCTCCTTTTTATGCAAATATCCTAAGCCTTCTTGATTTTCCCCCTGAAAATCAGCTTTTCTTTTTGACCACTTGTCCAGATTACAAATTTTCCAAATGTTGAAGCTCTGTTTCTCATTTAAATATAAGTTCCAACTTATGGTCATTTCTTTCATCACACATAGGAGCACAGGCTGTTCGATGTAGGCAGTACAACTCTTGAACTTTGCTGCTTAGAAGTTCATTCCACCAAATACACCCTAAATTATCACCCTCGAGTTCAGTTTCACAGATCTCCCGGGAAGGGTCACTGTGTAGCCAATTACTTTGCTAAGTCAAAACAAAAAAACCTTGGCTCCTTTTCCCAGTAAGTTACTCATTTTCATCTGAGACCTTACAAGGCTGGTCTTCACTGTCCATCCTTCTGTCAGCCTTTTACTCACAACTATTTAATAAGTCTCTGCAATGGTCCAAACTTTCCCTCATCTTTCTGTCTTCTTCCAAGCTCTCCAAACTCTCTAACCTCTGGCCACTACCCAATTTGGAACCTGCGTCTACACTGTCAGCTATCTTTGCTGCAGCCTGGCAATGTGGTAAAAGAAGAAAAGTCCATTATCAGGGGAAACATCAAGATGGCCTCCAATATTTGCATTGAAAGAAGCTCAGCGCTAATAGCCAAGAGAATGGGGGAAACACCTAGAAGTCATTTCATAACTTCACTTCACAGCATTAATTTTCTGTATCTACATAAAGAAAAGAGGTCTAATTGACTCACAGTTCTTCAGGCTGTAAAGAAAGCATAGTGGTTTCTGCTTGTAGGGGGACTCAGGAAGCCTCCCAATTATACCAGAAGGCCAAGCAGCAATGAAATGTTTCATATGGCAGGAGTAGAAGCAAGACAGAGAGAGGAAAGAAGTGCAATATCCAGTTATACAACTAGATCTCATGAGAGCTCACTATCAGAAGATCAGCATCAAGATGGTGCTTAACTGTTGGTGAAGGATCCGCCCACCACCCCATATCCACTACCCACTGTTTCCAAGCAAAAGCCTGAGGCAGAGACAGATCCGCCTGGAAAACCTCTACTAGGGCAGTGCAAAAGGAAAATATGGGCTTGGAGCCCCCACGCCACCATCCTCCAGCCCAAGAGTCATGGACCTACCAACAGCTCACACCCCCAGTATGGAAAAGCTTCAGGCACTCAACAGCAGCCCAGCCCATGAGAGCAGCTGCAGGTGCTAAACCCTGCAAAGCCACAGGTGCACTGCCTTAGTAGAGGTTTTCCATGAGCCTCTGCCTCTGTTGCAGGCTACTCCCCTCCTGCTACACACCACCCTACAGCCAGCCTACACCTCCCCACCTTACCCACCTGTTTTTACTTCCAACCCCACCCCTCTCCCATCCATGAATAAGTCACTTCCCACTAGGCCCCACCTGCAACATTCAGGATTACAATTACATGTGAGTTTAGGTAGGGACACGCAGCTAAATCATACTATTCTGACCCTGATCCCCCAAATATCATATCCTTCTCACAGAGTAAAATACAATCATGCCTTTTCAAAAGTTGCCAAAAGTCTTAAGTCATTTCAGCATTAACTCGAATGTAAAAAGTTCCACGTCTCACCTGAGAAAAGGCTACAGTCCCTTTTGCCTATAAGTCCCTGAATTTAAAAGTGAGTTCTTTTCTTTCAAGGTACAATGATGGTACAGGCATTGGGTAAGTTTTCTCAATCCAAAGGGTAGAAGTTTGCCAGGAAAATAACACAAATGTGATCACAGGGCCAACGCAAGTCCAAAACCCAGGAGGTCAGTATCCATTCAATCTCACAGCTCCAAAACCGTCACGAGAACTCACCATCATGAGGAAAGGATTAAGGAGATGGTGTTTAACTACTTGTGAGGGATCATCCCCCCACCCCCACTTTTCACCCCTCACCCCCAGCATAATCCACCCATCCTTCCCAATCTCCACCTTCCAACACCCAGTGCCCTCCATGATTAAATCACCTTCCACCTGGCCCCAATTTTAACATTTCTGATTACAATTCCACATGAGTTTCCATAGGGACACACAGCCGAATCTTATTCTTCTGTCCCTGCCTCCCCAAATCTCATGTCCTTCTCACTTTGCAAAATACAGTGATGCCTTACTTACCATTCCCCAAGCCACTATGCTTTTTTTTACAGCCTGCAGAAAGATGAGCCAATTAAACCCCTTTTTGTTATGATCATACAGAAAATTAGTACTATGAAGTGAAGCTATGAAACGCCTTTAATGACTTTTCCCCATCGTCTTGGCTAAAACCCCCAACGTCTTAACTCATTCCAGCATTTACTTAAATGTCTGAAGCCCAAAGTCTCATCTGAGACAAAGATGCTGTCCCTTCTGCTCCTGAGCCTCTGAAATACAAAGCAAGTTAACTACTTCCAAGGTATGATTGTCCAGGCATTGAGTAAGAATTCCCACCCTAAAGGAAGATTTTTGCCAGAGAAGCAATGAAACACAAATGGGACTTACAGGTCCCATGAAAATCCAAAACCCAGCAGGCCAGTTATTAAAACCTACAGCTCTAAAGTCATCCTTTTTTAATCCTTGCCCCACATCCAGGGCACAAGGGCATGAGGGCTGGGCTCCCAAGGCCTTGGGCAGGTCTGCACCTGTGGCTTTGTGGTTTTCAGTCCCCACAGCTGCCCTCATGGGCTGTGCTGGTGTTGAGTGCCTGTAGTTTTCACCCACAGAGGGTACAAAGCTCTTGGTGGGTCTATGAGTCTGGGGTCTGCATGATGGTGGCCTCCGGTGTGGGGGCTCCAACCCCATATTTTCCTTCTGCACTGCCCTAGTAGAGGTTTCCCAAGAGGCTCTGCTTTTTGGCAGCCTTCTGTCTGGACACCCAAGCATTTTCGTACATCTTCCAAAATCTATATGAGGGCTCCGAAGCCTCTGGGCTAGTGCTCTATGGACTCGCTGGATTAACACTATGTGGAAGCCATGAAGCCTTATAGCTTGTACCCTCTGAAGCAGTGATGCAATCTGTAGCTGTGTATCTTTCAGCCAAGGTCGGAGCAGGAGCTGGGCTGCTGGGATGCAGGCAGCAGTGTCCTGAGGCTGCACACAGCAGCAGGGCCATGGGGCTGGCCCCGGAAACCATTCTTCTCTCCTAGGCCCCAGGGTCTGTGACAGTAAATGCTGCTGTAAACATCTCTGAAATGCCTCCAAGGCTTTTTCCCCCATTGTCTTGGCTATTAGCACTGGCCTCCATTTTATGCAAATTTCTGGAGCCTTCATGAATTTTCCCCCTGAAAATCAGCTTTTCTTTTTGACCACTTGGCCAGGCTGCAAATGTTCCAAACTTTTGAGCTCTGCTTGTCATTTTTAAATATAAGTTCCAACTTGAGGTCATTTCCTCGGTCACACATAACCTCGGTCACACAAGAGCACAGGCTGTTTGATGCAGACAGGATCCCCCTTGTGCTATGCTGCCTAGAAGTTCATTCCACCAGATATGTACTAAATCATCACCCTCAAGTTCAAAGTTTCACAGATCTAGAGGGCAAGGTCGCCCTGCAGCCATGTTCTTTGCTATAGCAAAACAAAAGTAACCTTGGCTCCTGTTCCCAGTAATTTCCTCATTTTCATCTGAGACCTTGTAAGCCTGGCCTTCACTGTCCATCCTTCTGCCAGCCTTTTAATCACAACTATTCAACAAGTGCCTACTATGGTCCAAAATTTCTTTCATCTTCCTGTCTTCTTTCAAGCTCTCCAAACTCTCCAACCTCTGGCTTTTACCCACTTCTGAACCTGCTTTACATTTTCAGCTATCTTTATTGCAGCCTGGCAATGTAGAAGAAAAAGAAGTCCATTTTCAGGGGGAAACTTCAAAAGGCTTCAGATATTTGCATTAAAAAGAAGTCCAGTGCTAATAGCCAAGACGATGGGGAAATGTCATTGCAGATATTTCATAGCTCCACTTCACAGTACTTTATTTTCTGTATGATCATAATGAAAAGGGGTTAATTGGCTCATGGTTCTGCAGGCTGTAAAGAAAGCATAGTGGCTTCTGCTTCTGGGAGGACTCAGGAAGCCTCCCAATCATACCAGTAGGAAAACAGCAATGAAATGTTTCATACGGCAGGAGTAAGAGCAAGGCTGAGAGAGGAAAGAGGTGCCACACCGTTATATAACCAGATCTCATGAGGACTCACTATCACTAGGTCAGCATCAAGAAGATGGTGCTTAACCATTGGTGAAGGATCCGCCCCCCAACACAGCTCCACCTCCTAGTGTTCCAGACAGAAGCCTGCTGCAGAGGCAGAGGCTCTTGGGAATCCTGTACTATGGCAGTGCGGAAGGAAAATAAGGGCTTTGAGTGACTATGCAGGAGGCCACCATCCTCTAGACCCCAGATTCATAGACCTACCAACAGTTCACACCCTCAGTATGGAAAAGTGATAGGCACTCAACACCAGCCCAGCCCATGAGAGAAGCCATGGGGGCTAAAGCCTGCAAAGCCACAGGCACACTGCCCTGGTAGAGGTTTCCATGAGCCTCTGCCTCTGCAGCAGTCTACTCCCCCTTCCTACTACCCACCACCCTACAGCCAGCCTACTCTTCCCCACCCTACCCACCCCATTTTTTTCCACCCCTACCCCTCCCATCCATGATTAAATAATCTCCCACCAGGTCCTGCCTCCAACATTTGGCATTACAATTCCACATGAGTTTTTCCAGGGGCACACAGCCAAATCATATTATGCTGACCTTGACCCCCCAAATCTCATATCCTTCTCACAGAATAAAATACATTCATACCTTTTCAAAAGTTTCCAAAAGCCTTAACTCCTTCCTGCATTAACTCAAATGTAAAAAGTTCAAAGTCTCATCTGAGACAACGCTACAGTTTCTTCTGCCTATGATTCCCTGAAGTTAAAAGGGTGTTCATTTCTTTCAAGGTACAATGATGGCACAGGTACTGGGTAAGCTTTCTCAATCCAAAGGAAAGAAATTTCCAAGAAAAATAACACAAATGGGACCACAGGCCCAGTGGACATCCAAAATACAGTAGGTCAGTGTTCATTCAATCTCACAGCTCCAAAATCATGAAGAGAACTCACTATCAGAAGGACAGCATTAAGGAGATGGTGTTTAACCATTTGTGAAGGATCCACCCCCACCCCTGCCTTTCATCCCCAACCCCACCACAATCCCCTCCAACCCTCCCAACCCCCAATCCCCTCCAACCCTCCTCGCCCCCCAATCCCCCCAACCCTCCCCGCCCCCCAACCATCCAACCTCCACTCTTCACCATGATGAAATCACCTTCCACCAGCCCCCACTTTTAACATTTCCCATTAATATTCCACATGAGCTTTGGTAGAGACAGAGAGCCAAAACATATTATTCTGTCCCTGGTCCCCCAAAGTTCATGTCTTTCTCACATTGCAAAATGCAATGATGCCTTCCCTAGAGTCTCTCAAATCTTAACTCATTCCAGCATTTACTCAAAGGCCCAAAGCCCAGAGTCTTATCTGAGACAAGTTTACAGTCCCTTCTGCCCATGAGTCACTGAATTATAAAGAAAATTTACTACTTCCAAGGTACAAGGATTGTACAGGCAATGGGTAAGCATTCCCAGTCAACAGAAAAAAATAATTCCTAGAAAGAAGCACAAAACACAGAAGGGACTCATAGGATACATAAATGTCCAAAACCCAGCAGGCCAGTCACTCAATGCTACAGCTCCAAAATCATCATTTTTGAATCCTTGTCCCATATCCATGGCACAGGGCTGTGAGGGCTGAGCTCCCAAGGCCTTGGGCAGATCTGCCCCTGTGGTTTTGCAGCGTTCAGCCTCAGTGGCTGTCTCTCATGGACAGGGCTGTTGTTGAGTGCCCATAGCTTTTCCACACCAGGGGTGCAAGCTGTTTGTGGGTCTATGAATCTGGGGTTTAGAGAGTGATGCCTCCCTGTGTGGGGGCTTCAACCTTATATGTCCCTTCTTTGCTCCCCTAGTAGAGGTTCCCCATAAGGCTCTGCCTCTTGGAAAAGCTTCTTCCTGAACATCCAGGATTTTCTGTACATCTTCTGGAGTCTAGACGGGAGCTCCCAAGCCTCTAGTCTCTTTCTCTGTGCACCTACTGGCTTAACACTATATGGAAACCTTTAAGACTTTGAGCCACCTCTGAAGCAATGACCCGAGCTGTACCTGTATGTCTTTCAGCCATGGCTGGTGCTGGAGCTGCACAGATGCAGGCAGCAGTGTCCTGCGGTTGAACACAGCAGCAGGGCCATGGGACTGGCGTAGGAAACCATTCTTCTCTCCTAGGCCCCGGGGCCTGTGACAGCAAGGGCTGCTGCAGACTTCTCTAAAATACCTTCAAGGCCGGTTTCAAACTGTCTTGACTATTTGCACTGGGTTCCTTTTTATGCAAATACCCTAAGCCTTCTTGAATTTTCCCCCTCAAAATCGGCTTTTCTTTTTGACTACTTGGCCAGGCTCCAAATTTTCCAAACTTTAGATCTCCACTTGAAGTTCCAACTTGAAGTCATTTCTTAGGTCACCCTTAAGAACACAGGCTGTTCAATGCGGACAGGTCACCTCTTGTGTTATGCTGCCTAGATGTTCATTTCACCAAATACATCCTAAATCATCACCCCCAAGTTCCTAGTTTCACAGATCTCCAGGGCAGGGTCCCCGTGCAGCCAGCTTCTTTGCTAAGGCCAATCAAATGTAATCTTGGCTTCTATTAATAGGAAATTCCTCATTTTCATCTGAGACCTTTTA
Organism: Homo sapiens; assembly: GCF_000001405.40. Lineage (NCBI taxonomy): Eukaryota > Metazoa > Chordata > Mammalia > Primates > Hominidae > Homo > Homo sapiens. The sequence continues at coordinate 155,672 of NW_021159991.1, forward strand.
AGTCTGGACTTCAGTGTTTAAACTTTTGTCAGCCTTCTAATCACAAGTATTTAACAATTCTCTATAGTGGTCCAATATTTTCCTCATCTTGCTGTCTTCTAAGCTTTCCCAATTCTTCTGACCTCTGTCTTTTACTCACTTCTGAACCTGGTTCTACATTGTCAGCTATCTTTATCAGAGCCTGGCAATGTGGTAAAACAGAAAAGTCCATTTTCGGGGGAAAATTCACGAAGGCTTCAGATATTTGCATGAAAAGAAGCTGAGTGCTGGTTGCCAAGACAAAGGGGAAAGGGCCTTGAAGGCATTTCATGGCTCCACTTCATAGCACTGATTTTCTGTATGATCATAAAGAAAAGAGGTTTAATTGGCTCACTATACAGCAGGCTGTAAAGGAAGCATAGTGGCTTCTGCTTCTGGGAGGATCAGATCAGGAAGCCTCCCAATCATACCAGAAGGCCAAGGGGCAATGAGATATTTCAAATGGCAGGAGTAGAAGCAAGACTGCGAGAGGAAAGAGTTGCCACCCCCTGTTATATAACCAGATCTCATGAGAACACACTATCATGAGGACAGCATCAAGAAGACGTTGCCTAACCATTGGTGAAGGATCTGCCTCCCACACCCACCTCCTACTGTTTCCACGCAGTAGCCTCCTGCAGACGAAGAGTTCTTGGGAAACCTCTACTAGGGCAGTGCAGAAGGAAAATATGGACTTGGAGCCCCCATGCTACCACCCTCCAGACCTCAGATACATAGACCCACCAACAGCTTGCACCCTCCGTGTGGAAAAGCTACAGGCACTCAACACTAGTCCAGTCTATGAGAGCAGCCATGGGGGCTCAGACCTGCAAAGCCACAGGTGCACTTCCCCAGTAGGCATTTTCCATGAGGCTCTGCCTCTGCAGCAGGCTACTCCCCCTTCCTACTACCCACCACCTTCCCACCACCATACAGCCAGTCTACTCCCTCCCACCCTACCCACCCCTTTTTCCCTTCCACATACACCCCCACCCATCCATGATTAAATCACTCCCTCCCACTCCCTCTAGTACTCTAATCCCTCCAAGCCCTTCCAATCTTTGTTTGCTACCCACTATTGAGCCTGCTTCTACTTTTTTAGCTATCTGTATAGCAGGTTGGCTAGGTAGCAATAACAAAAATCCCATTTAAGGGGAAACATTCAAGAAGATTTCAGAAATTTGCATATAAAGAAGCCCTTTGCTAATAGCCAAGACAAAGGGTAAAAGGCCTTGAAGACATTTCACAGCTCCTCTCTGCAGTTCTAATTTTCTGTATTATTGTAAATAAAAGACGTGTAATTGACTCATGTTTCTGCAAGCTGTGAAGGAATCATTGTGTCTTCTGTTTCTGGGAGGAATCAGGAAGACTCCTCGTTATATCAGAAAGCCAAGGGACAATGAGATGTCTCCTAAAGCAGGAGTAGGAGGAAGACAGAGTGAGGAAAGAGGTTCCACAGCCTGTTAAACAACCAGATCTCATGAGAAGTCACTCACTATCAGGAGGATAGCATCAAGGTGATGGTCCTTTATCATTCGTGAAGTATCTACCTGCACCATTTTATGACTAAATCTTTTTCCACCTAGGCCCCGCCTCTAACATTACAAAATATAATTCCATATGAGTTTTGGTTGGGACATAGAGAAAAACCGTATTATTCTGTCCCTGACCCCATGAATCTCATGTCCTTCTCACATTGCAAAATACAATCATGCCTTGCCAGCAGTCTCCCAAAGTCTTAACTCATTTCAGGATTAACTCAAAGTTACAAAGTCCAAATCTCATCTGGGTCAAGGCTGCAGTCTCTTTTGCCTATGAGTCTCTGAAAAAAGCAAGTTCACTGCTTCTAAGGTACAATGATGGTACAGGCATTGTGTAAGCTTTCCATATCAAAAATAAAGACATTTTCCAGAAAGCTTATTTCTCTCTGAGACCTCCTCAGTCTGGTCTTCATTGTCCATGTTTCTGTCAGGATTTTTGTCACAACAATTGAGCCAGACTCTAAGATGGTCCAAAAGTTTTCTCATCTATCTGTCTTCTTTTGAGCCTTCCAAACTCTTCCAACCTCCGTCCATTACCGGGTTCCAAAGCTGCTTCCACATTTCCAGGTATCTTTATAGCAGTGCTCCAGTCCTCATTTGCCATTTTCTGTATGATTTATTTTGAAAAATAGGTTTAATTGTCTCATGGTTCTAAGCACAGTGCTTCTGCTTCTAGGAGGCCTCAGAAATCTTTCAATAATCATGGAAGGCAAAGAAAGAATTAGTTGTCTCACATGGCAAGGGGAAAACACGGAGAGTAGGGAGGTGACATAGAGTTTTCAGTGACCAGACCTCATGAGAAGTCACTCATTATTGTGAGGACGGTACAAGGGGATGGTGCTGAACCATTCATGAGAAATTTGCCTTCATAATTCAATTACCTTACTCCAGGATCCACCTTCCACATTAGGAAATATAATTCAACATGAGATTCGGAGGAGACACATATTCAAATTGCATCATCAATCTTTGAATATAAAGACATCCACAGTAGGCTTTATCCAGCCAACTTCTTTGAGAATCTTTATAGGGTTTGAGGTCTAGAGCATATACACTAAAATATTCATTCTTCAAAAAGCAATAAAGTGGTATTATCATTTTTCCAAAAGTTACAGCAGTAGTTTAGGCATTCATAGCATGATTTAGTTCACATTTGCTACTGTTTCTATTCTATCACCACATTAACTGTTTCCTATACAATTCTGTATTCAGCTGGATTTCAGTTGAGCACAAAACCATCCTTGTACTAGCTCTTTGCTAGTGTTATTATTCTGCTGTAGAAAGTATCCTTGAACTGGAAACAGTCCACGATTGAGTATTGAGTCATTCAACACTATCAATTCCTCAGTGACTTTTTGAAAAAGTAGTATCTCTTGTTGCAAGAAATGCTGCATCTGTGAGTCCATGTCTCTCACTGGAATTGGATGGAAGTGGTGAATTTCAGCCAAAGTAGCCAAAGAAATCCTGTTCCTGTGATTCTGACATCATCAGCCTCTGCACCTCTGTATTCCCTTCTGCCACATGTTGCCTGCTCTCCGTGACTTTGGTAAGAGCTTCCTTGTGTATCTGGATGATGTCCAAGATGTTGGTCTTGTGTCCCTGAGACAGCACTAACAGGCCCATGGCTGGGTCGGGGTCCTGCCTGGACTGATTGGCAAAGAGCTCACTGACAATGTGGAAGATGCTCTTTCTTAAAGCCTGTCACCACTCATTGGCTGTGAAGTTGACCTGAGAGCCCTGTTGTCCATCTTCTTGGTGAAGCACTTGAAGCCGTCAATCTTGCTCTCCCACTCCTAAAGGTTGAGTGTCACTCTGAGGGAGGGCTCAGGGCCAGGAAGAATCTGGCACTCACCATCTCATCCTTCTCAGCCTTCCTCTTGCCCTGTCTCCAGGCTGTCTCTTCAGTGCTGGTGGGGTACATCAGGAAGTGACAAAAAATGTGGCACTGTGCCTGCACCCAGACGCTGGTTGTGTGGTTCATCTACCAGATTGGGCCCTTTCTGCACTTGAACACAGATCCACTTCACCATAGATGCATTCCACACTGTCAATGAGCTCTTTGCCAATCAGCCCAGGCAGGACCTGGACCCAGTCATGGACCTGTTAGTGCTGTCTCAGGGACACCAGGCCAACATTCTGGACATCATCTACATACCCAAGGAAGCTCTTACCAGAGTCATCCTCCAGATGGCCTGTGTTCTGCCTCTTGGCACCTGAGAAGCCCACAGTGCTGTAGAAGCCCCTATGCATGGACTGGAGCCCCAAAGGTGGCACACACCCCGCTCCTGAGCCTGCTGCTCCTTTCCTCTATGTGGCTCCATTTGCAGCACATTTGTTGCACTGAGTCCTATTCATCCCAGGCAAAGCCAAGCTGGCTCAAAGAGCAACCAGCCACCTCTGCAAGGGTGTGCCAAGAGCTGATAGACCAGCCACCAACGTCACTCCCTGCCAGCCAGGGTAAATCAGTTACTCTGCCCTGGAGGTAGAGCCCCAGTGCCATCTGCTTTTCCTCAGGCCTCCACTCCATCAGCTGTCAGGTGGTGGTCATTCAGACTGTGGGAACCTGGCCATCCCTGTTTCCTTGAGTGGGTGAGGTTGGTGACTGCTCCACCTGCTCCTGGCACACCCTTGCAGAGGTAGCTGGTTGCTCTTTGAGCCAGCTTGTCCTTGCCTGGCATGCACAGGCCCCAGGTACTGAGAAGTTGCTCCGAGTAAGCTTGTCTTGGGCCAAATTCTAAGTCTGGCCAGGGCCACAGAAGGCCGAGTCCCCTGGGTGGTAATCCTGGCTGCTGCAGGGAACCCATGGTGCCCCTCCCCTCCCAGGGCTCAGGATGAGGTCCGACTGGGACAGGATGCTTTAGGTATGGGACTTGTGCCCCAGGAGGGGGCCTCTGTCACACAGGTTGGGTGAGAAGATGTATGCCATGCTGCTGGCTGCTGGCTGCCGGCTGCCAGGGCTTTTGGGATGCACGTTCACCCTTCCTTTCAGGGACCTCAAAGTGACCAGCTTCCCTTTTAAGAATGACTTCCCAAGGCCCAGGAGCCATCTGGGGCTGCAGAGCTGCATGCTGCCCTGGCTTCTTCCATGTTGTGCTGGTCACTACCCACCAAGGGGGATCAGATGCAGGCACGATGCAGGACGGTAGTCTCTGGACCTGTGTCTTGGTTATCATGGAGCTGGACTGGGCCTGGTGACAGGGCCCTGATGGGGTTGTCCTGGGTGGTCAGGGGGGTGATGAGAAAAATGCAGAATGGAATTGCTGTGAGGATGAATGAGACGACTGTCAGCACAAAACAGGCACCCGGTGAGTGTTCAGGGATTACCCTCAGTAGCTGCCCAGAGGCCAAAACCACCCACCTGATAGTGACTGTCCCCAAGCCAGGAGGAAGTGAGGAGAGCAGGTCCCACTCACCTGAGTCTGATCAGTGAGCTGTGTTGAGATGTGTCTGTCATCTAGAAAATGGTCCTTCATGCAGAGCTACTCACAGACACTGCTGTGTGTCTCTAACTTCTCCACAACACAGAGGCGATGGGGACTCAGGAAGAGTGATGTTGTGGGTTGACAACCCACCACAACGGGAGCCTGCTTGGGTCAACAGGGCTCAGAGTCAGTGTCCTCTATCCCCTGAACTGACATGTGTATATACAATGTGTTTGTGTACGCATGTGTGCCTGTGTGTGTGTGCGCGTGTATGTGTGTGTTTGTCTTGCTTCTCTGGACAGGCCTAGCTTCTCCACCCATGGGTGCACCCAGGTCCTCATCACTGTCACCTTAGAGCATTAGAGCCTCTATAGGTGCTCCCCAATCTCTGCCCTCCCCACCCATGGTGGTCCTGGGGATGTAGACAGAAGAGAGGCACTGCATACTGCTGAGAGGGCTGGCACCCTCTCTAGGTGGAACACAGGTCATTTGTAAAGTTGTAGGTTTGTCAAGCAGTATTGGATTCAACACATCTTCTCACCTTCTCTTTCCAGCCACCCTCTAGGGTGCCCTGACTCACCTTCCCTGCAGATGGAGGCAAGGAGGTGACAGAGAAAAGCCCCCTGCCTAAGGTCCAATAGTGGCCAGCAGGCCACGTACTGACGAATCATCCCTGACCAGGTTCCCAGTGATGAGTGATGAGGCCCCTAATGACCACTCCTCCATTGACCAGGTCCCACTGATCAAGTCCCCGCTGACCATGTCTTCCTAACCAGGCCCACACTTAATAGGCCTCATGGACCAGACCCCACTGACCAATTTTCCACTGACCTGGTCCCCACTGACAAGACCGGGTTCCCACTGACAAGACCACAATTTACCAGGTTGCTGCTGACCCGACCCCCCACTAAACAATTCTCCATGGATGAGTCCCTAGCTGACCGAGCCCCCTCTGACCAGGCCCTCATTGACCAGGTTCCAAGCCACTAAGGCCCCACACTGACCAGGCCTCTGGTATACTGTATATGCCTCACCAACCAGTTTTTCATTGTTTATGTTCCAACTGATCAGGCCCCACTAATAAGGCCACCACTGACTAGGTCCCCCCACTGACCAGGCTTCCAATGATTAGGTCACCAGGTCCCCACTGATGAGGCCTTTACTGAGGAGGCCGCCACTAACCAGGCCCCTGCTGATCAGGTCCCACATGACTAGGTCCTGATGACCAGGTCATCTCTGACCATGGTCCACTGACCAGGCCCTTGAGCAACGGGGCTCAAAGTCTCATTACAATGTCCCCCTCAGCTCATAGACCCTCCCTCCCTGCATGTGTGCCCAGAGGTCAGGCCCTGGGGGTTTTTTTGAGACATGGCCTTTCCTCCAAGACACAGGGAGAGACAGTTGGCCTCAGGCTCCAGGTTCCCAGCTCCACACTCACACCAAAGGCCCTCTGGGCCGTCTCAAAGGAGAAAGTGAGGTGGCCTGACACTGCCTGGACACACCATCTACCCTATTCCTGAGTGTCAGAGTGTGAGGAAGGGAGGGACGTTTGGCAGATGAGACACACTGTGCTGTTGGGTCTCCCAGGGCCCTTCCCATATAGCCCCGATCTAAAGACACAACACAGAGGCTACAGGAAGACTAATCCAGAACCTCTGAGGCTCAGCCAGGGACCACATGAGGACTCTCTCCAGACAGCCAGAAGGCTCTTTGCTAGTTTCCTGGTACCTCAGTGGATGTGGCAGCGGTTCTTCTGTTGGGGACCAGTGAGTACACACTGGGGAGGGCTCACCTGTGCTTCCTCATTGGCTCCACCTCTGCTTCTAAAAAAAATTACTCATTCCAGAGCTGGGGCAGAGAAAATACAAGATGAGCTTAGAACATCTTCTGCCAGAAATTAAAAAAGTGCTGACAGAGTAACGGAGACAAATCAAAGAGACATAAAGTCAGCTTGGAATGTCTACTACTGGCCTAATCTTGGGGAATTGAAGCATCAGAATCAAGAGCTTTCCTTCTCCCTTATTTATTGGTTTTATTTCTCCATGTAGAACAAAGAAGACAATAGGAAAATAATCATCTGGCATCCATCAAAGTAATAATTGTTCAAACACAAGTCATCATGAAATGCTAAATCTAGTGGGTTCTGAGGAGTAACAAGATATTTACAGAGCCTCAAAGTATCTCCATACAAAATACGGTTGAACTACAAAAAGAAAATCATAACATTAGCATGGACAAACCTGGCAGGTACTCCTTAAGTCTCCTAAGTAATAAAAACTGTAAAATGCAAATAAGACTTTGATGACCTTTACTAACCTTTACTAAAGTATCAATGATGACTTGGTTGTTTAAACAGCTGACATTTGGGCAATTTGAGTATGTCAAACTCAATAATACTGGTTTTCATTTGCAAGATCCACTTAAAACTTAAGGAGGCTAAAAAACATCATTTAAAATACCCTATAAATTATCATCATATATATCATACAAAAATATCCTACTTCAGTAAATATTGTAATGTTATACATTTTATGAGAAACAACTAAAATGTGTAAATAGCCCAGTAATAAAGTTTTATAATCTTTTAAATCATACAATTTTTCTTTAAGACTTTATGGTTAAATATTCTCTTCGTTAGATGTGGCTTACCCGTGGATTCTAGAGAAGAAAGTAGATGGGAGCAAGTGTCCGACACAGCAGCAGCTGGAAAGAAAAATAAAGAATTATGTTCTTTACCTAAAACACTTCAGTTGACTAAGTGTGCGTTTAAAAACTAAAGAGTTGATAACTTTATCAGAGTTAATAAGAATGAGAAATATGTATGTGCATTTACAATACAAAATTACTATTTAATAGTTTACACATGGCATTAATTCTAATTGTGTTTAAATATCAGAGTTTTTCATTCTTCATTCATGTAATCAACAGCCACATGCTAAGGTACTAGAACCAGCACTGGAATTACAAGATGAAGATGGCATGGTCCACCTCCCAACAGTCATATGCTATAACCTAAAAAAAAACAGACAGGCAGGCAATGTCCATATAGAGTCAAAGATACCATGACAGGTATAGAGCAGGGCACTACTGGAACACATAGAAGGGACATCTACCCACTTTTATGTCAATATCATGGGCTTTCTGGTGGAGGAGATAACATAGGTTGATACCTGAAGGGCAAGAAAAAGCTTCCCAGATAGAGGGAAGAGGGGAAGGCAAAGAGCCAGAGGTGAGGAAGAGCCCTGCAGAGTTCCACTCCATCCAGTTTGGTGCTAGAGCAAAGGGCAGAGTGCAGTAAGTGGCGAGAGACAAGGCTGAGTAACTTGACGAGAATTACTTTGATATGGGTGTTTTTATTTCATGGTGAAAAATTTGGAACTTTTCCTGAGAACAAGTGTAAGCCAATGACACAGTAATTGACAGGAGATTTAAAATGTCACCTGTCAAGTGACTGCTTATGAAGGGTTATTGCTCAGCTAAGTATTTCTTAATGAGTCTTAGGTCTGTTGGCCTTCAATCTCTACCGAAACCCTGAGAACTTGATGATGCTTTTGTTTTCTGAGAATCGTTTCAGTGTGCTGGCTGACAGTTCCATGAGGATGGCAAAACTTAAGAAAGTGTAGAGCCAGTGAAAAAGAGATGCACAGACTTCTTGGGAACTGTTTAAGCTTTGGAACATGATGAATTTATGGTGTATAAGTACAGTCTTCTCTGTGAAAGTTTCTGTTTTCACATCTTTCATTAGATGTGTGTAAGAAAAAAAATATTGATGTAGTATCTACTAACCCAAGAATGAAAAGGAATGCCATTTGCTATTTACACTTTATTTCTAAAATAAACCTAAATTTAATTAATAAATTTTGGCAACGTACTTCTCTTTGTTTCTCTAATTATTTGTTCTACACAGTCCGGCTCCATCTAAAATAAGTAAAAATAATAATAATGTTTAAGTTAAACAAGAAACATTATCATAAAAATAAGACATCACTTACAAAATGTGGCCTTTAGTATTTTTAGTGACTAGACATAACTTGAAGTTTGCTTAAATAGAAAAATAATCACATAAATAAAGTAAAATTTCTACTTATTTTAAGATTAGATAACAGAGGATGTATATGTGTAATGCTGTTTAGAGTAATCTGACAAAAATGCAGTTAATATTGATCTATTGCATATACATGATTTTAGAAAGGTAGTGTTTTATTAGTACAAAGGTTAAACAATGGCCAGGCATGGTGGCTCATACCTGTAATCCCAGCACTTGGGGAGGCCAAAGCAGGCCGATCACAAGTCAGGAGATCGTGACCATCCTGGCCAACATGGGGAAACCCCATCTCTACTAAAAATACAAAAATTAGCTGGGCGTGGTGATGCGCACCTGTAGTCCCAGCTACTTGGGATACTAAGGCAGGAGAATTGCTTGAAGCCAGGAGGTGGAGGCTGCAGTGAGCCAAGACTGCACCACTGCACTCCAGCCTGGTAACAGAGTGAGACCCTGTCTCAAAAAAAAAAAAAAAAAAATAAGTAATTAAAGCCATCTTTTGCAATGAATGGATTGCTTTGAAATTCTTAGAAAACTCTGCCCTTTATGAAAGTTTAACCCATTTTTTACTTCAATAAATTTTATCTTAAAAAGAAATTTCTGTTCTCTACTTATAGTAAACTTTTCTCTTTTTTTTTTCTAGTTTGTATTCTAAATTAACGTGGTACCTCTGTAGGTTTCTTTCAAAGGCATATTTAGGGATGCCGAGGTTTGCAGCACAATTGAACTCATCACACAGGTAGTGAGCATAGGACCCAAGAAGTAGTTTTTCAACCCTGGCCCACTCTGTCCCTCCCCGTTCTTATTTTCCAGTGTCTATTATTCCCGTGTTTATGACAATGTGCACCCCATGTGTAGCTCCCACGTGAGTGAAAACATGAGATATTTGGTTTCTGTTTCTGTGTTGGTTTGCTTAGGAGAGTGGATTCCAGCTGTATGCTTGTTGCTGCAAACGATGTGATTTTGTTCTTTTTATGGCTGCATAGTATTCCATGGTATATATGGAATTTTCCAATCTACCTTGGATTTTCAACGTACCTTGGATGCACCTGGATTGACTCCACGTCTTTGTTATTGTGAATAGTGCTGCAGTGAACATACATGTGTATGCATCTTCTTGTTACAATGATTTATTATCCTTCTGGTATACCTCTAGTGTAGTAATGGGGTTGCTGTATCCAACAGTCTTTCTTACTTCTTAATTTCCAAACTGCTCTCCAGAATAGCTGAATTAATTAACTTTGCCACAAACAGTGTGTGTTCACTTTTCTCCACAGCCTCCCCAACATCTTTTTTAATTTTTTTATTTATTATTTTTTTTTAACAAAAGTCATTCTGACTGGTGTGAAATGGTATCTCACTGATGTTTTGTTTGTCATTTTTATGATAATTAGCAACGGCAAGCATTTGTTAATGTTTGTTTGGCCACTACAAGTGTTATTTTGAGAACTATCTGTTCATGTCCTTTGCCCATTTTTCATGGTGTTATTTATTTTTTGCTTGTTGATTTGTTTAGGTCTCTTATGGATTCTGGATAATAGGATAATAGGCGTTTGCTATATCCATAGTTTGTGAATATTTTCTTCCATTCTTTAGTCTGTCTGTTTAATCCCGTGATAGTTTCTCATGCTGTGCAGAAGCTATTTAGCTAAATTAGATCACACTTGTCAATTTTTGTTATTCTTGCAATTGCTTTTGAGGACTTAGCCATAAATTAATTGACAAATATGATGTCTAAAGGAGAATTTCCTAGATTTTCTTCCAGGATTTTTATAGTCAGAAGATGTACTTTTATGTAAGAAAAGCACAAACATTTTATTTTTATTTTTATTTTTTTTGAGATGGAGTCTCCATCACCCAGGCTATAGTGCAGTGGTATGATCTTGGCTTACTGCAACCTCTGTCTCCTGGGTTCAAGTGATTCTCCTGCCTCAGCCTCCTGAGTATCTGAGATTACACATGCCTGCCAACACCCCTTGCTAACTTTTGTATGTTTACTGGAGACAGGTTTCATCATGTTGGCCAGGCTGTTCTCAAACTCCTGACCTCAAGTGATTCACCTGCCTCGGCCTCCCCAAATTTTGGGATTACAAGTGTGAGCCACCGTGCCTGGCCAAGCACAAAGCTTTTAACATAAAAATGGAACTGAATATTTTAGTGTTTTGTTTAATTAATAAAATGCAATTATTTTGGATTCTACTAAATAATAAACATCCATATGTGGTAAACTGTTTGGATGCCAATCATTCAGTTGTGATTATGGGTGGGAAGAATTGAGATGGTGCAAATAAACTTTTTTTTAAATTTTTTATTTTCAAGACGGAATCTTGCCCTGTCACCCAGGCTGGAGTGCAGTGGTGCAATCTCAGCTCCTGCAACCTCCATCTCCCAGGTTCAAGCAATTCTCTGCCTCAGCCTTCCTAGTAGCTGGGATTACAGGTGCCCACCACCACACCAGACTAATTTTTTTTGTACTTTTAGTAGAGATGGAGTTTCACCATCTTGGACAGGCTGATCTTGAACTCCTGACCTCGTGATACATCTGCCTCAGCCTCCCAAAGTGTTGGGATTACAGGCATGAGCCACAGCACCTGGCCAGTGCAAAGAAACTTTAAAAGTGACATGGGCCGGGTGCGGTGGCTCATGCCTGTAATACCAACACTTTGAGAGGCTGAGGCAGGCAGATCACAAGGTCAGGAGTTCAAGAAGAGCCTGGCCAATATGGTGAAACCCTGTCTCTACTAAAAATACAAACATTAGCTGGGTGTAATGGTGGGTGCTTGTAGTCTCAGCTACTCAGGAGGCTGAGGCAGGAGAATCACTTGAACCCAGGAGGTGGAGGTTGCAGTGAGTGGAGATGGCACCAAGACACCCCAGCCTGGGCGACAGAGTGAGACACTGCCTCAAAAAAAAGAAAAAAAAAGTGGTATGAACCACACCTAACTACAGTCAATTAGAGAGTAAGCCAAAGCATCTCAAAGTATATCATCAGTTATCAGGCAACAACATGTAATTTCTAAAACCTAACTTAAATGCAGATTTAAAAACATTTTAAATGTGTCAGTTTAGTCACATTTATTGAATAAAGTTAGCAAATGGATATCTCTTGAAAATGAGGGCTCCAGGGAATTAAAAAATGTAAAATTCCCATTTCCTTTCTGTGTTAACACAGCTAATTATGATCTTTACTTCACATGAAAAAGTCAACAGAACAACTCAGTATTTCACCAAATTATAAACAAGAATTACGCTAGAGAAATGAAACCCTAAAGAGAAACGGTCATATAACTAACCTCAGTCAAGTAGTTCTGGCAGTTATTTGAAGTCTGACGGTTTGAAGTAGGAATTCTTATGGGCATTTGGGGAATATATTTTCTGTTGAGTCCTATACTAGTAAGATTTTCAACACAAGGTGACTCTCGACCTTGCCTTGTAGGAAGAGTGCTGAGAAAATATTTCACCTGCTCTTTCTCCATAAGGAGCTTGGTGCTGATCATTGCTATTTTCTTATTCGATCTGTAAAGATAACAAAGACAAATGCTTAGTATTTCATATTTCCTTAAATGATTCTTAATGCCTTGCAGTCATTACATTTAAAGTGTTGCCCTGAGAGTAAACCAAATTACCCACTAAATAGTGTTTTCACACCGAAGATGTGTAAGAGCATACCTGTTGTAAGGAATTATAATTTTAAAATCATTCTAAAGAAGCACCTTTGTTTCTAAGGTGATTTACACTGAACAAGCAGTTCAAACAAAGTAGACAGGGAAGAGAAATGGCTATCAGTGGTGTATGGCTCAACAGGCAAAATTTGCTGCCTTCTAAAATGGCTCTACTTGTAAGATTCTGAAGATTCCATTAGAAATACTTGTATTTAAAGGGCAATAATGTGGGAAAATGAATATGTTGATTTGCTTGATTATAAGAACCACTTCACTAGAAATAATTATATCAAAACATCATGTTGTATTCCTTAATGTAGTTTAAGAAAACTAAAATGAATTAAAAAAATCTAGGAGTACTTGTGTTTAGTAAACCAGTTTTAGATTTCACCCTTGTACATTTCACCCATTATCTAGAACCAATTAAACATTTGGCACTGAAGAATAATTCAGAGCAACAACTCCTAGGGGAGAACTAGATTGTCTGGTTGGTGATCAAAAAGAACTAAAGCATCTCTGAAGGCAATTAGCCCCCAACACTGTGACCAAGGCCCAGGAGGTGGGGCATGTTCTTTCTGCCTTCCAAACACTCCTTCTGGCTGAACAAGGTGTTATTTTTTAACCGCTTTGTGAATTACACTTCTTTAAATTCCTGTGATAATTATTCCTTATTTCACAAGGATGCCTTTCTGTAACATCTTGAATATGTTACACAAATAGTCTTTCTTGAGGCACCCTCTGATGATAATACTAAAGATCACAATCAAAAACGATTGTGCCCAAAGTAACAGTACCACTTTTCATTTAGGTTGTGATCCACTGAAAAAGAAATTAAACTCATTAATATTTCTATTTAGGGAAATTCTGACAAGTAATTTTATAACAGGATCACTTCATTAATTATAAAGCTTCAAAAATACATAGTGAAAAAAACTAACAGATCAGTTTAATTACATGAGACTTTTCAGGGGAAAAAGCCATACAAAAACAAACAAAAAAAAATGAGAGGAGAGACAAAAACTATCTTTGACTAACATTAAAAGGTAAGATTATTTACTAACATTGTTTTTCAAAATTACATTGTCAAATTAACATTCACTTCCTACTAATATCCTGAAGCCATCTCACTAAAAATTATGCTTTTGAAACAAATTAATGAGCTTAATTCATTCTCTGAGTGTATGTTTTGACTTACTTCGTTAATTTTTTTGACATGGAATTGTTAGCTTTCAATGCTGCTGCAAAGGCTTCCTTATATTCTTCTAACTCAGTTGTAACCTCTTCATAAGCAGTTTACATTTTGTAGAATTCACATTCCACATCTTTAAGTGTGAGTTCCTTCTTATTTAGTGAAGCCGTATTATCCTTGTTTAACTGGTCTAATTGTTTTTTATATTGTGCTTGTAACTAAAACAAAGGAAAATAATACACTTTTAAAACAATAACATAATTATTATATGTTTGTTGCCTTTCATTTTGAGTCAGTGATTCAAAGAGCATTTCTGAATATGTTAAAAAAGAGGCTGAAGCTTAAAATATTTCAGCAATATCAAAACTAATAACTGAATTCAGAATTAAGTCTGATTTATAAAAATTTGAAATCATAATTATGTTAGTATTAATGTAATCTGGTCATATAAAAAGTAATAGAATCCATTCATAATTTGAAAAAGTGATCAATGAACAATGTAGCTTAACACCAATTCAAAAGTATCACATAATTTCTAAATCACAATTTTTTCCTATGCCAACTGGTCTTAATCATCAAATGACTCCATAATGAGAATCATTACTCTGAAAGATTGATTTTCTCATAATAATAATGGAAATTTAAATATTTAAAAGAAAAAACAGATGCCATTTTTTTCTACAACTCTACAAAGCAGATTGCTACAAGAGAGGCAGAGGAAACACTATATATATATATATATATATATATATATATATATATATATATATATATATATATATATATATATAAAATCTCCAAAATATAATTTGCAGTGAAATAAATGAAAGCACATTACAGGTAAACTTACCTGATTTAAACAAGTAACCTGTAAATGGATTTCCTTTAATTTTTCTACTGCCTGCATTGCCCTTTCATCTAGCTCTGATTTATATTCTTGTAGTTCACTAAGTTCTACGATAATGTTTTCCATATGTGTCTTGAGATTTAATATTTCTTCTTCCAACATCTTTTGATTCTCCTCAAGTTTTTCACATTCTTGTTGTACTTTTTTCATAGATAATAACTCCTGTTGGATAACTTGATTGTCTTTAGCCAAATTGACACATTTTGAAGATACAGCTTCCTCCTCTGCCGTAAGATCATCAAACTGCATAAATAAAATAGTATAGCTTGATAATGAAGTAGGCTGAGAATAATCTAATACAAAACCAATAGCAAATTTTAAAATGCATTTACATGCAATAAAATGTTATCAGTAATGCATCAGATTCTTCAAATGTGAACCCTTAAATTACTCAGAATTTTAAGAACAATGTTAAAGCTACCATGAGTCATAAAAATATATTCTTTACTATCATCATCTTTGCCACAGAACTTTTGTACTTCATCTTACTTTTATTTTTCTGATAATTTATTTTTGTTCCTCCTTAAATGGCACAAAGTTATCTCCTAGTAAAAAGTGTCTAATCCCCTTCCCTCATTATCATTCCCCACAATATGTAAAAAAAAGTTTCAGAGATATCATATTGAGTTATTTAGGCCAAAGTCAATACATGGCTCTAGGAATAAGACTTTGAAATTAATATTACACTCTATACTAGGCATGGTGGCTCATGACGGTAATCCCATCACTTTAAAAAGCAGTGGCAGAAAGATCACTTGAGGCCAGGAATTTGAGATCAGCCAGAGCAACATAGTGAGACCCACATCTCTAGAAAAAAAAAATTTTAAAATTACCCGGGCATGGTGGCTCAGAAATATTCCTCTTCGCTGGATTCTTTTGAGCATTCTACCATTCTAGCCTAGCCCCTACTCCAGAATTAGGAGGGCATTGACCCCCAACAGGTATTTCTCCCCTTGACCCCCTGGAAGTACCTCTCCTGAATCCATCTGTATTACTTGCATCAGGAGTTTCAATTACTTGAGCCCATCACAGCCTAACAAAAAATAATCAAAAACATACAATCCAAGCACTACTTGTTACAATTATATTAGATATTTACTTCACCCTCCTACAAGTCTCAGAATACTTCAAAGCTCTCTTTGCTATTTCTGATGGTATTTATGGCTCAACATTTTTTTATAGCTACAGGCTTTCACAGAATTCACGTCATTATTGGATCAACATTCCTCAGTCTGCCTTCTCCGCCAATTAAAATACCACTTTACATCTAGTCATCACTTTGCCTTTGAAGCCGCTGCCTGATATCGACACTTTGTAGATGTAGTATGACTATTCTTGTATGTTTCTATTTATTGATGAGGATCTTACTCTTTTAGTATAAATAGTACCATGATTTCCAAAGTTTTGATAGCATCCGAAAAACAGTAATTCACCTAACATTAACCCTAGTAATCAACACCCTATTAGCCCTGTTACTAATAATTATTACATTTTGGCTCCCACAACTTAATATATATATGTAGAGAGAGAGAAAAATATATATATATATGTATAAAATAAATATATATATATGTATAAAATAAATATATATAGAAAAATCTAGCCCTTATGAATGCAGATTTGACCCTCTATCCTCTGCCCACATTCCCTTCTCCATAAAATTCTTTCTAGTAGCCATCACATTTCCCCTATTTGAGTTAGAACTCGCCCTACTACTACCCTTACTGTGAGCCCTTCAAACAATCTGATACTAATAATCCCTGCGATATGTGTAGTGACTTCATACTTCACCCCCCCCCCGGATATTACGGCCAATATCAGAGTGGAGTGTGCACCCCCTGCAATATGGGGAGTGATATCATCCTCTCCCCACTGGATGTTATGGACAATATCACAGGAGGTTTACTTTCTCTGGGTTATGGGGAAAAATATCCTCCTGTCCCCGCCTGGATGTTAGACATATTTAGAGGGGGGTGTCCACCCCCTGTGATATGGGGAGTAGTAATATCCTCTCCTGCCCTGGATGTTATGGACAATATATAGGGAGATATACAATCCCTTCGATATGGGGAGTAATATCATCCTCTTCCCCCTAAACGTTACGAACAGTATCACAGGGGGGTGTACACCCCCTGCAATATCTGGAGTAGTATCATCCCCTTCTTCCCTAAATGTTACAGAGACTATCACAGGGGTGTGTACACCTTCTGAAACATGGGAATAATATTCTCTTCCCCTCTGGATGTTATTATGGACAACATTACAGCCGTGTGCACCCTCTATGATATGCAGAGTAATATCATCCTCTCCCCCCCGGATGTAAGTGACAATACCACAAACGGGTTTACATCCCCCGTGATATGGGGAGTAATATCATCCTCTTTCCCACTGGATATTAACAATATCACTTGGGGTGTACAACCCCTGTGATATTCTGGATAATATCTTCTAATCCACTGAAAATTATAAACAATATCACCAGTGTACACTCCCTGTGATATTGGAAGTAATATCATCCTCTAATCCCCTAAAAATTATGAACAGTATCACAGGGGAGTGTATACTTCCTACTATATTGGGAGTAATATCATCCTGTCGTCTTCTAAATATTATGAACAATATTACAGGGGATGTAACACTCCCTGCGATATGTGGAGTAATATCATCCTCTCCTTCCCTAAATATTGTGAACAATATCACAGGAGGTTGTACACAATCTGCGATATTGTTTGTAGTATCCAGTGGGAAAGAGGATGCTATTACTCCCCATATCACAGGGGGTGTACACCCCCACTGTGATATATTCAATAACATCCAGAAGTAATATTACTGACAAAATTGCAGGGGGTGTAAACCCCACCTGTGATAACGTTCCTAATATCCCTGGGAAGAGAGGATGATATTATTCCCAATATTGCAGGGAGTGTACACCCACCCTATGATATTGTTATTAATACCCAGGAGGGGAGACAATGGTATTACTCACAGTATCAAAGAGGTTGTACAGCCCCCCTGTGATAGTTTCTAATATCCAGGGGGTGTATACCACCCTTGTGATATTGTTTCTAATATGTAGGGGGAAGGACAATGATATTACTGTCCGTATCACAGGGTGTGTACAACAAGCCCCCCGGGATATCATTCCTAATATCCATGGGAAGAAAGAATATTATAATATCACAGAAGTTGTACACCCCCTCTGTGATATTGTTCCTAATATCAAAGACAGAAGGGTATGATGTTCTTCCCAAAATCACAGGAAGTGTATACACACCCTGTGCTATTTTTCCTAATATCGAGAGTGAGAGACAATGATACTTCCAATATCGTAAGGAGTGTACACTCTCCCCGTGATACCAGGTGGGGAAATGTTGATATTACTCCAAATGTCACAGTGGGTGTACACACGTTTTGCGATATTGTTCCTAACAGCAAGTGGGGAGGAGGATTGTATTACTCCCACCATATTACTCCCCACACCCCATTATACTGTTCTTAATATCCAGATTTGGAGAGGATGATATTACTCCCAAAATCTCAGGAGGTGTAGACCCCTTCTGTGATACTGTTTCTTATATCCAGGGGAAGACTAGATGATAGTACTCCCAACAGTGCAGGGTGTTACACGCCACCCCCCATGATATTGTCTCTAATATCAAGTTGGGGAGAGGGTGATATTGCTCCAAATAGTGTAAAGGGTGCACACCAGCACTGTGATATTATTCCTAGTATCCAGAGAAGGAGAGAATGGTATTATTTTTAATATCACAGAGGGTGCACACCCCCCTTGTGATACTGCTCCTAACATCCAAGGGGTAGAGGATGAAATTACTCCCAATATCACAGTGGGTATACACCCCCCGTGGTATTGTTCCTAATATCCAGGGGGTATAGGATGATAGTACTATAAATATCGCAAGGGGTGTACACCCCTTCTGATATTGTTACTAATATCCGTGGGGGGAGTCGATGATATTACTTCCAATATCACAGGGCATGTACACCCCCCTTGTGATATCGTTCCTAATATCCATGGGGGAAAAGGATGATATTACTCTAAATGTCGCAGGAGGTGTAAACCGCCCCTGTGATATTGTTCTCAATATCCATGGGGGGAGAGAATGATATTACTCCCAATATCACAGGTGGTGTACACCCCTCCTGTTATATTATTCCTAATATCCAGGTTGGGAGAGAATAATATTACAGGTAAAATAGCAGGGGGTGTACACTCCGCCTGTGATATTGTTCCTAATATCTCGGGGAAGAGTGGACAATATTACTCTCAATATCGCAGGATGTGTACACCCCCTTTGTGATATTGTTCCTAATATCCATAGGGGGAGAGGGTGATACCACTCCCAATAATGCAGAAAAGGTACAGCCCCGCTGTGATATCATTCCTAATATCCAGAGGGGACAGGATGATATTACTCCCAATATCACAGAGGGCATACACTCCCTCCCCATGATATTGTTCATAATACCCAGGGGATAGAGGATGATATTACTCCCAATATCGCAGTGGGTGTACAACCACCCTGTGATATTGTTCCTAATATCCATGTGGAAAGGGTATAAAGTTACTCCCAATATCACAGGGGTTGTACAACCCCCTTGTGATATTGTTCCTTATATTCGGGGGAGAGACAATGATATAGCTGTCCATATTGCAGGTGGTGTACAACCCCCTGGGAATTTGTTCCTAATATTCAGTGGGGAAGATGATATTAATTAAAATGTCACGGGGGGTATACAACCCCTTTGTGATATTATTCCTAATATCCAGGGAAAGAAAGAATATTATTCCCAATATCGCAGGGGATGTACACCCCTCTCTGATACTCTTTCTAATATCCCTGGGGGGAGTCTATAATATTACTGGCAATATCATAAGGAGTGTATACCCCCCGTTATATTGTTCCTTATGTCCAGCAAGGGAGAAAATATTAATCCCAATATGGAACAGGGTGTAGACACCCATGAGTTATTGTTCCTAATATCCAGGGAGGGAAAGGATGATATTACTCCCAATGTTGCAGTGGTGTATAACCTCCCGTGATATTGTTCCTAATATCTAGGTGGGGAAAGTACAGTATTACTCCCAATATAGCAGGGGTTGTACACCACCTTTGTGATATTGTTCTACATATCCATGGGGAAAGAAAATGATAGTACTCCCCAATATCACAGGTGGTGTACAACCCCTTGTGATACTGTTTCTAATATCCATGTTGGGGGAGGATATTATTCCCAATATTGCACGTGTTGCACAGACCCCCTTTGATATTGCTTGTACTATGCAGGGTGTGGGGGGAGAGGATGATATTGGGAGTAATATCACCCTCTCTCCCCGGATATTAAAAGCAACATTCAGGGTGGTCGACACTTCCTGCAATATTGAGTATAATATCCTCTCCCAACCTGGATATTAGGAACAATATCACAGGGGCATGTACACTCCCTTCCTTTCACCATATACAAAAATCAACTCAAGATGGATGAAGGACTTATGTAAGACCCAAAACTATATAAACCCTAGAAGAAAACTTAGGAAATATCATTCTGGACATAGGCGCAGGCAAATATTTCATGATGAAGATTCCAAAAGCAATTGCAACAAGAAGAATTGACGAGTGGGACCTAATGAAACTAAAGAGCTTCAGCACAGCAAAAGAAACTATCAACAGAGAACACCCTACAGAACAGAAGAAAATATTTTCAAATTACATATCTGAAAAAGGTCTAATACTTAGCATGTATAAAGAATCAATAAGCAAAAAACAAACCCACTACAAATAGGCAAAGAACATGAACCCCCACATCCACCATCCTCAAGTCCATGTGCAACTTCTTTCTGGATGCTGGACAAGGACTTGGGTACCAAGAGGGCACTGAACGGGTTAACACTTAAGCCGTCTGTGGATTCTTTTTTCAAAAGACAACGTATGTATGGCAAACAACCATATGAAAAAATACTCAACATCACTAATCATCAGAAAATCAGAACCATGAGATACCATATCACACCGGTCAGAATGGCTATAATTAAAAAATCAAAACATAACAGACGGTGCCGAGTTTGTGGAAAAAAGGGAATGCTTATACACTGCTGGTGGTGATATAGAAAGGAGACAGGGAAATGCTGGGTAGAAGAGAGTGGTTCCCTGGCAAAGCCCTGCCCACAAGCCTGGAAACCCATGGCCCTAAATGGGAACAGGCATTCCTGCTTTTGCACCCAAAAGTTGTCTTTCAGCTCACCATGCACCCCCTGTCCTGTACCCATATATGCCCCAGACCCCAGGCTCCAGAAGCAGACAAGCAGATGAGGAGATGAACAGAAGAGCAGAATTGCAGAATGATGTGGCAGAAAGAAGAGAAGGAGCATCTGAATGCCAAGAGGAGTTTGGCTGGCAGTGGTTGGAGAGATCAGCCTCTGGATGGCAAAGCTCCCGGGGAAGATCATCTTCCCATTCCATCCCCTTTCCAGCTTCCCATCCATCCCATTGAGTGCCACCTCCACCACTCAATAAAACCCCCACATTCACCATCCTCAAGTCTGTGTGCAACTTAATTCTTTCTGGATGCTGGACAAGGAACTGGGTACCAAGAGCGCACTGAACAGGTTAACACTTAAGCTGTCTGTGGATGGCAAAGCTAAAAGAGTGCACTGTAACACATGCCCACTTGGGCTGTGGGAGTCGCAGGAACCCACCCCTAGACAGTACCATGGCCACTTGCCCTGCCTATTGCACCTGCCTGTCTGCATGCTTCCCTGCCCAGTAAGGGGTTTGACAGCACACACGGTGGCCAGACAAGCCACACCCCTGTTGCACATCCTGCCAAGGGGAGTCAGGGAAGTCTCCAGTTTCATCAGGAATGTAAATTTGTTCAGCCATTGTGGAAAGCAGTTTGGAGATTTCTGAAATAACTTAAAACAGAACTACCATTCAACCCAGCAATCCCATTATTGGGTATATACCCAAAGGAATATAAATCATTCTGTCATAGACATATGCACGCATATTTTCATTATAACACTATTCACAATAGCAAAGACACGGAATCAACTTAGATGCCTGTTAACAGAAGACTGGATTAAAAAAATGCAGCGTACATACACCATGGAATACTACACACCTATAAAATAGGATGAAATAATGTCTTTTGCAGCAACATGAATGGAGCTGGATACCATTATTCTAAGTGAATTAATGCAGGAACAGAAAACCAAACAAACACTGCATGTTCTCACTTATAAGTGGGGGCTAAACATTGAGTCCACATGGACACAGAGAAGGGAACAATAGACACAAGGTCTACTGTGGGTGGAGGGTGGGGGTAGAGTGAGGATCAAAAAACTCCCTATTAGATACTACGTTCACTACCTGGATGACTACGTAATCTGTACACCAAATCCCATTGACACACATTTTACCCACATAATAAACCTGCACATGTACCCGCTGAACCTAAAATAAATGTTGGAAGGAAATAAAGTTACAACCAACTCTTGTACTATTGTGAGGAAACAATCATATGTGTTGACAAAAAAATCAGCTACTAATAGATTTATAATAGTATATATGTAGCAGAAAAATATCAGATATAACTTATATACCCAAAAGTATGACTTAAAAACAGCATGACAATCTTTATGATGGGATATTGTGCAACTACTAGAAGCACATTTTCAGAGATTATTTATTAACATATGATAATGACTACATTGAGTGGTTTTTAGAAGCATGAATTGAAACCATGTATAAGCATGACTTTATTGAACTTAAATATAACATTACACACACATTTACATAATTATAAAATAAGTATGCTCATGTTCATAATATGTATTTATTTATATTCATATGTAAGGCCAATAGGAAGTAATCTCTGTATCTGAGTTATTATTTCATAAATAATTTATGCTTGTTCTGTGAAAATAAAAACACTGCTATGGATCTTCCAAGTATCCTGAAAGGATACCGTTTATAATTAAACAATAACAATTTTAGAAATAATTATTTTAAATAAGGCTATGATAAATCTGGTTTCATTGCACACTTTAACTTTGGAACATTTCATGAAACGTCCCTTGATCACGACTCTCATATTCAGGAGTTTTTTGAGATCAAAATGGGACAATCAGTATGAATCTATTTTTTAGACATGCAAATGGATAACTTTAAATAGCAGTAGCGATATAATCAGAGTGCACAGTTGCTCTGGGACAAAACTTGGAAATGAGCATATTTTTAGATTCTTAATGTTTTACACACTTTAGCATTCCACAGCACCATTACATACTCATTTTTCTACTAGAATACCTTGGTAAAAATTCACAGTAGAGATCAGGCTTGTCCTTCATACATTAACTAATCAAGTAGGAAAGTGCAAATGAGAACACAGTGCCAAACATAGGCACCACATGGAAACAAGCATGGAACTGCCAGGAAGCCATTTTTGTAGATTTGTAGCCCAATTATATTTTTCCTAATGTATTGCACACAAAACTTGGGGGAAAAAAAAGAGGCAGAGAGAAAACAGGTTATATCAGCCCTATCTCACAATCCACAAGTTCATCCTGTTAGAGGAGTAACTATGTAAAACAAATTTTATCTGTTGAATGTCCTATTTAGTTAATCGCAAAACTGTATGAGAACACACTTGTGACTTATTTAGCAGCTTGTTTGTTCGCTTTCCACTGGCTTCACAAATGTCCTTTGGAAATAGAATGTACATTTGGAACCTTGTACACCTTTTCTTTCTCCAGTACCCTCTTGTCACTTCCATCACTAAGGTGACAGAAGCAACTAGGGGCAATGCATTTGTAGCACACCTGGGTCAGAGGTATCCTCCAGGGGAAGGATCAGACCTGCTTGAAAGCATGTCGTTGGAATTGGGAGGCTTCTAGTAGCTATAACATAAGCACTGATGTTTACTCTTCCCTGCCCTCCACTTTGATCACTCTGGGAAACGTTTTTTTTTCTTAAAAAATCAATTGTATTGAAAGATAATTTACATAAAATAAATACTATTTTAAAGTGCACAGTTTGCTGAGTTTTGCCAGATGTAACCATCCAGGTGAATAAAATTGATTAAACTGATCTTTCAAATAATAAATTAACTTTGCAATCTTGCTAGAAATTTAATTTGTTCACAGTTTATTATCCATTCTATGTACTGCTACATTCAATTGGTTATTATGTTTTAAGGACTTTTGAGTCTATGTTTATGAGGGATAAACATCAAAGTTGTATAATGCCTTTGTCTCGATTTGGAATCGGCAATACTGGGTTCATAAAATAAGATAGGAAATGTCCCTTTAAATTTTCTTTTTCTTTTTTTTTTTTTTTTTTTTGAGACGGAGATTCACTCTTGTTGCCCAGGCTGGAGTGCAATGGCACAATTTCGGCTCTCCACAATCTCTGCCTCCCAGATTCAAGCTATTCTCCTGCCTCTGTCTCCCGAGGAGCTGGGATTACAGGTAAGCGCCACCATGCCCTGCTAATTATGTACTTTTAGTAGAGATGGGGGTTTCTCCATGCTGGTCAGGTTGGTCTCAAACTCCTGACCCCAGGTGATCTGCCCGTCTTGGCCTCTCAAAGTGCTGGGATTACAGGTGTGAGCCACTGTGTCCGGCCCTTAAATTCTATTTCTTAAAAAGAGTCCGTTCAAGATTGATGTTATAGATACTCCTCAACTTACAATTGTTTTATGTCTTAATGAACTCATCCTAAATTGAAAATATTGTAAGTCTAAAACGCATTTAATATATTTAACCTACTGAATATCATGACTTAGCCTCGCCTACCTTAAACTTGCTCAGAACACTTACATTATCCTACAATTGGGCAAAATCATCTACCACAAGGCCCATTTTAAAATATTGAGTTTCTCATGAAATTTATTGAAAACTATACTGATAGTGAAAAACTGGTCATATTGATGCTCATCATTAACGTACACAGATGAAAGCACCATTATCAAGTAAGAAGAGCACAAGTCAAACCACTGTAAGTTGAGGACTCTCTGTACTTTCTTAAATGTTTGATAGAATTCACCTGAGAAAGCATGTAGCCTGTAATTATAGAAATCTTTTTAAATTAAAAAAATTCTTCAATACATAGAGAAGCTATTACTTTTTCTATTTCATTTTGCATTAGTTTTAAGAATTAGTTTTACAAATAATTTCCCATGTTATTTTAATTGTCAAATGTATTGGCCTAAAGTTTTCATAATTATATTGATGTCTGTAGGTTCTGTAGTTACATCCTCTATTTAATTCCCATTATCTACATTATGTAGCTTCTCTAATTTTTTTCGAGATAAATCTTGCTAGCCATTGTTTATTAAAAAAATTTTTTTCAAAGAACCAATTTGTGGGTATATTAATTAGCTCCACCTTTTGTTATTTGCTATGTTGTTGGTTTACATTTTTATCTTTATCATCTTCCTTCTTCTTAATTTGGATATACTTTGCTTATTTTTTAGCCTCTTAAAAAAGAACTTAAAGGTCATTGATTGAAGCCTTTTATTTTCAATATATTACATCTATAAATGTACCTTTAAGAAACGATTTATCTGCATCCCACATTTTATTAAGTTTTTAAAAAATTTTATTTCAGTTTAAACTATTTTTTTTGTGTGTGAAACTTTTCTTGGCCAATGGGTTTTTCTGAAGTATTTTGTTTAATGTTCAAATGTTGGGGTGTTATTGTACATATCCTACTGTTGTCCATCTCTGGTTCATGATACAATGCATGTTCTCCATTGCACTTAGATAACATGCCTCCATGTCTCTGGAGAATTCCTCAGTCTTTCTAAAATGCTTTTGATGAATACTGGCCGTTATTTTGTAGAATGTCCTGCCTCAATTTCAGTTAGTCTGATGTTTTCTCACGGTTAG
This sequence comes from Homo sapiens, assembly GCF_000001405.40. NCBI lineage: Eukaryota > Metazoa > Chordata > Mammalia > Primates > Hominidae > Homo > Homo sapiens. The sequence continues at coordinate 181,362 of NW_021159991.1, forward strand.
GACTAAAGTTATACATTTTGTCTAAGAATACCATAGAATTGATGTTTTGTCCTACTCAGTGCATCATATAAGAAATTACATGAAGTTCATTTATCTTATTATTAGTAATGTTAACTATGATCACTTGGCTAAGTTGACATCTCCACTTTGAAGTTACTATTCTATAATTATCTTGTGGGAAGATACTTTCATATTATGCAAATATGTTCTTTCCCAACATATATTCACCACTAATCTTAGCATTCCTCCAAGGTTCTTTCTTGCAACAATTATTACTATGATATTTGCAAAGTGATGATTCTTATATTTTATGTCTCCTACATTTAATGAAATCTTACTGTAATAAAATACTACCCACTCTCAATCTTTGGTTTATTATTTATGTCAATATGGATTTTTTTTTTGAGTTGGAGTCTTGTTTTGTCATCCAGGCTGGTGTGCAATGGTGCGATTTCCGCTCACTGCACTTCCACCTTCCGGGATTCAAGCCATTCTCCTGCCTCAGCCTCCGGAGTAGCTGGGACTACAGTCATGTGCCACCATGCCCGGCTAATTTTTGTATTTTCAGTAGAGGCAGGGATTCACCACATTGGTCAGGCTGGTCTTGAACTCCTGACCTCAAGTGATCTGCCCGCCTCTGCCTCCCAAAGGGCTGGGAATACAGGCATGAGCAACTGCACCTGGCCTGGATTAATTGAAAATTTTCTCCTGTAGATTGTAATATATTATTATTGTTATCTATTTTATTGCCCCAATTTTCTCAAATTTGGCTATGGAAGTTTATTCAAAGTGGATCTGTTTCCCTTTCACATTTTCCCCATTTTGTGAGCATTTCCTTACTTCCTAACATGACAAAATATTTCAAACTAATCTTGTATTTTCCCTGCCCAATCCTGATATCAAATATGTCCCCAAGGAGCCTTGGTTCCTTTAATTGGAGAATGGTGTTCTCATTGTTACTGGGATGATGTTGTTTCTAGGCCCTTTTGTTAGAGGAGCTAGAAAATATATGTATGTATACTCACACATTTATACACATCTGTACTTATTTATACAATTATCCATCTGTACGTATACTAAAAACAATGATTTCATGAAACTTTTGATCCCAATCCAACACTAGATAAAGACTATATAGGCCCATTTATTTGCAAATCAGCACATAAACATAGAAGAATTATTAACAATATAAGCTGTAGCTTATGCTAAATGTTGGTTGGAACAGACAATAAGTTATGGAGAACTTCAGAGGACACTAAGGTTGGATGGGATTTTGGAAGTTGTACAGGTCAATGCCACTCCATCTATTGGCGAGTTTCACTAGGTTAATACATGAACAACAACAAAAATAACCTAGATCAGAAGTTAAAGGTCATTTTATTGACTATCTGCCGTGTCTGTGCCATTGCAGTGTACTAGGTGCACTTACGAGTCCTCTACTTACAAACTGCTTTTCACAAAATATGAAACTCCAGGCAAAGGTTCAGACATATGACGTTTGTTTTTAAAATCTTTCTACAGCCTTGTATCCTTTTTCCTTTCCTTCCTTTTACCCTTTTTAAAATGTGTTATGAGTTTTATCTTAGACTAACATCATCTGTAATGTTGCTATACGCCAGTATTCAGTTGCTGTGTTTGATGAATCATAAAATGGTGTAAAACTTCAATTAATGTACTTTTTAAATAAAGTATCTATGAATGCATCCAGCAAAATGTTTATGATTTGAGTATTCACACAATATTACTTTTCTCTGGATCTAACAATAATGTGAAAACGCAAAATGAATATAAAATATTAGCTAATAATAGATTTCAAAGTATTGTACAAGTATGAAAAATATATGATATTGTTACTTTCATATATGTAAAACATTAATAATTTTTGTCAACATAAACATCATCTTTACACCTAAACTTGTATTAATTCAATTAAGAGTTAATATAGTATCCTAAAGTCATCAAATATTCAAAAATAGGATGTATTCTGAGTTGGAATATACATAAAATTAACTATTTTCAGCTGAGCAGAGTGGCTCATGCCTGTAATTCCAGCACTTTGGGAGGCTGAGGTAGGCAGATTGCTTGAGATCAGGAGTTTCAGACCAGCCTGGCCAACATGGTGAAACCCTGTCTCTACCAAAAATACAAGTTAGCCAGGCATGGTGGAACCTGCCTGTAATCCCAACTACTCTGAAGGCTGAGGCAGGAGAATCACTTGAACCCAGGAGGCAGAGGATGCAGTGAGCCAAGATTGCGCCACTGCACTCCAGCCTGGGTGACAGAGTGAGGCTCCATATCAAAATAATAATAATAATAATAAGAGTAATAATAATAATAACAATATTCTGTGAGTCCAAAGATAAAATAGCATTACAAAATACCTAATAATCCTGAGTTTGGTTTTCTTGGTTTTATTTTTTCATTTAGTTTTGTTCACTTTGACCAGTGGGCTGGTGGTTCTTAGGTGCACCAAGGTTTTCATTTTTCAGTTCAAGATTTTAAAACCTTAATGTGGTAATTTCTCTAATTTTTTTGACAGTTACGTCCCAGGTTGCAAGTTAAAATAAAATTCCCATTTTACTAAAGTCCTTGGTTTATTAATTATTTTATAATGACTTAATATATAATTTAATAAGTAATGAGGGGTACTACATTTCAGAAATCAACACTGAAGAACTTATTCATGGAACCAAACACCACCTGTTTCTCAAACACCTATTAAAATAAAAATACATATAAATAATTTCTAAAAATAAACACTAAAAATAAAGTGAAAATGAAAAAATATATATCCAGGTTAAAAAAAAAAACTACTTCAGTTAAACAATAAATACTTTTTGGGGGGACTCTACTGCAAAATTATTCGTTGTTTATTATAATCAATAATACAGGTAAAAGAATAAGTTTTTAAAAATGGAAAAATTGTAAAAAATAAAACGATATTAACAAATATTGGTATACTGGTGAAGGCCGGGCTCAGTGGCTGCTTTCCAAAGTGGTTACACCAGTCGGGCATGGTGGCACACACCTGTAATCTCAGCACTTCCGGAAGCTGAAGCAGGCAGATCACTTGAGCTCAGGAGTTTGACACAAACCTGGGCTACATGACAACACCCCATTTCTACCAAAAACTGTAAAAATCAGCTGCACATGATAGCATGCACCTGTAAGTCCCAGCTACTTAGGAGGCTGAGGTGAGAGGATCACTTGTGCCTGGAAGGTCACAGCTGCACTGGCCATGTTCATGTCACTGCACTCCAGCCTGTGCAACAGAGCAAGATTTTGTCTCAAAAAAAAAAAGTTGGTGACAATTGGAATAATTGGAACTCACATACATTACTGGTGGGAACATAAAATGGTGTAATCAATTTGGGTGTTTTCTTGGCATTTGATTTTTTTAAAAAATCAAGACATTGTTTCCCTATGTTGCCCAGGGTTGTCCTGAACTCCTGAGCTAAGAAAATCCTCCAAACTCAGCGTCTCAAATACCTGAGATTAAAGGTGTGAGCCACTGTGCCTGACCAGTGTAACCACTTTGAAAAACAACGTGGCAGTTTCTCAAAGACTAAATGTATAGTAATCACATAATGCAACAATTTCACTCCTGAGTGTAAATCCAAGAGAAATAAAAATATATGTTCACACTAAAACTTACGTACGAGTGTTCATAGCAGCCTGACTCATGATGGTGAATACGCAAAAACAACACAAATGTCCATCAACTAATGAATGGATAAACATACGTACCCTATGAACATGGGGTACGTAGGAGGTAGTGGCTAAGAGGTGAGGGTTTCTCACTCATAAGTGGGTAACTCACAAGTGGGTAATCACTTCTAAGAAAGACTGTGGTGATGGATGCACAGCTCCTTGAATATTCTAAAAACCACTCAATTGTATACTTTCTTTTTTCTTTAGTTATTTAAAGACAGGGTCTCCTTTTGTTACCCATGCTGTAGTGCAGTGGTGCCATCTGGTCTCACTGCAACCTATGGCTTCCGGGCTCAAGTGATCATCCAGTCTCATGTCCCCAAGTAGTTGGGACTACAGGCATGAGCCACCACACCCAGCTAATTTTTGTATCTTTGCTAGAGATGCTGTTTTGCCATGTTGCCCAGGCTAGTCGCAAACTCCTGAACACAAGCGATCCACCTGCCTCAGCTGCCCAAAGTCTTAGCGTTATAGGAATTAGCCACTGCACCTGGCCTGAATTGCGTACTTTGATAAATGAATTGCATGATACGTTAATCATATTTCAATAACGTTATTATTTTAAAAATGGCTGGGCATGGCGTGGTGACTCACGCCTCTGATCTCAGCACACTGGGAGGCCAAGGTGGGTGGATTGCCTGATTTCAGGAGTTCGAGACCAGTCTGGCCAACATACTGAAACTCTGTCTCTACTAAAAATACAAAAATATTAGCTGAGAGTGGTGACATGGGCCTGTAATTCCAGCTAGTCGGGAGGCTGAGGCAGGGGAGTTGCTTGAACCAGGGAGGTGGAGGTTGCAATCAGCTGAGATCACACCACTGCATTCCAGCCTGCATGACAGAGTGAGAGTCCGTCTCCAAAAGAAAGAAAGAAAAAGAAAATGGGCATTGAACACAGGTGGCTCCCACCTACATATAATCCAAGCACTTTGGGAAGCTGAGGCAGAAGGATCACTTGAGGCCAGGAGTCTGACAACATCCTGAGCAACACAGCAAGATCCCATCTGTACAATAAAAAATAAAGAAGTTAGCTGGGCATAGGGGCAAATGTATGTAGTCCCAGCTACTTGGGAGGCTGAGGTGGGAGGACTGTTTGAGTCCGGGGTTTCAGGCTGCAGTGAACCATGATCATGCCACCGCACTGCAGCCTGGGTGACAGAACAAAACCCTGTCTCTAGAAAAAAAAAAAAAGAAATCCAAGTTTTTATCACCTTCTGAGAGTAATCAACATTCAGGAGGAACAGAGAAGAACAAAAGACCACTGAATGGTTGAGGGTGGGTTGCTGGTTAGGTTCAGTGGCCAGCTGAGTAGTATCTGAAAAATTCATTAGTAAAATTATGGCACTAGGGGTGAGTCATGCAGTCGAAGGATGAATACTAAATCCAGTACAAACACCCATGGTCTTTCTTTACATGAATTCCATTGAAAAATTTCTAAGTGCCTAAAATAGCAAGCGGTCTGAAATGATGGCAGCAGTTTATTAAAGACTGAAAAAAGAGGCCAGGCACGGTGGCTCACACCTGTAATCCCAGCACTTTAGGAGTCCAAGACCAGTGGATCACAAGGTCAGGAGTTCAAGACCAGCCTGTCCAACATGCTGAAACCCCGTATCTACAGAAAATACAAAGCTTAGCCGGGCATGGTGACATGTGCCTGTAGTCCCAGCTACTTCAGAGGCTGAGGCAAAAGAAATGCTTGAACCCGGGAGGCAGAAGTTGCTGTGAATTGAGATTGTGCCACTGCACTCGAGCCTGGTGACAGAGGAAGATGCTGTCTCAAAAAAAAAAAAAAAAAAAAGAAACGGCATCTTCAAGAACCACAAGAACCACAAGAGAGTTCCACGCTGAAGAAGCTCTGATTCTGCATTTGCTGAACTACTGATTTGAGTTAGCCAATATAACACTATCTTAGATAAAGTGTACAAACAACTCAATTTCATCTCCTCATTAATAACTGATTGGTCTAATATCAATTCTGATTTTTAAAAAGCTAATTAGAAAAAGAATTAATTATAGAACCAATAAGAGGTTTGAATAGTTACAAGCTATTCAAAGGAGAATTCAAAAAACCATTCAGGTATGAGGCCATAAAGTATGATGAAATAAATTTCATTAATATATTTTAAAATAAACTGATTAGACAGGCAACAACACCTGGGCACGGGTCTCCTCACCTCCAGCAACACAAACCCAATCGCGCAGCTATGGGGTTGCAAAGGCTGCATAGTGACAAACAGACTGCTCTGAGCTGAGATTTCTTTACTTGTATCTGTATTCTGAGACCGGGTCTCACTCTGTCACTCTGGCTGCAATGCAGGGGTGCACTCATAGCTAACTGCAGCCGTGACCTCCTGGGCTCCGGGGATCCTCTTGCCTCACCCTCACCATAGCTATGGCTACAGATGAACACCAAAACACCCAGCTAATTTTTTTTTTTTTTTTTTGTAGAAAGAGGAGCCTTGCTATGTTGCCCAAGCTGGCCTCAAACTCCCACCCTCAAGAGATCTGCCCACCTCAACAACCTAAGTAACAGGTTCTACAGGAAAATACCACTATGCCGGGATAATTATATTTTATTAATTTTTATTTGCATAGACAGGAGGTCTTGCTGTGTTGCCCAGGGTGGTCTAAAACTCCTGGACTCAAACCATTCTCCCATCTCTGCCTCCCAAAGTGCTGAAGCTACGGGCATAAGCCACTGCACCTGGCCCGACTTAAGATTTCTGTAATCTAGCATCCCATACTTCATATAATTGGGAAAAGCAGTAGTGGTTTTTTTTTAATTACTTACTATTTCAACAAGAATCAACCATCTCTCACCATTGCCAGGGCCCTGGTCAGAACCATTATCATCTCCCACCTGGAGGTTGCCACAGCATGGCCTCCCTGCTTCTACCCAAATCTTCCCACAATCTTTCTCAACTCAGCTGCCATGGGATGCTTTTAAATCAGTAGACAGTTCGCGTCACCTCTCTGCTCAGAACCCTTCCTCATCTCCCATCTCAGACAGAATAAAAACCAAAGCCCCAGCAATAACCTCCCAGGGCTTACACAATCTGCACTGATCTGAGTCCAACAACTCCCTGGCCTCCTTCCCTACTTCTCTCCCTCTCTCTACTCCACAGACCTCTTTCCTGAGCTTCAGACACACCACGGAGTTCCCTCTTAGCATCTTTATTCTGTTGTTTCTGCCTACAATGCTCTTCCCTCAGTACCTTGGCCAGCTCCTTCCCCTCCTTCAAGTCTTTGCTCAATTTTCACTTAGGAGGCCAACCCTGACCACTTTATTTAATATTGCTATCTGTCCCTATTCCTGCCATGCTCACTCATTTCTTTTTTCTTTTTTTTTCTAAGATATAATCTCGCTGTGTCACTCAGACTGGGGTGCCATGGCATGATCACAACGCACTGAGACCTGGAGCTCTTAGGTCAAGAAATTGTCCTGCCTCAGGGCCAGACTTATCGTGAACTGCTGGGCCAAAGAAACCATCCTGCCTCAACCTCCTAAATAGCTGGAATTATAGGTGTGGGCCACCAATTCTGGCTTCATGTTCATTTCTTCTTGCCGCTGTTACAAACTACCCTACATTGAGTGGCTTAATACACCACAAATCTACTAACTAAGAGGTCTGGGGGCCAGAAGTCCAAAATAGGTCTATTAAGGCTAAAGTCAAGGTGCCAGCAGGACTGCATCCCTTCTGGAGGTTCTGGAGAGAATATGTTCCCTTGCCTTTCCCAGTTGCTAAAGCCACTGCTATTCTTTGGCTCATGGCTCCTAACTGCATCTTCAAAGCCAGAAGCAAAGCATATTCGAATCTCCCTCTGTGACCTGTGCTTCCATCATCAAATCTCCTTCAATTCGGACTCTCTTACCTCCCTCTTTCACTTATAAAGACCTCTTGTGATTGCTGGACACAGAGGCCGTGGCTCACAACCATAATCCCAACAGTTTAGGAGGTCAAAGCAGGAGAAACGCTTGAGGCCAAAACTTCAGGACCAGCCTGGGAAACACGGCGAGACCCCCTCAATTAAACAACAAAAAGAAATAAGAAAAAATTAGCTGGGCATGGTAGTATGCATCTGTAGTTTCAGCTACTTGAGAGGTTGTGGTGAAAGGATCGCTTTAGCCCCAGAGTTCAAGACCAGCCTCGGCAATATAACAAGATCCCATCTCTACAAAAAAAAATACAAAAATTAGCTGGGCATGGATGGTGTGCACCTGTAGTCCCAGATGCTTGGAAGGCTGAGGTGGGAGAATTGCTTGAGCACAGGTGGTTGAGACTGCAGTTAACTACAACACCATCACTGCACTCCAGATTGGGTGAAACAGAGACTCTGTGTTCAAAAGAAAAAGAAAAGAAATACACATTTGGTTTCTGCCCCTCATCCTGGCACAGAGCTTCTCAAGCTCTTATAAAGGCCTTGGTGATGAAAGTGATGGGGCATCTTCTGTTTCAATATTTGGTCTTAGTCCCAGGTTTCTAACACAAGAGCCTCTAAGACCTTTGGGATCACCATAGTAAGAATGCATTTGGTGATGTTACTGAGATGACTGGGTGACTGAAAGCTCCTAGACAGCTTCAGAAAAAGGGGTGGTTGTTGTCAGAAGAACAAACCATGTGATTAGAGGCTTGGAACTGTCAGCCTCACCCCCTGGGCTCCAGGAAGAAATAGTGGCCGAAGACTGACTTAATTACCAATGGTCAATGATTTCATCAATCATGCCTGCATAATGAAGCGTTCATAAGCGCCCTTAACAACTGGAGTTGGAGAATGTCTGGGTTGCTGAACACAAGGGAGATACCAGGAAGGTAACATGCACAATAGAGGACATGGAAGTTCTGTACCCCTCTCGACATACCTTGCCCTGTGTGTGTTTTTTTTTTTTTTTTGAGACAGAGTCTGGCTCTGTCTCCCAGCCTAGAGTGCCATGGCACAATCGTGGCTCACTGCGAACTATGCCTCCCTATCTCAAGCCCCATCCTCTCATCCTCTCACCTCAGCCTCCTGAGTAGCTAGAATTATAGGCACTGAGTAGCTAGAACTATAGATAACTGTGCCTGGCTAATTTTTAGAAAAATCTTTTTGTAGAGATGCATTTTCACCTTGTTACCCAGGCTGGTCTTAATCTCCTGAGCACTTAAGCGATGCTCCCGCCTCAGTCTCCCAAAGTGCTGAAATTACAGGCATGAGCCACTGTGCCCAGCATGTACATCTCTTTCACTGGCTGTTTCTGAGATTTAGCCTTTAAAATGAACCAGTAAAAGAAAATAAATTGGTGAGATGCAGTGGTTCATGCCCATAATCCCAGCATTTTGTGAAGTTGAGGTGGGAGGATCATGTGAGCCCAGAAATTTGAGACCAGCCTGGGCAACATAACAAGACCCCCCCATCTCTACAAAAAGTAAGAGAACATAGCCAGATATGCTGGTACAGGCCTATAATCTCAGCTATTTGGGAGGCTGAGGTGGGAGGATCACTTGAGCCCAGGAGTCCCATGCTACAGTGAGCTTTGATCACACCACTGCATTCCAGCCTGGCAACAGACTGAGACCCTGTATCTCAGAAAAAAAGAAAACAATCTGTTTTTCTGAGTTCTGCAAGCTGTCCGAGCAAATGATTCCACCCACCAATGGGGGTCATGAAACTCTGTTTTCTAACTGGTTGGTCAAAACTACATGTAACAACCCAAGACTTGCAATTGGCATGTGGAGTGAGGGTAGACTCCTGGGACTGAGCTCCCATCCTGCGGGGTCTGCACTAACTCCAGGGAGTGTCAGGATGGAATTGTGGGATACCCAGTTGGGATCCAGATTGTCTGAAAATCAGTGTAGAAACTCCACATGCACATTTGGTCAGAGGTGTTTGACCGTAACTACTATTCATGAAAAAGGTCTACTCATTAGAACTAAAAATCACAAAATTGTAAGTTCTACAAAAACAAATCAACCTTATCTACCGCCCAGTCCTACTGAACTACAGAATGTGAGAACAGAAGGTCTGACCATGGAGTCGAGAGCTGACAGGAATGTCACCATCATCCTGCTCTCCAAGGACTCCTCATCTTCAACAGACTCCTCATCTTCAATGGGCAGGGTGGAAACTGCAACTTGTGCCATGATCCTTGCACAAGAAAAGTAGTAAGAAAATGAGTGGTAGAAATCCAGTGTCCTAAACTCACATCCGGAGCTGTGAGAGTTTTTTACTGGCTGGATAATTCACAGTTTTCTTGAATCAGGGGAAAAATAAGACTCAGAAACTAGGAGTTTTGCCCAAAACTCTCATCAGATACAGAATCCATCCGCTAACTATCTAGTATTATTTCCATAAGTTAGATCAATTATCACTCCCAAAACAAATGCACATGGCACCCAGAATCTGTGCATTTCTCCCAAGTAAAAGAGGAGGTGGACGGGCGCAGTGTCTCATGCCTTTAACCCCAGCACTTTGGGAGGCCAAGGTGGGTGGATCACCTGAAGTCAGGAGTTCAAGACCAGCCTGGCCAACATGGTGATACCCTGTCTCTACTAAAAATAAAAAAAATTAGCCAGGTGTGGTGGCATGTGCCTGTAGTCCCAGCTTCTTGGGAGGCTGAGGCAGGAGAATCACTTGAACCCAGGAGGCTGAGGTTGCAGTGAGCAGAGATCACACCACTGCACCTCAGCCTGGATGACAGAGTGAGACTCTGTCTCAAAGAAAAAGGAGGGGAGGAAAGGAGGCAAGGCACTTTACAACCCAGTGATGGGCTACCACAACTCAACACAGCAAAGAGTTGCCAAGCTCCCTTTCTCCCGTGCACAACCCGACACAGAAGAGTTGGTGCAGTGGAATGAGGCTGGATGGAGAGAAGTTCCTCTTCTTTCTTTCCTTTTTTTTTTTTTTTTTTGAGATGGACTCTCGCTCTGTCACACAGCCTGGGGTGCAGTGGTGCAATCTCGGTCCCTGTAACCTCTGCCTTATGGGTTTAATCAATTCTCTGCCTCAGCCTTCCGAATACCTGGGATTAGAGTCACCCCCCCACCACACCCAGCTAATTTCTTTTTTTTTTTTTTTTTTTTTTTTTTTTTTTTTTTAGTGGAGACTGGGTTTCGCTATGTTGGCCAGGCTGGTCTTGAACTCCTGACTTTAGGTGATCTACCCACCTCGGCCTCCAAAAGTGCTAGGATTACAGGCATGAGCCGCTGTGCCCAGCCAAGAAGTTCCTCTTCTTACTTAGAAAACAGATCACAGGGCATCAAGTAACACGTAAAATCCTTTATAATAAGCAGTATTATTTTTGGAAAACCTTTCCTAATATTTTGGTATCAGCAAAAAGCCTCAGATTAATTTCAAACACTATAAAAATACAATACATAAACAGAAAATATTAACTGTCAGCAAGGCTATAGAGAAATTGGAAGCTGTATGCATTGCTTTTTGGAATGTAAAATGGTACAGCCCACTGTGGAAAATGGTTTAGCAGCTCCTTAAAAATATGAAGCATAGAATTATATGATCCATCAACACCCTTTAAGCGTATATACCCAAAAGAACTGAGAGCAGGGACTCAAACAGGTATTTGTACACCCGATTAACAGCAGCATTATTCACAGTGGCCAAAAGGTAGCCCAAACCTAATGCCCATCAGTAGGTGAATAGATAAAGAAAATGTAATATATACATACACAGAGTATTATTCAGCCATAAAAAGAAAAATATCTGGCCAGATTCAGGGGCTTACACCTGTAATCCCAGTATTTTGGGAGGCCAAGGTGGGCAGGTCTCTTGAGCCCCATATTTTGAGACCAGACTGGACAACATGGCACTTTTGGTTAGAAGTGTTTGACCATAACTACTATTCCAGAAAAAGATCTACTCATTAGAACTACAAATCATAAAATTATAAGTTCTACAAAAACAAATCAACCTTATCTACCACCCAGTTCTACCCAATTATATCATATTAGAACAGAAGGTCTCACCGTGGACTTGAGAGCTGATACGAGAAATGTCACCACCATCCTGCTCTCCACGGAATCATCTTCAACAGACTCCTCATCTTCCATGGACTCCTCATCTTCCATGGGCAGGGTGGAAACTGCAACTTGTGCCATGATCCCTGTGCAAAAAAGTAGTAAGAAATTGAATGGTAGAAATGCAGTGTCCTAAACTCACATCCAGAGCTGTGAGAGTTTCTCACCGGCTGCCAAATTGTTTTTTGGGTCAGAGAAAAAAATAAAACTTGGTAACCTGGTACTCGACTTGCCCCAAACTCTCATCAGATAGAGAATCTATCTGCTAACTTTCTATCTAGTATTATTTCCATGAAGTTACATCAATATCACTCCCAAAATAAATCCAGGTGGAAGACTAAATCCAAAGCTAGCAGAAGGAAAGAAATAATAAAGAGCATAATTAGAGCATAAATCAATCAAATAGAAGGTTGGAGAGCAGTAGAATGAAAAAATGTAGATTCTTTGAAAGATCAAGCCTTTCACTATATTGACTGAGCAAAAGATGGAAGACTAATTATTAAAATAATAAATGAAAGCAGAGCCATTACTACCAACTTTACAGAAATACAAAAGGATTATAGGAGTATACTGTGAACAACTGTCTAGCAACAAATTAGGTGCCCTGGATGAAATGGATGAATCGCTAGAAAGACACAAACTACCAAGGTGGCTCAAGAAGAAAGAGAAAATCTGAATAGACCTATAACCTAGGAGATTGAATTAGTAATCGAAAGCGATTAACAAAGAAACATTTATGACCAAATAGCTGCATTAACTGGTGAGTCAACCTAACATTTAAAGAAGAATTAATACCATTTCTTCTCAAACTCTTCTGACAAAATATATGAAGAAGGAATACTTGCTAATTCATTTTTTGATAACAGCATTATCCTTATACCAAAGACAAAGAGAGCACAAAAGAGAGAAATACAGCACTATATCCCTTATGAATATATAAGCAAAAATCTCAGCAAAATACTAGCAATACTAGCAAAATACTAGCAGCAATACTGTATAATCAAAGGATTGTAAACTATCACCCTTTGAGATTTATCCCCAAAATGCAAGGGTGGTTCAACATATAAAAAATCAATCAGTGTAATATGCTGTAACAGTAAAATGAATAAGCACGTGATTATTTCAATTGATGCAGAGAAAACATTGATGAAATACAACACCCTTCTATAATAAAAATACTCAATAAACTAGGCATAGAAGGGATCTTCTGCAACATGACAATGGGATGTACAAAAACCCAACAGTTAATATCATGATCAATGATGAAACACTGAGAGCTGTTTTCCTAATATCTAGAAGAAAAGGATGGTGCATTTGCCACTTGTATTCAACGTAGCACTGGCAGTTCTAGCCAGAGCAATTAGGCAAGACAAAGAAATAAAAGGCATCTAAATTAGAAATAAAAAATAGGTGTAAAATTATATCTACACATGATCTTGTAGGTATAAAGCTCCAAACAAAACACAAAACCGATTATAACTAATAAAAGAGGCAGGATGCAAACAAACATAGGCAAATGAGCTATATTTCTATATAGTTGTAAAGAACTATGAAAACATTTTAAAAATTCCATTTATAATGACATCAAAGAATACGTTATTCAGGCATAAATCTAACCATGGTGGTATACACAAAACATTGCTGCAAAAAACTAAAGAGAGTGGAAATAAGTGGAAAGACATTCTGTGTTCACGGGTTGTAAGACAATATTGTTAAGATGACAATACCATCTAAAGTAATCTACAGATTCAATGCAATACCATCAAAATCCCAAAGGCATTTTTGCAGAAACAAAGAAACTCATTCTAAAATCATACAAAAATTCAAAGGATCTGACAGACAAAACAGTCTTGAAAAAGAACATTGGAAAACTCACATTTTTCAGTTTCACAGCCTACTACAAATCTACAGTAATCAAGAGAGTGTGGTACTGGAATAAGACCAATAGACTTTCAGACAAATACAATAGAACAGATTTGAGATCCTACAAGTTAGTCCTCACATATATGGTCAATGACTGTTCAACAAGGTGGCCAAGTCTAGTCAAGGGAGGAAAGAACAGTCTCTTCAACAGCTGGATGTCAGTGCACAAGAGAGAAGTTAGACCCCTACCTTGCAGTATATACAAAAATTAATTCTAAATTAATAAAAGACTTAAATGTAAGGACTAAAAATATGTAACTCTTAGAAGAAAACACACGGTAAACCTTTATGACCTTTGAGTTTTAAGTGTATTTTGAAATATGACAGAAAAGCACAGATAACAAAAGAAAATACACGAAAATTAGATTTAATCAAAATAAAAAAACCCTTTATGCATCAAAGGATACTATCAAGGGAGTGAAAAGACAACCCATAATATGTGAGAAAATATGTATCTGATAAAATCAAAATGTGTATCTGATAAAAGCTTAATATCCCACAACTCAACAACAGAATTTCTAAGATCCCAATTAAAAAAATAGGCAAAGGACTTGAACAGACATTTCTCCAAAGAAGATACACAAATGTCTAAGAAGGAAAAGAAAAGATGCTAAACACCATTATTCATTAATAAAATGCAAGGCAAAACCCAAATGAGACGCCACTTTGCATCCACTAGTAAGGCTTTCATAACAACGACACAGAAAATCAATGTTGCTAAGGAGGTGGAGAAACTGGAGCCCTCATGAACTGGCTGCTAGGAATAGAAAATGATGCACTTGCTGTGGAAAAGAGTTTGGTGGTTCCTCAAAGAATCACACAGAGAAACAGGCGCCGCTGGCTTGCAGGTTCTCCTGGGCTGGCGCGGGACGTCCCGGAATCGCAGGCGCGCATTCCTTCCCGCCTGAGGGCCCGCCTGGCCGTGACTCCTGCCCCTCTCCTCCTCCGAAGAGAGATCGGGGCCGCCCCAGCGGCCGTCTGCAGCCACCGGGGATGGGGCTGAGGGTCGGTTCCTGCCCCGGTGCAGCCGCCCCTGGGCAGACCGCCTGGCTTGGTCGCAGCCACGGCGACATCTAGCCCCAGTTCTGCGAGGCTGGGCGCGCCAGCCAGCTTGGGAGTCGCCCGGCGCCTGTAGCTGGGTGCCCAGGTGGTGGAGCATGCCCTGGGCCGCCTCTGGATCGCGGGTGCCCCTGGCCTGAGAGCCTGCCAGACCCTGCCCCGGCCCGGCTCCTCCTCTGTCAGAGCTCCAGGTCTCTATCCAGGGGCCCTCTGCAGCCACCGGGGATGGGGCTGAGGGCCGGTTCCCGCCCCTGTGCAGCTGCTGCAGGACAGACCGCCTGGCTTGGCCACAGCCACAGGGACATTTGGCCCTGCTTCCGAGATGTGGGGAGTGTGGGCGAGCTCGGGAGTTGCCTGGAGGCTGCTGCCTGCACGCAGAAGGCGGCTGCAGCTCGGGTGCCCAGGCGGGCTGGAAGTGCATGGCCTGGTCGGCCTTGGGATCGCCAGCGCGCCCAGCCTCAGGGCCCCCAGGCCGTGCCTCCCGACCACTCCTCCACCTGAGGGAGATCGGAGCCGTTTGTATGGGCACTCGGCAGTCACCTCGTGTGGGGTTGAGCGGTGGGTTCTCAGTTCTCGCTCCTGTGCAGCTGCTGCCGCAGGGCAGAATGCCTGGCTTGGCTGCAGCCACTGGGACACGTGGCCCTGCTTCTGTGATGCTAGGAGCGCGAGCGGGCTCGGGGGTTGCCAGGCAGCTGCTGCCTGCACACAGAGGGCGACGGCAGCTTGGGCGCCCAGATGGCGGAGCATGGTTTGGGTGGCCTCTGGAATGCGTGCGCGCCAGGCCTGAGGGTCACCCTGGTGGGGCCACATACCCCGGTCTTCCTCTGCTGGAGCCTGGAGCAGCTGGAATGGCCACTACTCCGTCACAGGGGATAGAGTTAAGTTTTCTTATCCCACCCATGCACACAAAAAGGTGACGATTCTGTGAGGTAATAAACGTGTTAATTGACTACATTCATGCCACTCTGCACCCACAAGTAAGGCTTTCATAACAATGACACAGAAAATAAATGTTGCTAAGGAGGTGGAGAAGTTGGAGCCCTCATGATTTGGCTGCTAGGAATAGAAAATGATGCCCTTGCTGCGGAAAACAATTTGGTTGTTCCTCACAGAATGAGCATTGGGTGAAAAATGAAATCAAGATGGAAATGTAAAAAATTTATTCGAACTGGATGACACAACCTATCAAGACCTCTGGGATACAGCAAAGGCACTGCTAAGAGCAAAGTTTGTAGTCCTAAAAACCTACATCAAAAAGTCTGAAAGAGCACAAACAGACAATCTAAGTTCACATCTCAGGGAACTAGAGAAGCAGGAACAAGCCAAACCCAATCCCAGCAAACACAGGAAATAACAAAGATCAGAGCAGAACTAAATGAAATTGACACAACAACAACAACAACAACAAATACAAAACATAAATAAAAGAAAAAGTTGGTTATTTGAAAAGATAAATAAAATTGATAGACCATTAGCAAGATTAACCAAGAAAAGAAGAGAGAAAATCCAAATAACCTCACTAAGAAATGAAACAGGGGATATTACAACTGACACCACTGAAATATTAAAGATTATTCAAGGGTACTATGAACACCTTTTGGCACATAAACTACAAAGCCTAGAAGAGTTGGATAAATTCCTGGAAAAATACAACTCTCCTAGCTTAAATCAGGAAGAATTAGATACCCCAAGCCGACCAATAAAGCAAGCAGCAAGATTGAAATGGTAATTTTAAAATTACCAGCAAAAAAAGCTGAGGGCCAGACAGATTCACAGCAGAGTTCTACCAGACATTCAAAGAATGTCTTCTTTCATTCAAGGAAGAAATGATACCAATCTTTTCATACTATTCCACAAGACAGAGAAAGAAGAAACCCTCCCTTATTCATTCTATGAAGCCAGCATCACCCTAATACCAAAACCATGGAAGGACATAACCAAAAAAGAAAACTACAGACCAATATCCTTGATGAACGCAGATGCCAAAATCCTTAACAAAATACTATCTAACTGAATCCGACAACATATCAAAAAATAATCCACCATGATCAAGTGGGTTTTATACCAATGATATAGGAGTGGTTTCACATATGCAAGTCAATAAGTGTGATACACCAAATAAACAGAATTAAAAAAAATCTAATATGATTATATCAACAGGTGCAGAAAAAACATTTGACAAAATCTAGCATTGCTTTATGATTAAAGCTCTCAGCAAAATAGGCATACAAGGGACATACCTTAATGTAATAAAAGCCATCTATGACAAACCCACAGCCAACATAATACTGAATGGGGAAACGGTGAAAGCATTCCCTTTGAGAACTGGAACAAGACGAGGAGCCTACTCTCACCACTCCTCTTCAACATAGTACTGGAAATCCTAGCCAGAGCAATCAGACAAAAGAAGGAAATAGAGGAAATCCAAATCGGTAAAGAGGAAGTCAAACTGTCACTTGTTGCTGATGATATAATCTTTTGCCTAGAAAACCCTACGGACTCCTCTAGAAACCTCCTAGAACTGATAAAAGAATTCAGCAAAGTTTCCAGATACAAGATTAATGGACACAAATCAGTAGCTCTTCCATACATCAACAGCTACCAAGCAGAGAATCACATCAAGAACTCAACCCCTTTTACAATAGCTGCGACAAACAACAACAACAAAAAAACAAAACTTAGGAATATACCTAGCAAAGGAATCAAAGGACCGCTACAATGAAAATTACAAAACGCTACTGAAAGAAATCATAGATGGAGCCAAGCACGGTGGCACATGCCTATAATCCGAGCTACTCGGGAAGCTGAGGCAGGAGAATCGCTTGAACCCGGGAGGCAGAAGTTGTAGTGAGCCGAGATCACACCATTGCTCTCCCACCTCAGCGACAAGAGCGAAACTCCTTCTGAAAAAAAAAAAAAAAAAAAAAAAAAAAAAAAAAAACAAAAAAAAAAAAAAAACAAGAAAGAAAAGAAGTCATAGATGACACAAACAAATGGAAATGCATCCCCATGCTCATGGATGGGTAGAACCAATATTGTGAAAATTACCATTCTGTTAAAGGCAATCTACAAATTCAATGCAATCCCCATCTGAATGCCACCATCATTCTTCACAGAATTACAAAAACAATTCTAAAATTAATATGGAACCAAAAGAGAGCCATGTAACCAAACCAAGCCTAAGCAAAAAGAACCTGGAGGTATCACACTACTTGATTTCAAACTGTACAATAAGGCCATAGTTACCAAAACACCAACGTACTGGTTTAAAAATAGGAACATAGACCAATGGAACAGAAGAGAGAACCCAGAAATTAACCCAAATACTTACAGCCAACTGATCTTCGACAAAGTAAACAAAAACATAAAGTGGGGAAAGGACCCCCTTTTCAACACATGATGTTGGGATAATTGGCGAGCCACATGTAGGGGAATAAAACTGGATTCTCATCTCTCATCTTATACAAAAATCTACTCAAGATGGATTAAGAACTTAAATCTAATTCCTGAACTATAAAAATTCTAGAAGATAACACTGGATAAACCCTTCTAGACATTGACGTACGCAAGGATTTCATGACCAAGAACCCAAATTCAAATGAAATAAAAACAAAGATTAATAGCTGGGACTTAATTAAACTAAACAGCTTTTGCATGGCAAAAGGAACAGTCAGCAGACTAAATGGACAACTCAGAGTGGGACCCCTGAACCTGACCCTGACCCCTGACCCTGATCCCTAACCCCTGACCCTGACCCCTAACCCCTGACCCTAACCCTAACCCTTAACCGTAACCCCTAAGCCTAACCCCTAACCACAACCCTCACCCTCACACTAATCCAACCCTAACCCCTTATCCCTAACCCCTAACCTCTCTTAACCTCTAACTCTAAACGTTGACTCTTAACTCTTAACTCTGACCCCAACCCCTATCTCCAACCCCTAACCCTAAACTTAACCCCTAACCCCTAACCCTAACACCAACCTTAACCCTAGGTTCGTTACTACGTTTGTACTATGTCAATGTTGATTATTATGATCTCTGTCTTAGGACTGCATGGCAGCAAGGGGATTGCGGATCTTATATTAATATTTTTGTATTGAGGCAGTGCATTAGCATTACAGGTGCTTGTTACATGAGCAATGGGAGTGTCATAATTTGGGTGTCATGTCTGCATTAGGAATGCTGCATTTGTCTTCCGAGTCTGCGGTGTGGATCTCGCACTGTGGCCGCCTCGGCTTGGCTGGGGAGAACCTCGGTTGGCAGGATTCAGAGGGGCTTTTGGTTTCCCTTTTCCACACTGAGCCCTTCTAACTGGTCTCTGGCCCTGATTATTCAGGGCTGCAAAAGGGAAGGATTTTATTCACCGTCTATGCGGTCCCGAGTTGTCCCAAAGCGAGGCAGTGCCCCAAAGGTCTGTGCTGAGGAGAACGCTGCTCTGCCTTAGCGGTGTCCCCCGGGTCTGTGCTGAGCAGAACGCAGCTCCGCCCTCGCGGTGCCCCCGGCCCGCCTGGGTCTGTGCTGAGGAGAACACTGCTCCGCCTTCGCTGTATCTCTGAAGTCTGTGCAGAGGAGAACTCAGCTCCGCCCTGGCGATGCTCTCCTTGGCTGTGCTGGGAAGAACGCAGCTCCGCCCTCGCAAAGGCGCACAGCGCGGGCGAAAGGCGCAGAGAGGCCCACAGCGCCGGGGCAGGCGCAGAGAGGCCCACAGCGCCGGGGCAGGCGCAGAGAGGCCCACAGCGCCGGCGCAGGCGCAGAGAGGCAGAAGGCCCATGAGGGGAAGGTGAGACACCTGGGGCAAAGAAGAAAAAAAAATGCGCCGCGAAGCAGTGTCTGGGTCATCCAGGGACGAAAGTTTTTTCCCATCAGGCCTTGCGCTGGGCCCCAGGGACCCTGGCATCCCTGGTTCACGCCCGGGGTGTGCCTCAGGCGACTAGGGGTACCCCAACTTGGACAGAAGGCCCATGAGTGGAAGTTGAAGTTTGTGGGAGGAGAGGTGAGGCACCAGGGGCAGAAAAAATAAAAAAAGAGGACCGCGTCTCAGAGAAGCGGGGCCTGGGTCCCCCACGGATGAAAGTGCCTTCCCATCAGGCCCTATGCTGGGCCTGGTGGACCCTGGCGACCCTGGTTCGAGCCCAGGGTGCGCCTCGGGACAGCTTGGGGTACCACAAAGCAAAGAAAAGGTCCATGAGGGGAAGGTGAGGCACCTGAGGCAGAGAAAAAAAAAATGCTCAGCCGAGAAGCAGTGCCTGGGTCCCCCACGGATGAAAGTGCCATCCCATCAGCCCCTTCGCTGGGCCCTGGGGACCCTGGCGTCCCTGGTTTGACCCTGGGGTACGCCTCGGGACAGTAGGGGTACCCCAAGGTGGGCAGAAAGCCCCTAAGGGGAAGGTGAGGCACCTAGGGCAGAGAAAAAAAAAAACTTCACCACGGAGAAACACGGCCTGGGAGCCCCACAGACGAAAGTGTCTTCCCATCAGTCCCTGCACTGGGACCCAGGGACCCTGGTGTCCCTCGTTCGAGCTCAGGGTGTGCCTCGGCCGCTAAGTGCACCCCAAGGGGGCTTTGGGGACACAAAACCCGTGAGGGGAAGGTGAGTTTTGAGGGAGGAGAGGTGAGGCACCTGTCACAGAAAAAGAAAAAAAAGAAACCCGCACCGCGGAGAGGTGGGGCCTGGGTACCCCACGGATGAAAGTGCCTTCCCATCAGCCCCTGCGCTGGGCCCCGGGGAACCTAGAGTCCCTGGTTGGAGCTCAGGGAGAGTCTCGGGCCACTAGGGATACCCCAACACGGTGGAAAGCCCATGAGAGGAAGGTGAGCTGTGAGGGAGGAGAGGTGAGGCACTTGTGGCAGAAAAGAAAAAGAAACCGCGCCACGGAAAAGTGGGGCCTGGGTCTCCCATGGAAAAAAAGTGCCTTCCCATCAGTCCCTGAGCTGGGCCACGTGGACCCAGGCGACCCTGGTTCTAGGCCTGGGTGCACCTCGGGCCCGCTAGGTGTACCCCAAAACGGGCAGAAGGCCCATGAGGGGAAGGTGAGGTTTGAGGGAAGAGAGGTGAGGCACCTGCGGCAGAAAAAAAAAAAAACCGTGCGGAAGAGAAGCGGGACCTGGGTCTCCCACGGACGAAAGTGCCTTCTCATCAGCCCCTGCGCTGGGCCCCCTGGACTCTGGCGACCCTAGTTCAAGGACCAGAAGAGACTCCGGCATGCTAGGGTACCCTAAGGAAGCCAGAAAGCCCATGAGGGGAAGGCGAGATTTAAGGGAGGAGAGGTGAGTCACCTGTGGCAGAAAAATATATATATATATATATATATATATCAGCACCTCGGAGAAGCCGGGCCTGGGTCCCCACTGATGAAAGTGCCTTCCCATCAGCCCCTGCGCTAGCCCCGAGAACCTGGCGACCCTGATTGGAGACCCGGGAGCGCCTCGGGCCTGCTCGTGGTACCCCAAAGCAGGCAGAAGGCCAGTGAGGGGAAGGTGAGGCACCAGGGGCGGAGAAAAAAAACCGCAGCTTTGAGAAGCGGGGCCTGGGTACCCACGGATGAAGGTACATTCCCATCAGCCCCTGCGCTAGGCCCCGGCGACCCTGGCATCCATGGTTCGAGTCCAGGGAGAGCCTTGGGCCGGAAGGGGTACCCCAAGTAGAGCAGAAAGCCCATGATGGGAAGTTGACGTTTGAGGGAGGAGAGGTGAGGAAACTGTGGCAGAAAAAAAAAAAGAAAACAAGCCGCGCCTAGGAGAAGCTGGGCCTGGGTACCCCAAGGATGAAAATGCCTTCCCATCAGTCCCTGCGCTGGGCCCTGTGGACGCTGGAGACCCCAGTTCGAGCCCCGGGTGCGCCCCGGGCCTGCTAGGGGTATCACAAGGAGGGCAGAAATCCCATGAGGGGCAGTTGAGGTTTGAGGAAGGAGAGGTGAGGCACCTGTGGCAGAAAAAAAAAAACTGCACCACGGAGAAGCGGAGCCTGGATCCCCAACGGAAGAAAGTGTCTTCCCATCAGCCCTTGCGCTGGGCACAGGGGACCCTGGCATTCCTGGTTCGAGACCAGGGTGCGATTCAGGCCGCTAGGGGTACCCCAAGACAGACAGAAGGCCCATGAGGGAAAGGTGAGACACCTGGGGCAGAGAACAAAATAAAAAACTGCGCCCACCAGAAGTGGGGCCTGGGTTCCCCATGGACGAACGTCCCTACCCATAAGCCCTACACTGGGCCCCGGAGACCCTAGCATCCCTGGCTCAAAACAAGGGTGCGCCTCGGGCCGGCTAGGGGTACCTCAAGGCGGGCAGAAAGCCCATGACGGGAAAGTGAGGCACCTGTGGAAAAGAAAAGAAAAAAAAACGCCACAGAGAAGCAGAGCCTGGGTCCCCGAGGAAGAACGTGTCTTATCATCAGCCACTGCGCTTGACCCTGTGGAACCTGGCTTCCATGGTTCAAGCCCAGGGTATGCCTTGGGCCGCTAGGGGTACCCCAAAGCTTGCAAAAAGCACAAGAGGGGAAGGTGAGGCACCTGGGGCAGAGAAAAACAAACACAGCCGCGGAGAAGCGGGGACTGGGTCCTCCAAACGGACGAAAGTATCTTCCCATCAGGCCTCGTGCTGGGCCTCAGGGACCCTGGAGTCCCTGGTTCGATCCCACAGTGCACCTCGGGCCGCTAGGTGTACCCCAAGGCAGACAGAAGCCACATGAGGGGAAGGTGAGATTTGAGGAAGGAGAGGAAAGGCATCTATCGTAGCAAAAAAAAAAAAAACCGCGCAAAGGAGAAGCAGGGAATGGGTCCCCCACAGACGAAAGTGCCTTCCCATCAGGCCCTGAGGGATTGAAACAGAATGAGGAGTGACTAATGTCTACAGAGTTTTTCTCTGGTCGGGGGTGATAAGACGTTCTACAATGGATTGCGAATTAAAATTGAATGTGCACAACCACAGGTATACTAAAAGCCACTCAATTCATGACTTTTAATGGGGGAATCTTATGTGGCGCACTCTCATGGAGACCACGGCAGACATAGTGAGAGAGAAAAAGGTGAGTAAATATCTGAAACGGAGGCAGAAACAGAGAGAATGAAAAGCCCTGTGAATGGAAGGGAGAGCGAAAAGGGAAAATGGTCCTATTTACAAATGACAGATGTGAAACTGGGGTTCACATCAACAGTGTCAATGCCAGGAAGGAGGGTGATGCTAGCCATGTCACGGGCAGTGTGTCCCACAGGGACGCCGACCTGCTGGAGCGTCTTGCCAGCATGGGCTCTGGCAGCCACGTGGGCCAGCAGGAGGGTCCCGCTGCACAGCTGTGGGGTGAGGATAGACTGGGTGGTGATATCGGCCATGACAGGGGCCTCTTCTGCTGGCAAGAGTGTGCCAGTAGCAAGTAGATGGACAGGCCTGCGTGTGAGGACGGAATGCAGGAGGGGCTCTTGTGAGGCTGGGTGTGGGGCCCTCACGGGAACCGTGGAGTAATGGCCAGGTAACTGCGTCATGTGGGCTAGTAGATTGGCCAGGACTTCGAACTGAAGGACAATAACGGGGAGTAGCTGTCAGGCCCTGGGAGTGTCTGAGTGTAAGTGGAGATGGGTTTTGTGTCACTGAGGGATGCGTGGGAGCCATCCCTGTATAGGTACAGGTCATAGGGAGATACTCTCGTGAGGCCTGTGAGTGTCTAGGGTTGTCCTGGGTGCCTGGGGCTGACTGTGGCAGAAATCTGGGGAAGGCTGGAGAGAAGCTGGGAGACCCAGGAGAGTCCCTGAAGGCAGGGGGTGAAGAGGTGAAAGAAATGGTGGAGGGTTGCAGTAAGGTCCGTGAGTTTGTAGGTGATTCCTGGGTGCAGGAAGCTGACTCCAGGTGATATCTGGAGATGGTTGGAGAGTAGCTGAGAGAGACAGAAGAGTCCCTGAGGGCTGGGGGTGAGAACATGAGGGAGACTGGGGAGTAAGTCAGTGAAATTCGTGAGTTCGGTGGTGTATCGTGGGTGCCTGGAACTGACTCCAGCTGGAATCTAGAGAAGTTTTGAGAGTAGCTGAAAGAGACACGAGAGTCCCTGTGGGCTGAGGGCAAAGACCTGAGAGAGACCAGGGAGGACCTCAGTGAAGTCTGTGAGTCCGTAGGTGATTCTGGAGTGTGGGAGGCTGACTCCCGCTGAAATCTGGGCGTGGTGGGAGAGTAGCTGGGACAGACAGGAGAGTCCCAGGGGGCTGGGGGTGAAGACATGAGAGAGACTGGAGAGTAACTCAGTGAAACTGCTGAGTTTGTAGGTGATACCTGGGTGCCTGGAACTGACTCCCGCTGAAATCTGGGCATGGTTGGAGAGTAGCTGGGACCCACCGGAGAGTCCCTGAGGGCTGGGGGTGAAGACATGAGAGAGACCGGGGAGTAACTGAGTGAAACTGGTGAGTTTGGTGGTGACTCCGGGGTGTCTGGAACTGACTCCAGCTGCAATGTGGGCGTGGTTGGAGAGTAGCTGGGACAGATGGGAGAGTCCCTGAGGGATGGTGAAGACATGAGAGAGACTGGGGAGTAACGCAGTGAAATTGGTGAGTTTGGTGGTGATTTCTGGGTGCCTGCAACGGACTCCCACTGAAGTGTGGGCGTGTTTGGAGAGTAGCTGGGACAGACAGGCGAGTCCCTGAGGGTTGGAGATAAAGACGTGCTAGAGACTGGGGAGTAACTCAGTGAAAGTGGTGGGCTTGGCGGTGATCCCTGGGTTCCTGGAACTGACCCGCGCTGAAATGTGGGCGTGGTTGGAGAGTAGCTGGGACAGACTGGAGGGTCCGTAAGGGCTGGGGGTGAAGACGTGAGAGAGACTGGCCAGGATCTCACTGAGGTCTGTGAGTTTGTAGGTGTTTCTGGGGTGTGGGGTACAGACTCCCGCTGAAATGTGGGCGTGGTTGGAGAGTAGCTGGGACAGACAGGAGAGTCATGGGTGGCTGGGGGTGAGCTGCTGGATGATGGCAGTAAGAACATATGGTATATTATTGATGAATGAGGTGACTGTGAAGAATCTCCAGAGGAGGACACGGGAGAACACAATGACATGAGTGACTGTCCTGCTTGGTTAGGAAATGGAAACGTAAAGCTGTGGAATTCTGTTGATGATGGATGTGAGAGTGGTGAAGCCCTGCGGGATGATGTAGAGTACTTCCACATCCCTGGTGAGGAGCTGCCCCTTGGGTCTGAGTTTCTGGGAGGGGAGAGGGAGAAGCTGGGTGAGGCAGGCATGAATCTTGAGGAGTCAGGGCTGGGGGACCGCTCATATTCTCCCGAGACCTGTGAGTCTCTGGGGGACTCCTGGGTGCATGCGACTGAATCCCGCAGGAACCTGGGGATGGCTGGATAGTAACTGGGAGCCACGGGAGAGTCCCTGAGGCCTGGGGGTGAAGAGATGAAAGACACAGGGGTGGAGCACCGTGAGGCTCGTGAGTTTGTAGGTGATTCCTGGGTGTGGGGGGCTGACTCCAGCTGAAATCTGGGGTTGTTTGGAGAGTAGCTGGGAGACACAGGAGACCCCCCGAGAGCTGGGGGTGAGCTGCTGGGTGATGGCAGTAAGAACATGTGGTATATTATTGATGAACCTGGGGACTCTGAGGAATCCTCAGAGGAGGACAGAGGAGAGCCCGATGACTTCATTGATTGCCCATCACGGTCAGGACAGGGAAATGGGAGCTTGTGGGATTCTGGTGATGACAGAGGTGAGTGTGGTGAAGCCCTAGGGGATGGTGAATGGTAGCTCCGGATCCCTGGTGAGGAGCTTCCCCTTAAGCCTGAGTTTCTGAGATGGGAGAGGGAGAAGCTGGGTGAGGCTCGCATGGACCTTGGGGAGTCCGGGCTGTGGGACCGTTCATAAGAAGAGCCAGACAAGACCCTACTGTTCTTAGGAGCAGACATGATTAGGAAACCTGCAGCTCCCAGGGGCCCCTACTAATTTTCTAACTCGCAGAAGGAAGGAGTGTGTGTGCGTGTGTGTGAGCGTGTGCGTGTGTGTGCGTGTGTGTGTGTCTGTGTGTGTGCGGTGTGAGGTATGTGCCCCTTAAGAAAATGGAAATCAACCAACCAATGGGACAGACACACAAACAGACAGACAGACAGACAGACAGACAGACAGACAGACAGAGATTCACTTGCCCAAGTGTTCTGTCCTGTCCTCGGAATCCGCTTCCAAGTCGCAAGACGCCGTGAGCTCCAAGTCGACGCAGAGTCCGCCAAAGGCTCCGGCCGCCGATCCCCTCCGCGAAGATCTGAGTACAGGCCAGCCAGGGTGGGTTTAAATAGCCTCCTGCGCAGCCTAGCAGCAGAAAGGGTGGAGCTTCACTCCTCCTTTCCGTCAGTCACCCCCAACTTTCCCAGGCGTAGGAAACTGTTCTCCTGCTTTGATTTCATGCGCCACCTTTGGGACAATCTAAGAACTTCCAAGTTTTCTTGGCCAGATATATTAGGAATTGTATGCACTGAAACACTGTAAACCAACTAGTGGTTCTGTGGTTCTCCACGTTGTGTTTTTGACACCAGCAGCATCCTTGCCACAATCAAACCCCGGAGATCCACAGATCTGTGTTGTAACAAGACCTCCCCCTGACCCTGATGCATGGCAGTTTAAGAAGTCTTTCCGTGTAAGCGAAAAGACTTTGAAGAAAAGGTGGAGATATGCGTTGTATAAACATTCTTTTGCTCTGGAACCACGTGGAGACTTGGGAGCCAGTTGGGTGGAGCATTCGTTGGATGAAGGTGCTTGGGTTCGGAATATCAAGGTGTGGCTCCAGATAATCCAATCATCTAATTAAGATTCCAGTTGTGCTCATCTGTTTTAAAATTCCGTTTGGGTAAATTCTTTTATTCAGACTGAGAATGGCAAAGCCTCAACCCCAATTTCCAGGGAGGGTTGAGAGCCTCAGGTGGAGTTGATCACCAATAGCCTATGGTTTAACCCATCATGCCTATAGAATTAGGTCTCCATAAAAACCCAAAAGGACTGGGTTCAGAGAGGTTCTGGATAACACTTCCTGGAAGGTAGTGCGCCCCTCCCCACATGCCGGGCCCCACATTTATTTCTGAACTTTTTGCAATGTCCGCTAAAATACAACGGCAAATGTAAGTGTTTCCCTGAGTGCCGTGAGCTCTTCCAGCAAATGAATGCAACTAAATCTGGGAGTGGTGGCAACCTGATTTATAGCCAGTTGCTGAGAAGCACAGGTAAAACAACGTAGGGCTTCCCGTTGTTATTAGTGTGGGAGGCCTGCCTGGCGGGACTCGGCCCTTTGGAATCTAATGCTATGTCCCGGTAGATAGCGTCACCATTGAATTAGAAGACACACATATGTTGAGAATAATCTTTCTGGTCATTTGCTGCATGTCTTATTTACAATATGTAATCAAATTCTTTATCCTGACCTTATGGCACCTGGGTTGAGAACCATGATTTGAACCAAACATTGGTCTGTCACTTTCTGAGTTTGAAACTTTATTTTGCCTTTAGCGTTTTGCTATTGCTTTTTCGTTTTCTTTTGTTTCGTTTCGTTTCTAAGTTCTGGGGTGTATGTGCAGGATGGGCAGATTTGTTACTAAGGTAAACGTGTGCCATGGTGGTTTGCTGCACCTGTCAACCCATCACCTAGGTATTAAGCCAAGCATGCAGTAGCTGTTTTCCTTAAGGCTCCGCCTCCCGAAAGGCCCCAGTGTGTGTTGTTCCCCTTCCTGTGTCCATGTGATCTCATTCTTCAGCTCCCATTATAAGTGAGAATGTGGCGTTTGGTTTTCTTTCCCTGGATTAGTTTGCTGAGGATAATGACCACACGTCACCTCTGTTTTTGTTTTTTAGTATAGAGTAGCATTTTATTGAATAAGATTTGCTCACAGAAAAATAGGCTTAAATCTACAATGAATGCCAGACTCTACAGCAGAAAGCAATTTTCTCACTTTTCCACACACAATGGTTCCTACTAAGTGAAAAAAAGCCATAAAATTTCATTCACAAATGTACTAATCTGTCTCAAAACATCTCACATAATCATGCACTGCACTAAAGCCATTAGATCAGTTCTTCAGTGAGGTTAAAGAAGTATCCCTCTAATAACTGACTTTTATAATGCTATCAATATCCACTCCCAATCAGTATGCCATTGTTAATGGTGTACAGCATTACTGTATACAATGGAATTGATGACACCCATATCCACGGACAAACCGTGACTTATGATGGTTTGATTCATGATTTTTCAACGTTATGATGGGTTTATTGTAATATGAGATGCGGTTCTGAGTTACACTGGGTTTATGAGTATGCGACCCTATACTCCAGAAACAGCTGTATAAGGAAAAACAGGTGTACCTAATAAAAATATGCTTAGTGACTTGGGATAAACCAATAGATGTTCACAACTGATGGAGAGCCGTGAAAGAGAGATAGCGGTAAATAGTTACAATAACACAATTTTCCTGCACCTGTCGAGGATTTCCCCAAAAAAACGCAGAATGTGTGATGCACCTAAGGCATATGAAAGAGAGAGGGCAGAAGGAGTAAGAGAGTAATAGGAGGAAGGAAGGAAGGAAGGAAAGAAGGAAGGTAGGAAGGAAGGAAGGAAGGAAGGAAGGAAGGAAGGAAGGAAAGAAGGACGAAAGGAAGGATAAAACACCCGGTGTTACTAAAACCCCCCAAAAATATGGTTTTCCCCTGTGGGTAAGCCTACAATGTGGATGAATCTTGAAAATATTGTGCTACGTGTTATGTCAGTCATAACAGCTCACCTATTGTGCAATTCTGTTTATAGGACATGTCCACAATATGGAAATCTATGCATATGGGGTTGATCGCACTAGGTAGTTGCTACCTAGGGCTGAGGGTCAGGGAGAGGGTTTGAGACAGAATGAGGAGTGACTAATGCCTACAGGGTTTTTCTCTGGTCGGGGGTGATAAGACGTTCTACAACGGATTGCTAATTAAAATTGAATGTGCACAACCACTGGTATACTAAAAGCCACTCAATTCATGACTTTTAATGGGGGAATCTTATGTGGCGCACTCTCATGGAGACCACGGCAGACATAGTGAGAGAGAAAAAGGTGAGTAAATATCTGAAACGGAGGCAGAAACAGAGAGAATGAAAAGCCCTGTGAATGGAAGGGAGAGCGAAAAGGGAAAATGGTCCATTTACAAATGACAGATGTGAAACTGGGGTTCACATCAACAGTGTCACTGCCAGGAAGGAGGGTGATGCTAGCCATGTCACCGGTAGTGTGTCCCGCAGGGACGCCGACTTGCTGGAGCGTCTTGCCAGCATGGGCTCTGGCAGCCACGTGGGCCAGCAGGAGGGTCCCGCTGCACAGCTGTGGGGTGAGGATAGACTGGGTGGTGATATCGGAAATGACAGGGGCCTCTTCTGCTGGCAAGAGTGTGACAGTAGCAAGTAGGTGGACAGGCCTGCGTGTGAGGACGGAATGCAGGAGCGGGTCTTGTGCGGCTGGGTGTGGGGCCCTCACGGGAACCGTGGAGTAATGGCCAGGTAACTGCGTCATGTGGGCTACTAGACTGGCCAGGGCTTCGTACTGAAGGACAATAACGGGGAGTAGCTGTCAGGCCCTCGGAGTGTCTGAGTGTAAGTGGAGATGGGTTTGGGGTCACTGAGGGATGCGTGGGAGCCATCCCTGTATAGGTACAGGTCATAGGGAGATAGTCTCGTGTGGCCTGTGAGTTTCTAGGGTTATCCTGGGTGCCTGGGGCTGACTGTGGCAGAAATCTGGGGAAGGCTGGAGAGAAGCTGGGAGACCCAGGAGAGTCCCTGAAGGCAGGGGGTGAAGAGGTGAAAGAAATGGTGGAGGGTTGCAGTAAGGTCCGTGAGTTTGTAGGTGATTCCTGGGTGCGGGAAGCTGACTCCAGGTGAAATCTGGAGATGTTTGGAGAGTAGCTGAGAGAGACAGAAGAGTCCCTGAGGGCTGGGGGTGAGA
This sequence comes from Homo sapiens, assembly GCF_000001405.40. Classification (NCBI taxonomy): domain Eukaryota; kingdom Metazoa; phylum Chordata; class Mammalia; order Primates; family Hominidae; genus Homo; species Homo sapiens. The sequence goes on from NW_021159991.1 coordinate 210,997, forward strand.
ACATGAGGGAGACTGGGGTGTAAGTCAGTGAAATTCGTGAGTTCGGTGGTGTATCGTGGGTGCCTGGAACTGACTCCAGCTGGAATCTAGAGAAGTTTTGAGAGTAGCTGAAAGAGACACGAGAGTCCCTGTGGGCTGAGGGCAAAGACCTGAGAGAGACCAGGGAGGACTTCAGTGAAGTCTGTGAGTCCGTAGGTGATTCTGGAGTGTGGGAGGCTGACTCCCGCTGAAATCTGGGCGTGGTGGGGGAGTAGCTGGGACAGACAGGAGAGTCCCAGGGGGCTGGGGGTGAAGACATGAGAGAGACTGGGGAGTAACTCAGTGAAACTGTTGAGTTTGTAGGTGATACATGGGTGCCTGGGACTGACGCCCGCCGAAATCTGGGCATGGTTGGAGAGTAGCTGGGACACACAGGAGAGTCCCTGAGGGTTGAAGATAAAGACGTGCTAGAGACTGAGGTGTAACTGAGTGAAATTGGTGAGTTTGGTGGTGATTCCGGGGTGCCTGGAACTGACTCCAGCTGCAATGTGGGCGTGGTTGGAGAGTAGCTGGGACAGATGGGAGAGTCCCTGAGGGATGGTGAAGACATGAGAGAGACTGGGGAGTAACGCAGTGAAATTGGTGAGTTTGGTGGTGATTTCTGGGTGCCTGCAACGGACTCCCACTGAAGTGTGGGCGTGTTTGGAGAGTAGCTGGGACAGACAGGCGAGTCCCTGAGGGTTGGAGATAAAGACGTGCTAGAGACTGGGGAGTAACTCAGTGAAAGTGGTGGGCTTGGCGGTGATCCCTGGGTTCCTGGAACTGACCCGCGCTGAAATGTGGGCGTGGTTGGAGAGTAGCTGGGACAGACTGGAGGGTCCGTAAGGGCTGGGGGTGAAGACGTGAGAGAGACTGGCCAGGATCTCACTGAGGTCTGTGAGTTTGTAGGTGTTTCTGGGGTGTGGGGTACAGACTCCCGCTGAAATGTGGGCGTGGTTGGAGAGTAGCTGGGACAGACAGGAGAGTCATGGGTGGCTGGGGGTGAGCTGCTGGATGATGGCAGTAAGAACATATGGTATATTATTGATGAATGAGGTGACTGTGAAGAATCTCCAGAGGAGGACACGGGAGAACACAATGGCATGAGTGACTGTCCTGCTTGGTTAGGAAAGGGAAACGTAAAGCTGTGGAATTCTGTTGATGATGGATGTGAGAGTGGTGAAGCCCTGCGGGATGATGTAGAGTACTTCCACATCCCTGGTGAGGAGCTGCTCCTTGGGTCTGAGTTTCTGGGAGGGGAGAGGGAGAAGCTGGGTGAGGCAGGCAAGAATCTTGAGGAGTCAGGGCTGGGGGACCGCTCATATTCTCCCGAGACCTGTGAGTCTCTGGGGGACTCCTGAGTGCATGGGGCTGACTCCCGCAGGAACCGGGGGATGGCTGGAGAGTAACTGGGAGCCACAGGAGAGTCCCTGAGGCCTGGGGGTGAAGAGATGAAAGACACAGGGGTGGAGCACCGTGAGGCTCGTGAGTTTGTAGGTGATTCCTGGGTGTGGGGGGCTGACTCCAGCTGAAATCTGGGGTTGTTTGGAGAGTAGCTGGGAGACACAGGAGACCCCCCGAGAACTGGGGGTGAGCTGCTGGGTGATGGCAGTAAGAACATGTGGTATATTATTGATGAACGTGGGGACTCTGAGGAATCCTCAGAGGAGGACACAGGAGAGCCCGATGGCTTCATTGATTGCCCATCACGGTGAGGACAGGGAAATGGGAGCTTGTGGGATTCTGATGATGACAGAGGTGAGTGTGGTGAAGCCCTAGGGGATGGTGAATGGTAACTCCGGATCCCTGGTGAGGAGCTTCCCATTAAGCCTGAGATTCTGAGAGTGGAGAGGGAGAAGCTGGGAGAGGCTCGCATGGACCTTGGGGAGTCCAGGCTGGGGGACCGTTCATAAGAAGAGCCAGACAAGACCCTACTGTTCTTAGGAGCAGACATGATTAGGAAACCTGCAGCTCCCAGGGGCCCCTACTAATTTTCTAACTCGCAGAAGGAAGGAGTGTGTGTGCGTGTGTGTGAGTGTGTGCGTGTGTGTGCGTGTGTGTGTGTCTGTGTGTGTGCGGTGTGAGGTATGTGCCCCTTAAGAAAATGGAAATCAACCAACCATTGGGACAGAGACACAGACAGACAGACAGACAGACAGACAGAGATTCACTTGCCCAAGTGTTCTGTCCTGTCCTCTGAATCCGCCTCCAAGTCGCAAGACGCCGTGAGCTCCAAGTCCACGCAGAGTCCGCCAAAGGCTCCGGCCGCTGATCCGCTCCACGAAGATCTGAGTACAGGCCAGCCAGGGTGGGTTTAAATAGCCTCGGGCGCAACCTAGCAGCGGAAAGGGCGGAGCTTCACTCCTCCTTTCCGTCAGTCACCCCCAACTTTCCCAGGCTACACCTCTTAGGAAACTGTTCTCCTACATTGATTTCATGCGCCACCTTTGGAACAATTTAAGAACTTCCAAGTTTTCTGGGCCAGATATGTTAGGAATTGTATGCACTGAAACACTGAAAACCAACTAGTGGTTCTGTGGTTCCCACGTTGTGGTTTTGACGCCAGCAGCATCCTTGCCACAATCAAACCCCGGAGATCCACAGATCTGTGTTGTAACAAGACCTCCCCCTGACCCTGATGCATGGCAGTTTAAGAAGTCTTTCCGTGTAAGCGAAAAGACTTTGAACAAAAGGTGGAGATATGCGTTGTATAAACATTCTTTTGCTCTGGAACCACGTGGAGACTTGGGAGCCAGTTGGGTGGAGCATTCGTTGGATGAGGGTGCTCGGGTTCGGAATATCAAGGTGTGGCTCCAGATAATCCAATCATCTAATTAAGATTCCAGTTGTGCTCATCTGTTTTAAAATTCCGTTTGGGTAAATTCTTTTATTCAGACTGAGAATGGCAAAGCCTCAACCCCAATTTCCAGGGAGGGTTGAGAGCCTCAGGTGGAGTTGATCACCAATAGCCTATGGTTTAACCCATCATGCCTATAGAATGAGGTCTCCATAAAAACCCAAAAGGACTGGGTTCAGAGAGGTTCTGGATAACACTTCCTGGAAGGTAGTGCGCCCCTCCCCACATGCCGGGCCCCACATTTATTTCTGAACTTTTTGCAATGTCCGCTAAAATACAACGGCAAATGTAAGTGCTTCCCTGAGTGCTGTGAGCTCTTCCAGCAAATGAATGCAACTGAATCTGAGAGTGGTGGCAACCTGATTTATAGCCAGTTGCTGAGAAGCGCAGGTAAAACAACGTAGGGCTTCCCGTTGTTATTAGTGTTGGAGGCCTGCCTGGCGGGACTCGGCCCTTTGGAATCTAATGCTATGTCCCGGTAGATAGCGTCACCATTGAATTAGAAGACACACATATGTTGAGAATAATCTTTCTGGTCATTTGCTGCATGTCTTATTTACAATATGTAATCAAATTGTTTATCCTGACCTTATGGCACCTGGGTTGAGAACCATGATTTGAACCAAACATTGGTCTGTCACTTTCTGAGTTTGAAACTTTATTTTGCCTTTAGCGTTTTGCTATTGCTTTTTCGTTTTCTTTTGTTTCGTTTCGTTTCTAAGTTCTGGGGTATATGTGCAGGATGGACAGATTTGTTACTAAGGTAAACGTGTGCCATGGTGGTTTGCTGCACCTGTCAACCCATCACCTAGGTATTAAGCCAAGCATGCAGTAGCTGTTTTCCTTAAGGCTCCGCCTCCCGAAAGGCCCCAGTGTGTGTTGTTCTTCTTCCTGTGTCCATGTGATCTCATTCTTCAGCTCCCATTATAAGTGAGAATGTGGCGTTTGGTTTTCTTTCCCTGGATTAGTTTGCTGAGGATAATGACCACACGTCACCACTGTTTTTGTTTTTTAGTATAAAGAGTAGCATTTTATTGAATAAGATTTGCTCACAGAAAAATAAGCTTAAATCTACAATGAATGCCAGACTCTACAGCAGAAAGCAATTTTCTCACTTTTCCACACACAATGGTTCCTACTAAGTGAAAAAAAGCCATAAAATGTCATTCACAAATGTACTAATCTGTCTCAAAACATCTCACATAATCATGCACTGCACTAAAGCCATTAGATCAGTTCTTCAGTGAGGTTAAAGAAGTATCCCTCTAATAACTGAATTTTATAATGCTATCAATATCCACTCCCAATCAGTATGCCATTGTTAATGGTGTACAGCATTACTGTATACAATGGAATTGATGACACCCATATCCACGGACAAACCGTGACTTATGATGGTTTGATTCATGATTTTTCAACGTTATGATGGGTTTATTGGAATATGAGATGCGGTTCTGAGTTACACTGGGTTTATGAGTATGCGACCCTATACTCCAGAAACAGCTGTATAAGGAAAAACAGGTGTACCTAATAAAAATATGCTTAGTGACTTGGGATAAACCAATAGATGTTCACAACTGATGGAGAGCCGTGAAAGAGAGATAGCGGTAAATAGTTACAATAACACAATTTTCCTGCACCTGTCGAGGATTTCCCCAAAAAAACGCAGAATGTGTGATGCACCTAAGGCATATGAAAGAGAGAGGGCAGAAGGAGTAAGAGAGAAATAGGAGGAAGGAAGGAAGGAAGGAAAGAAGGAAGGTAGGAAGGAAGGAAGGAAGGAAGGAAGGAAGGAAGGAAGGAAGGAAAGAAGGACGAAAGGAAGGATAAAACACCCGGTGTTACCAAACCCCCCCCAAAATATGGTTTCCCCCTGTGTGTAAGCCTACAATGTGGATGAATCTTGAAAATATTGTGCTACGTGTTATGTCAGTCATAACAGCTCACCTATTGTGCAATTCTGTTTATAGGAAATGTCCACAATGTGGAAATCTATACATATGGGGTTGGTCGCACTAGGTAGTTGCTACCTAGGGCTGAGGGTCAGGGAGAGGGTTTGAGACAGAATGAGGAGTGACTAATGTCTACAGGTTTTTCTCTGGTCGGGGGTGATAAGACGTTCTACAATGGATTGCGAATTAAAATTGAATGTGCACAACCACAGGTATACTAAAAGCCACTCAATTCATGACTTTTAATGGGGGAATCTTATGTGGCGCACTCTCATGGAGACCACGGCAGACATAGTGAGAGAGAAAAAGGTGAGTAAATATCTGAAACGGAGGCAGAAACAGAGAGAATGAAAAGCCCTGTGAATGGAAGGGAGAGCGAAAAGGGGAAATGGTCCTATTTACAAATGACAGATGTGAAACTGGGGTTCACATCAACAGTGTCACTGCCAGGAAGGAGGGTGATGCTAGCCATGTCACCGGCAGTGTGTCCCGCAGGGACGCCGACCTGCTGGAGCGTCTTGCCAGCATGGGCTCTGGCAGCCACGTGGGCCAGCAGGAGGGTCCCGCTGCACAGCTGTGGGGTGAGGATAGACTGGGTGGTGATATCGGCCATGACAGGGGCCTCTTCTGCTGGCAAGAGTGTGACAGTAGCAAGTAGATGGACAGGCCTGCGTGTGAGGACGGAATGCAGGAGGGTCTCTTGTGAGGCTGGGTGTGGGGCCCTCATGGGAACCGTGGAGTAATGGCCAGGTAACTGCGTCATGTGGGCTAGTAGATTGGCCAGGGCTTCGAACTGAAGGACAATAACAGGGAGTAGCTGTCAGGCCCTGGGAGTGTCTGAGTGTAAGTGGAGATGGGTTTGGGGTCACTGAGGGATGCGTGGGAGCCATCCCTGTATAGGTACAGGTCATAGGGAGATAGTCTCGTGTGGCCCGTGAGTGTCTAGGGTTGTCCTGGGTGCCTGGGGCTGACTGTGGCAGAAATCTGGGGAAGGCTGGAGAGAAGCTGGGAGACCCAGGAGAGTCCCTGAAGGCAGGGGGTGAAGAGGTGAAAGAAATGGGAGAGGGTTGCAGTAAGGTCCGTGAGTTTGTAGGTGATTCCTGGGTGCGTGAAGCTGACTCCACGTGAAATCTGGAGATGGTTGGAGAGTAGCTGAGAGAGACAGAAGAGTCCCTGAGGGCTGGGGGTGAGAACATGAGGGAGACTGGGGAGTAAGTCAGTGAAATTCGTGAGTTCGGTGGTGTATCGTGGGTGCCTGGAACTGACTCCAGCTGGAATCTAGAGAAGTTTTGAGAGTAGCTGAAAGAGACACAAGAGTCCCTGTGGGCTGAGGGCAAAGACCTGAGAGAGACCAGGGAGGACCTCAGTGAAGTCTGTGAGTCCGTAGGTGATTCTGGAGTGTGGGAGGCTGACTCCCGCTGAAATCTGGGCGTGGTGGGGGAGTAGCTGGGACAGACAGGAGAGTCCCAGGGGGCTGGGGGTGAACACATGAGAGAGACTGGGGAGTAACTCAGTGAAACTGCTGAGTTTGTAGGTGATACCTGGGTGCCTGGAACTGACTCCCGCTGAAATCTGGGCATGGTTGGAGAGTATCTGGGACACACAGGAGAGTCCCTGAGGGCTGGTGAAGACATGAGAGAGACTGGAGAGTAATTGAGTGAAATTGGTGAGTTTGGTGGTGATTCCTGGGTGCCTGGAACTGACTCCCGCTGAAGTGTGGGCGTGGTTGGAGAGTAGCTGGGACACACAGGAGAGTCCCTGAGGGTTGGAGATAAAGACGTGCTAGAGACTGAGGAGTAACTGAGTGAAACAGGTGAGTTTGGTGGTGATTCCGGGGTGCCTGGAACTGACTCCAGCTGCAATGTGGGCGTGGTTGGAGAGTAGCTGGGACAGACGGGAGAGTCCCTGAGGGATGGTGAAGACATGAGAGAGACTGGGGAGTAACGCAGTGAAATTGGTGAGTTTGGTGGTGATTTCTGGGTGCCTGCAACGGACTCCGGCTGAAGTGTGGGCGTGTTTGGAGAGTAGCTGGGACAGACAGGCGAGTCCCTGAGGGTTGGAGATAAAGACGTGCTAGAGACTGGGGAGTAACTCAGTGAAAGTGGTGGGCTTGGCGGTGATCCCTGGGTTCCCGGAACCGACCCGCGCTGAAATGTGGGCGTGGTTGGAGAGTAGCTGGGACAGACTGGAGGGTCCGTAAGGGCTGGGGGTGAAGACGTGAGAGAATCTGGCCAGGATCTCACTGAGGTCTGTGAGTTTGTAGGTGTTGCTGGGGTGTGGGGTACAGACAGCCGCTGAAATGTGGGCGTGGTTGGAGAGTAGCTGGGACAGACAGGAGAGTCATGGGTGGCTGGGGGTGAGCTGCTGGATGATGGCAGTAAGAACATATGGTATATTATTGATGAATGAGGTGACTGTGAAGAATCTCCAGAGGAGGACATGGGAGAACACAATGACATGAGTGACTGTCCTGCTTGGTTAGGAAAGGGAAACGTAAAGCTGTGGAATTCTGTTGATGATGGATGTGAGACTGGTGAAGCCCTGCGGGATGATGTAGAGTTCTTCCACATCCCTGGTGAGGAGCTGCCCCTTCGGTCTGAGTTTCTGGGAGGGGAGAGGGAGAAGCTGGGTGAGGCAGGCATGAATCTTGAGGAGTCAGGGCTGGGGGACCGCTCATATTCTCCCGAGACGTGTGAGTCTCTGGGCGACTCCTGGGTGCATGGGGCTGACTCCCGCAGGAACCTGGGGATGGCTGGAGAGTAACTGGGAGCCACAGGAGAGTCCCTGAGGCCTGGGGGTGAAGAGATGAAAGACACAAGGGTGGAGCACCGTGAGGCTCGTGAGTTTGTAGGTGATTCCCGGGTGTGGGGGGCTGACTCCAGCTGAAATCTGGGGTTGTTTGGAGAGTAGCTGGGAGACACAGGAGACCCCCCGAGAGCTGGGGGTGAGCTGCTGGGTGATGGCAGTAAGAACATGTGGTATATTATTGATGAACCTGGGGACTCTGAGGAATCCTCAGAGGAGGACAGAGGAGAGCCCGATGGCTTCATTGATTGCCCATCATGGTGAGGACAGGGAAATGGGAGCTTGTGGGATTCTGGTGATGACAGAGGTGAGTGTGGTGAAGCCCTAGGGGATGGTGAATGGTAGCTCCGGATCCCTGGTGAGGAGCTTCCCATTAAGCCTGAGTTTCTGAGAGGGGAGAAGGAGAAGCTGGGTGAGGCTCGCATGGACCTTGGGGAGTCCGGGCTGGGGGACCGTTCATAAGAAGAGCCAGACAAGACCCTACTGTTCTTAGGTGCAGACATGATTAGGAAACCTGCAGCTCCCAGGGGCCCCTACTAATTTTCTAACTCGCAGATGGAAGGAGTGTGTGTGCGTGTGTGTGAGTGTGTGCGTGTGTGTGCGTGTGTGTGTGTCTGTGTGTGTGCGGTGTGAGGTATATGCCCCTTAAGAAAATGGAAATCAACCAACCAATGAGACAGTCACACAGACAGACAGACAGACAGAGATTCACTTGCCCAAGTGTTCTGTCCTGTCCTCTGAATCCGCCTCCAAGTCGCAAGACGCCGTGAGCTCCAAGTCCACGCAGAGTCCGCCAAACGCTCCGGCCGCTGATCCGCTCCGCGAAGATCTGAGTACAGGCCAGCCAGCGTGGGTTTAAATAGCCTCGGGCGCAACCTAGCAGCGGAAAGGGCGGAGCTTCACTCCTCCTTTCCGTCAGTCACCCCCAACTTTCCCAGGCTACACCTCGTAGGAAACTGTTCTCCTACTTTGATTTCATGCGCTACCTTTGGAACAATCTAAGAACTTCCAAGTTTTCTTGGCCAGATATATTAGGAATTGTATGCACTGAAACACTGAAAACCAACTAGTGGTTCTGTGGTTCCCACGTTGTGGTTTTGACGCCAGCAGCATCCTTGCCACAATCAAACCCCGGAGATCCACAGATCTGTGTTGTAACAAGATCTCCCCCTGACCCTGATGCATGGCAGTTTAAGAAGTCTTTCCGTGTAAGCGAAAAGACTTTGAAGAAAAGGTGGAGATATGCGTTGTATAAACATTCTTTTGCTCTGGAAGCAGGTGGAGACTTGGGAGCCAGTTGGGTGGAGCATTCGTTGGATGAGGGTGCTCGGGTTCGGAATATCAAGGTATGGCTCCAGATAATCCAATCATCTAATTAAGATTCCAGTTGTGCTCATCTGTTTTAAAATTCCGTTTGGGTAAATTCTTTTATTCAGACTGAGAATGGCAAAGCCTCAACCCCAATTTCCAGGGAGGGTTGAGAGCCTCAGGTGGAGTTGATCACCAATAGCCTATGGTTTAACCCATCATGCCTATAGAATGAGGTCTCCATAAAAACCCAAAAGGACTGGGATCAGAGAGCTTCTGGATAACACTTCCTGGAAGGTAGTGCGCCCCTCCCCACATGCCGGGCCCCACATTTATTTCTGAACTTTTTGCAATGTCCGCTAAATTACAACGGCAAATGTAAGTCTTTCCCCGAGTGCCGTGAGCTCTTCCAGCAAATGAATGCAACTAAATCTGGGAGTGGTGGCAACCTGATTTATAGCCAGTTGCTGAGAAGCACAGGTAAAACAACGTAGGGCTTCCCGTTGTTACTAGTGTGGGAGGCCTGCCTGGCGGGACTTGGCCCTTTGGAATCCAATGCTATGTCCCGGTAGATAGCGTCACCATTGAATTAGAAGACACACATATGTTGAGAATAATCTTTCTGGTCATTTGCTGCATGTCTTATTTACAATATGTAATCAAATTCCTTATCCTGACCTTATGGCACCTGGGTTGAGAACCATGATTTGAACCAAACATTGGTCTGTCACTTTCTGAGTTTGAAACTTTATTTTGCCTTTAGCGTTTTGCTACTGCTTTTTCGTTTTCTTTTGTTTCGTTTCGATTCTAAGTTGTGGGGTATATGTGCAGGATGGGCAGATTTGTTACTAAGGTAAACGTGTGCCATGGTGGTTTACTGCACCTGTCAACCCATCACCTAGGTATTAAGCCCAGCATGCAGTAGCTGTTTTTCTTAACGCTCTGCCTCCCGAAAGGCCCCAGTGTGTGTTGTTCCCCTTCCTGTGTCCATGTGATCTCATTTTTCAGCTCCCATTATAAGTGAGAATGTGGCGTTTGGTTTTCTTTCCCTGGATTAGTTTGCTGAGGATAATGACCACACATCACCACTGTTTTTGTTTTTTAGTATAAAGAGTAGCATTTTATTGAATAAGATTTGCTCACAGAAAAATAATCTTAAATCTACAATGAATGCCAGACTCTACAGCAGAAAGCAATTTTCTCACTTTTCCACACACAATGGTTCCTACTAAGTGAAAAAAAGCCATAAAATTTCATTCACAAATGTACTACTCTGTCTCAAAACATCTCACATAATCATGCACTGTACTAAAGCCATTAGATCAGTTCTTCAGTGAGGTTAAAGAAGTATCCCTCTAATAACTGACTTTTATAATGCTATCAATATGCACTCCCAATCAGTCTGCCATTGTTAATGGTGTACAGCATTACTGTATACAATGGAATTGATGACACCCATATCCACGGACAAACCGTGACTTATGATGGTTTGATTCATGATTTTTCAACGTTATGATGGGTTTATTGGAATATTAGATGCGTTTCTGAGTTACACTGGGTTTATGAGTATGCGACCCTATACTCCAGAAACAGCTGTATAAGGAAAAACAGGTGTACCTAATAAAAATATGCTTAGTGACTTGCGATAAACCAATAGATGTTCACAACTGATGGAGAGCCGTGAAAGAGAGATAGCGGTAAATAGTTACAATAACACAATTTTCCTGCACCTGTCGAGGATTTCCCCAAGAAAACGCAGAATGTGGGATGCACCTAAGGCATGTGAAAGTGAGAGGGCAGAAGGAGTAAGAGAGAAATAGGAGGAAGGAAGGAAGGAAGGAAAGAAGGAAGGTAGGAAGGAAGGAAGGAAGGAAAGAAGGAAGGAAGGAAGGAAAGAAGGACGAAAGGAAGGAGAAAACACCCGGTGTTACTAAAACCCCCCAAAAATATGGTTTCCCCATGTGGGTAAGCCTACAATGTGGAGGAATCTTGAAAATATTGTGCTACGTGTTATATCAGTCATAACAGCTCACCTATTGTGCAATTCCGTTTAAAGGAAATGTCCACAATATGGAAATCTCTGCATATGTGGTTGATCGCACTAGGTAGTTGCTACCTAGGGCTGAGGGTCAGGGAGAGGGTTTGAGACAGAATGAGGAGTGACTAATGTCTACAGGGTTTTTCTCTGGTCGGGGGTGATAAGACATTCTACAATGGATTGCGAATTAAAATTGAATGTGCACAACCACAGGTGTACTAAAAGCCACTCAATTCATGACTTTTAATGGGGGAATCTTATGTGGCGCACTCTCATGGAGACCACGGCAGACATAGTGAGAGAGAAAAAGGTGAGTGAATATCTGAAACGGAGGCAGAAACAGAGAGAATGAAAAGCCCAGTGAATGGAAGGGAGAGCGAAAAGGGAAAATGGTCCTATTTCCAAATGACAGATGTGAAACTGGGGTTCACATCAACAGTGTCACTGCCAGGAAGGAGGGTGATGCTAGCCATGTCACCGGTAGTGTGTCCCGCAGGGACGCCGACCTGCTGGAGCGTCGTGCCAGCATGGGCTCTGTCAGCCACGTGGGCCAGCAGGAGGGTCCCGCTGCACAGCTGTGGGGTGAGGATAGACTGGGTGGTGATATCGGCCATGACGGGGGCCTCTTCTGCTGGCAAGAGTGTGACAGTAGCAAGTAGATGGACAGGCCTGCGTGTGAGGACGGAATGCAGGAGCGGCTCTTGTGCGGCTGGGTGTGGGGCCCTCACGGGAACCGTGGAGTAATGGCCAGGTAACTGCGTCATGTGGGCTAGTAGATTGGCCAGGGCTTCGAACTGAAGGACAATAACGGGGAGTAGCTGTCAGGCCCTGGGAGTGTCTGAGTGTAAGTGGAGATGGGTTTGGGATCACTGAGGGATGCGTGGGAGCCATCCCTGTATAGGTACAGGTCATAGGGAGATAGTCTCGTGTGGCCCGTGAGTGTCTAGGGTTGTCCTGGGTGCCTGGGGCTGACTGTGGCAGAAATCTGGGGAAGGCTGGAGAGAAGCTGGGAGACCCAGGAGAGTCCCTGAAGGCAGGGGGTGAAGAGGTGAAAGAAATGGGGGAGGGTTGCAGTAAGGTCCGTGAGTTTGTAGGTGATTCCTGGGTGCGGGAAGCTGACTCCACGTGAAATCTGGAGATGGTTGGAGAGTAGCTGAGAGAGACAGAAGAGTCCCTGAGGGCTGGGGGTGAGAACATGAGGGAGACTGGGGAGTAAGTCAGTGAAATTCGTGAGTTCGGTGTTGTATCGTGGGTGCCTGGAACTGACTCCAGCTGGAATCTAGAGAAGTTTTGAGAGTAGCTGAAAGAGACACAAGAGTCCCTGTGGGCTGAGGGCAAAGACCTGAGAGAGACCAGGGAGGACCTCAGTGAAGTCTGTGAGTCCGTAGGTGATTCTGGAGTGTGGGAGGCTGACTCCCGCTGAAATCTGGGCGTGGTGCGGGAGTAGCTGGGACAGACAGGAGAGTCCCAGGGGGCTGGGGGTGAAGACATGAGAGAGACTGGGGAGTAACTCAGTGAAACTGCTGAGTTTGTAGGTGATACCTGGGTGCCTGGAACTGACTCCCGCTGAAATCTGGGCATGGTTGGAGAGTATCTGGGACACACAGGAGAGTCCCTGAGGGCTGGGGGTGAAGACATGAGAGAGTCCGGGGAGTAACTGAGTGAAACTGGTGAGTTTGGTGGTGACTCCGGGTTGCCTGGAACTGACTCCAGCTGAAATGTGGGCGTGGTTGGAGAGTAGCTGGGACAGACAGGAGAGTCCCTGAGGGCTGGTGAAGACATGAGAGAGACTGGAGAGTAATTGAGTGAAATTGGTGAGTTTGGTGGTGATTCCTGGGTGCCTGGAACTGACTCCCGCTGAAGTGTGGGCGTGGTTGGAGAGTAGCTGGGACACACAGGAGAGTCCCTGAGGGTTGGAGATAAAGACGTGCTAGAGACTGAGGAGTAACTGAGTGAAACAGGTGAGTTTGGTGGTGATTCCGGGGTGTCTGGAACTGACTCCAGCTGCAATGTGGGCGTGGTTGGAGAGTAGCTGGGACAGACGGGAGAGTCCCTGAGGGATGGTGAAGACATGAGAGAGACTGGGGAGTAACGCAGTGAAATTGGTGAGTTTGGTGGTGATTTCTGGGTGCCTGCAACGGACTCCAGCTGAAGTGTGGGCGTGTTTGGAGAGTAGCTGGGACAGACAGGCGAGTCCCTGAGGGTTGGAGATAAAGACGTGCTAGAGACTGGGGAGTAACTCAGTGAAAGTGGTGGGCTTGGCGGTGATCCCTGGGTTCCCGGAACCGACCCGCGCTGAAATGTGGGCGTGGTTGGAGAGTAGCTGGGACAGACTGGAGGGTCCGTAAGGGCTGGGGGTGAAGACGTGAGAGAATCTGGCCAGGATCTCACTGAGGTCTGTGAGTTTGTAGGTGTTGCTGGGGTGTGGGGTACAGACAGCCGCTGAAATGTGGGCGTGGTTGGAGAGTAGCTGGGACAGACAGGAGAGTCATGGGTGGCTGGGGGTGAGCTGCTGGATGATGGCAGTAAGAACATATGGTATATTATTGATGAATGAGGTGACTGTGAAGAACCTCCAGAGGAGGACACGGGAGAACACAATGACATGAGTGACTGTCCTGCTTGGTTAGGAAATGGAAACGTAAAGCTGTGGAATTCTGTTGATGGTGGATGTGAGAGTGGTGAAGCCCTGCGGGATGATGTAGAGTACTTCCACATCCCTGGTGAGGAGCTGCTCCTTGGGTCTGAGTTTCTGGGAGGGGAGAGGGAGAAGCTGGGTGAGGCAGGCATGAATCTTGAGGAGTCAGGGCTGGGGGACCGCTCATATTCTCCCGAGACCTGTGAGTCTCTGGGGGACTCCTGGGTGCATGTGCCTGACTCCCGCAGGAACCTGGGGATGGCTGGAGAGTAACTGGGAGCCACAGGAGAGTCCCTGAGGCCTGGGGGTGAAGAGATGAAAGACACAGGGGTGGAGCACCGTGAGGCTCGTGAGTTTGTAGGTGATTCCTGGGTGTGGGGGGCTGACTCCAGCTGAAATCTGGGGTTGTTTGGAGAGTAGCAGGGAGACACAGGAGACCCCCTGAGAGCTGGGGGTGAGCTGCTGGGTGATGGCAGTAAGAACATGTGGTATATTATTGATGAACCTGGGGACTCTGAGGAATCCTCAGAGGAGGACAGAGGAGAGCCCGATGGCTTCATTGATTGCCCATCACGGTGAGGACAGGGAAATGGGAGCTTGTGGGATTCTGGTGCTGACAGAGGTGAGTGTGGTGAAGCCCTAGGGGATGGTGAATGGTAGCTCCGGATCCCTGGTGAGGAGCTTCCCCTTAAGCCTGAGTTTCTGAGAGCGGAGAAGGAGAAGCTGGGTGAGGCTCGCATGGACCTTGGGGAGTCCGGGCTGGGGGACCGTTCATAAGAAGAGCCAGACAAGACCCTACTGTTCTTAGGTGCAGACATGATTAGGAAACCTGCAGCTCCCAGGGGCCCCTACTAATTTTCTAACTCGCAGAAGGAAGGAGTGTGTGTGCGTGTGTGTGTGTCTGTGTGTGTGCGGTGTGAGGTATGTGCCCCTTAAGAAAATGGAAATCAACCAACCAATGAGACAGACACACAGACAGACAGACAGACAGACAGACAGACAGAGAGTCACTTGCCCAAGTGTTCTGTCCTGTCCTCTGAATCTGCCTCCAAGTCGCAAGACGCCGTGAGCTCCAAGTCCACGCAGAGTCCGCCAAAGGCTCCGGCCGCTGATCCGCTCCGCGAAGATCTGAGTACAGGCCAGCCAGCGTGGGTTTAAATAGCCTCGGGCGCAACCTAGCAGCGGAAAGGGCGGAGCTTCACTCCTCCTTTCCGTCAGTCACCCCCAACTTTCCCAGGCTACACCTCGTAGGAAACTGTTCTACTTTGATTTCATGCGCCACCTTTGGAACAATCTAAGAACTTCCAAGTTTTCTTGGCCAGATATATTAGGAATTGTATGCACTGAAACACTGAAAACCAACTAGTGGTTCTGTGGTTCCCACGTTGTGGTTTTGACGCCAGCAGCATCCTTGCCACAATCAAACCCCGGAGATCCACAGATCTGTGTTGTAACAAGACCTCCCCCTGACCCTGATGCATGGCAGTTTAAGAAGTCTTTCCGTGTAAGCGAAAAGACTTTGAAGAAAAGGTGGAGATATGCGTTGTATAAACATTCTTTTGCTCTGGGACCAGGTGGAGACTTGGGAGCCAGTTGGGTGGAGCATTCGTTGGATGAGGGTGCTCGGGTTCGGAATATCAAGGTGTGGCTCCAGATA
This sequence comes from Homo sapiens, assembly GCF_000001405.40. NCBI lineage: Eukaryota > Metazoa > Chordata > Mammalia > Primates > Hominidae > Homo > Homo sapiens. The sequence continues at coordinate 226,270 of NW_021159991.1, forward strand.
ATCCAATCATCTAATTAAGATTCCAGTTGTGCTCATCTGTTTTAAAATTCCGTTTGGGTAAATTCTTTTATTCAGACTGAGAATGGCAAAGCCTCAACCCCAATTTCCAGGGAGGGTTGAGAGCCTCAGGTGGAGTTGATCACCAATAGCCTATGGTTTAACCCATCATGCCTATAGAATGAGGTCTCCATAAAAACCCAAAAGGACTGGGATCAGAGAGCTTCTGTATAACACTTCTTGGAAGGTAGTGCGCCCCTCCCCACATGCCGGGCCCCACATTTATTTCTGAACTTTTTGCAATGTCCGCTAAATAACAACGGCAAATGTAAGTGTTTCCCCGAGTGCCGTGAGCTCTTCCAGCAAATGAATGCAACTAAATCTGGGAGTGGTGGCAACCTGATTTATAGCCAGTTGCTGAGAAGCACAGGTAAAACAACGTAGGGCTTCCCGTTGTTACTAGTGTGGGAGGCCTGCCTGGCGGGACTCGGCCCTTTGGAATCCAATGCTATGTCCCGGTAGATAGCGTCACCATTGAATTAGAAGACACACATATGTTGAGAATAATCTTTCTGGTCATTTGCTGCATGTCTTATTTACAATATGTAATCAAATTCCTTATCCTGACCTTATGGCACCTGGGTTGAGAACCATGATTTGAACCAAACATTGGTCTGTCACTTTCTGAGTTTGAAACTTTATTTTGCCTTTAGCGTTTTGCTACTGCTTTTTCGTTTTCTTTTGTTTCGTTTCGATTCTAAGTTGTGGGGTATATGTGCAGGATGGGCAGATTTGTTACTAAGGTAAACGTGTGCCATGGTGGTTTACTGCACCTGTCAACCCATCACCTAGGTATTAAGCCCAGCATGCAGTAGCTGTTTTTCTTAACGCTCTGCCTCCCGAAAGGCCCCAGTGTGTGTTGTTCCCCTTCCTGTGTCCATGTCATCTCATTTTTCAGCTCCCATTGTAAGTGAGAATGTGGCGTTTGGTTTTCTTTCCCTGGATTAGTTTGCTGAGGATAATGACCACACATCACCGCTGTTTTTGTTTTTTAGTATAAAGAGTAGCATTTTATTGAATAAGATTTGCTCACAGAAAAATAATCTTAAATCTACAATGAATGCCAGACTCTACAGCAGAAAGGAATTTTCTCACTTTTCCACACACAATGGTTCCTACTAAGTGAAAAAAAGCCATAAAATTTCATTCACAAATGTATTACTCTGTCTCAAAACATCTCACATAATCATGCACTGTACTAAAGCCATTAGATCAGTGCTTCAGTCAGGTTAAAGAAGTATCCCTCTAATAACTGACTTTTATAATGCGATCAATATGCACTCCCAATCAGTCTGCCATTGTTAATGGTGTACAGCATTACTGTATACAATGGAATTGATGACACCCATATCCATGGACAAACCGTGACTTATGATGGTTTGATTCATGATTTTTCAACGTTATGATGGGTTTATTGGAATATTAGATGCGGTTCCGAGTTACACTGGGTTTATGAGTATGCGACCCTATACTCCAGAAACAGCTGTATAAGGAAAAACAGGTGTACATAATAAAAATATGCTTAGTGACTTGCGATAAACCAATAGATGTTCACAACTGATGGAGAGCCGTGAAAGAGAGATAGCGGTAAATAGTTACAATAACACAATTTTCCTGCACCTGTCGAGGATTTCCCCAAGAAAACGCAGAATGTGGGATGCACCTAAGGCATGTGAAAGTGAGAGGGCAGAAGGAGTAAGAGAGAAATAGGAGGAAGGAAGGAAGGAAGGAAAGAAGGAAGGTAGGAAGGACGGAAGGAAAGAAAGAAGGAAGGAAAGAAGGAAAGAAGGACGAAAGGAAGGAGAAAACACCCGGTGTTACTAAAACCCCCCAAAAATATGGTTTCCCCCTGTGGGTAAGCCTACAATGTGGAGGAATCTTGAAAATATTGTGCTACGTGTTATGTCAGTCATAACAGCTCACCTATTGTGCAATTCCGTTTAAAGGAAATGTCCACAATATGGAAATCTCTGCATATGTGGTTGATCGCACTAGGTAGTTGCTACCTAGGGCTGAGGGTCAGGGAGAGGGTTTGAGACAGAATGAGGAGTGACTAATGTCTACAGGGTTTTTCTCTGGTCGGGGGTGATAAGACATTCTACAATGGATTGCGAATTAAAATTGAATGTGCACAACCACAGGTGTACTAAAAGCCACTCAATTCATGACTTTTAATGGGGGAATCTTATGTGGCGCACTCTCATGGAGACCACGGCAGACATAGTGAGAGAGAAAAAGGTGAGTGAATATCTGAAACGGAGGCAGAAACAGAGAGAATGAAAAGCCCAGTGAATGGAAGGGAGAGCGAAAAGGGAAAATGGTCCTATTTCCAAATGACAGATGTGAAACTGGGGTTCACATCAACAGTGTCACTGCCAGGAAGGAGGGTGATGCTAGCCATGTCACCGGTAGTGTGTCTCGCAGGGACGCCGACCTGCTGGAGCGTCGTGCCAGCATGGGCTCTGTCAGCCACGTGGGCCAGCAGGAGGGTCCCGCTGCACAGCTGTGGGGTGAGGATAGACTGGGTGGTGATATCGGCCATGACGGGGGCCTCTTCTGCTGGCAAGAGTGTGACAGTAGCAAGTAGATGGACAGGCCTGCGTGTGAGGACGGAATGCAGGAGCGGCTCTTGTGCGGCTGGGTGTGGGGCCCTCACGGGAACCGTGGAGTAATGGCCAGGTAACTGCGTCATGTGGGCTAGTAGATTGGCCAGGGCTTCGAACTGAAGGACAATAACGGGGAGTAGCTGTCAGGCCCTGGGAGTGTCTGAGTGTAAGTGGAGATGGGTTTGGGGTCACTGAGGGATGCATGGGAGCCATCCCTGTATAGGTACAGGTCATAGGGAGATAGTCTCGTGTGGCCCGTGAGTGTCTAGGGTTGTCCTGGGTGCCTGGGGCTGACTGTGGCAGAAATCTGGGGAAGGCTGGAGAGAAGCTGGGAGACCCAGGAGAGTCCCTGAAGGCAGGGGGTGAAGAGGTGAAAGAAATGGGGGAGGGTTGCAGTAAGGTCCGTGAGTTTGTAGGTGATTCCTGGGTGCGGGAAGCTGACTCCAGGTGAAATCTGGAGATGGTTGGAGAGTAGCTGAGAGAGACAGAAGAGTCCCTGAGGGCTGGGGGTGAGAACATGAGGGAGACTGGGGAGTAAGTCAGTGAAATTCGTGAGTTCGGTGTTGTATCGTGGGTGCCTGGAACTGACTCCAGCTGGAATCTAGAGAAGTTTTGAGAGTAGCTGAAAGAGACCCAAGAGTCCCTGTGGGCTGAGGGCAAAGACCTGAGAGAGACCAGGGAGGACCTCAGTGAAGTCTGTGAGTCCGTAGGTGACTCTGGAGTGTGGGAGGCTGACTCCCGCTGAAATCTGGGCGTGGTGCGGGAGTAGCTGGGACAGACAGGAGAGTCCCAGGGGGCTGGGGGTGAAGACATGAGAGAGACTGGGGAGTAACTCAGTGAAACTGCTGAGTTTGTAGGTGATACCTGGGTGCCTGGAACTGACTCCCGCTGAAATCTGGGCATGGTTGGAGAGTATCTGGGACACACAGGAGAGTCCCTGAGGGCTGGGGGTGAAGACATGAGAGAGTCCGGGGAGTAACTGAGTGAAACTGGTGAGTTTGGTGGTGACTCCGGGTTGCCTGGAACTGACTCCAGCTGAAATGTGGGCGTGGTTGGAGAGTAGCTTGGACAGACAGGAGAGTCCCTGAGGGCTGGTGAAGGCATGACAGAGACTGGAGAGTAATTGAGTGAAATTGGTGAGTTTCGTGGTGATTCCTGGGTGCCTGGAACTGACTCCCGCTGAAGTGTGGGCGTGGTTGGAGAGTAGCTGGGAAACACAGGAGAGTCCCTGAGGGTTGGAGATAAAGACGTGCTAGAGACTGAGGAGTAACTGAGTGAAACTGGTGAGTTTGGTGGTGTTTCCGGGGTGCCTGGAACTGACTCCAGCTGCAATGTGGGCGTGGTTGGAGAGTAGCTGGGACAGACGGGAGAGTCCTTGAGGGATGGTGAAGACATGAGAGAGACTGGGGAGTAACGCAGTGAAATTGGTGAGTTTGGTGGTGATTTCTGGGTGCCTGCAACGGACTCCGGCTGAAGTGTGGGCGTGTTTGGAGAGTAGCTGGGACAGACAGGCGAGTCCCTGAGGGTTGGAGATAAAGACGTGCTAGAGACTGGGGAGTAACTCAGTGAATGTGGTGGGCTTGGCGGTGATCCCTGGCTTCCTGGAACTGACCCGCGCTGAAATGTGGGCGTGGTTGGAGAGTAGCTGGGACAGACTGGAGGGTCCGTAAGGGCTGGGGGTGAAGACGTGAGAGAGACTGGCCAGGATCTCCCTGAGGTCTGTGAGTTTGTAGGTGTTGCTGGGGTGTGGGGTACAGACTGCCGCTGAAATGTGGGCGTGGTTGGAGAGTAGCTGGGACAGACAGGAGAGTCATGGGTGGCTGGGGGTGAGCTGCTGGATGATGGCAGTAAGAACATATGGTATATTATTGATGAATGAGGTGACTGTGAAGAATCTCCAGAGGAGGACACGGGAGAACACAATGACATGAGTGACTGTCCTGCTTGGTTAGGAAAGGGAAACGTAAAGCTGTGGAATTCTGTTGATGATGGATGTGAGAGTGGTGAAGCCCTGTGGGATGATGTAGAGTACTTCCACATCCCTGGTGAGGAGTTGCCCCTTGGGTCTGAGTTTCTGAGAGGGGAGAGGGAGAAGCTGGGTGAGGCAGGCATGAATCTTGAGGAATCAGGGCTGGGGGACCGCTCATATTCTCCCGAGACCTGTGAGTCTCTGGGGGACTCCTGGGTGCATGGGGCTGACTCCTGCAGGAACCTGGGGATGGCTGGAGAGTAACTGGGAGCCACAGGAGAGTCCCTGAGGCCTGGGGGTGAAGAGATGAAAGACACAGGGGTGGAGCACCGTGAGGCTCGTGAGTTTGTAGGTGATTCCTGGGTGTGGGCAGCTGACTCCAGCTGAAATCTGGGGTTGTTTGGAGAGTAGCTGGGAGACACAGGACACCCCCCGAGAGCTGGGGGTGAGCTGCTGGGTGATGGCAGTAAGAACATGTGGTATATTATTGATGAACCTGGGGACTCTGAGGAATCCTCAGAGGAGGACAGAGGAGAGCCCGATGGCTTCATTGATTGCCCATCACGGTGAGGACAGGGAAATGGGAGCTTGTGGGATTCTGGTGATGACAGAGGTGAGTGTGGTGAAGCCCTAGGGGATGGTGAATGGTAGCTCCGGATCCCTGGTGAGGAGCTTCCCCTTAAGCCTGAGTTTCTGAGAGGGGAGAAGGAGAAGCTGGGTGAGGCTCGCATGGACCTTGGGGAGTCCGGGCTGGGGGACCGTTCATAAGAAGAGCCAGACAAGACCCTACTGTTCTTAGGTGCAGACATGATTAGGAAACCTGCAGCTCCCAGGGGCCCCTACTAATTTTCTAACTCGCAGAAGGAAGGAGTGTGTGTGCGTGTGTGTGAGTGTGTGCGTGTGTGTGCGTGTGTGTGTGTCTGTGTGTGTGCGGTGTGAGGTATGTGCCCCTTAAGAAAATGGAAATCAACCAACCAATGAGACAGACACACAGACAGACAGACAGACAGAGATTCACTTGCCCAAGTGTTCTGTCCTGTCCTCTGAATCCGCCTCCAAGTCGCAAGACGCCGTGAGCTCCAAGTCCACGCAGAGTCCGCCAAAGGCTCGGCCGCTGATCCGCTCCGCGAAGATCTGAGTATAGGCCAGCCAGGGTGGGTTTAAATAGCCTCGGGCGCAACCTAGCAGCGGAAAGGGTGGAGCTTCACTCCTCCTTTCCGTCAGTCACCCCCAACTTTCCCAGGCTACACCTCGTAGGAAACTGTTCTCCTACTTTGATTTTATGCGCCACCTTTGGAACAATCTAAGAACTTCCAAGTTTTCTTGGCCAGATATATTAGGAATTGTATGCACTGAAACACTGAAAACCAACTAGTGGTTCTGTGGTTCCCACGTTGTGGTTTTGACGCCAGCAGCATCCTTGCCACAATCAAACCCCGGAGATCCACAGATCTGTGTTGTAACAAGACCTCCCCCTGACCCTGATGCATGGCAGTTTAAGAAGTCTTTCCGTGTAAGCGAAAAGACTTTGAAGAAAAGGTGGAGATATGCGTTGTATAAACATTCTTTTGCTCTGGGACCAGGTGGAGACTTGGGAGCCAGTTGGGTGGAGCATTCGTTGGATGAGGGTGCTCGGGTTCGGAATATCAAGGTGTGGCTCCAGATAATCCAATCATCTAATTAAGATTCCAGTTGTACTCATCTGTTTTAAAATTCCGTTTGGGTAACTTCTTTTAGTCAGACTGAGAATGGCAAAGCCTCAACCCCAATTTCCAGGGAGGGTTGAGAGCCTCAGGTGGAGTTGATCACCAATAGCCTATGGTTTAACCCATCATGCCTATAGAATGAGGTCTCCATAAAAACCCAAAAGGACTGGGTTCAGAGAGCTTCTGGATAACACTTCCTGGAAGGTAGTGCGCCCCTCCCCACATGCCGGGCCCCACATTTATTTCTGAACTTTTTGCAATGTCCGCTAAAATACAACGGCAAATGTAAGTGTTTCTCTGAGTGCCGTGAGCTCTTCCAGCAAATGAATGCAACTAAATCTGGGAGTGGTGGCAACCTGATTTATAGCCAGTTGCTGAGAAGCACAGGTAAAACAACGTAGGGCTTCCCGTTGTTACTAGTGTGGGAGGCCTGCCTGGCGGGACTCGGCCCTTTGGAATCTAATGCTATGTCCCGGTAGATAGCGTCACCATTGAATTAGAAGACACACATATGTTGAGAATAATCTTTCTGGTCATTTGCTGCATGTCTTATTTACAATATGTAATCAAATTCTTTATCCTGACCTTATGGCACCTGGGTTGAGAACCATGATTTGAACCAAACATTGGTCTGTCACTTTCTGAGTTGGAAACTTTATTTTGCCTTTAGCGTTTTGCTACTGCTTTTTCGTTTTCTTTTGTTTCGTTTCGATTCTAGGTTGTTGGGTATATGTGCAGGATGGGCAGATTTGTTACTAAGGTAAACGTGTGCCATGGTGGTTTGCTGCACCTGTCAACCCATCACCTAGGTATTAAGCCCAGCATGCAGTAGCTGTTTTTCTTAATGCTCTGCCTCCCGAAAGGCCCCAGTGTGTGTTGTTCCCCTTCCTGTGTCCATGTGATCTCATTCTTCAGCTCCCATTATAAGTGAAAATGTGGCGTTTGGTTTTCTTTCCCTGGATTAGTTTGCTGAGGATAATGACCACACATCACCACTGTTTTTGTTTTTTAGTATAAAGAGTAGTATTTTATTGAATAAGATTTGCTCACAGAAAAATAAGCTTAAATCTACAATGAATGCCAGACCTTACAGAAGAAAGGAATTTTCTCACTTTTCCACACACAATGGTTCCTACTAAGTGAAAAAAAGCCATAAAATTTCATTCACAAATGTGCTACTCTGTATCAAAACATCTCACATAATCATGCACTGTACTAAAGCCATTAGATCACTGCTTCAGTCAGGTTAAAGAAGTATCCCTCTAATAACTGACTTTTATAATGCTATCAATATGCACTCCCAATCAGTCTGCCATTGTTAATGGTGTACAGCATTACTGTATACAATGGAATTGATGACACCCATATCCACGGACAAACCGTGACTTATGATGGTTTGATTCAAGATTTTTCAACGTTATGATGGGTTTATTGGAATATTAGATGCGTTTCTGAGTTACACTGGGTTTATGAGTATGCGACCCTCTACTCCAGAAACAGCTGTATAAGGAAAAACATGTGTACCTAATAAAAATATGCTTAGTGACTTGCGATAAACCAATACATGTTCACAACTGATGGAGAGCCGTGAAACAGAGATAGCGGTAAATAGTTACAATAACACAATTTTCCTGCACCTGTGGAGGATTTCCCCAAAAAAACGCAGAATGTGGGATGCACCTAAGGCATATGAAAGAGAGAGGGCAGAAGGAGTAAGAGAGAAATTGGAGGAAGGAAGGAAGGAAGGAAAGAAGGAAGGTAGGAAGGAAGGAAGGAAAGAAGGAAGGAAGGAAGGAAGGAAAGAAGGACGAAAGGAAGTAGAAAACACCCGGTGTTAAACCCACCCTGGCTGGCCTGTACTCAGATCTTCGCGGAGGGGATCAGCGGCCAGAGCCTTTGGCGGACTCTGCGTGGACTTGGAGCTCACGGCGTCTTGCGACTTGGAGGCGGATTCAGAGGACAGGACAGAACACTTGGGCAAGTGAATCTCTGTCTGTCTGTCTGTCTGTCTGTCTGTGTGTCTGTCTCATTGGTTGGTTGATTTCCATTTTCTTAAGGGGCAAATACCTCACACCACACACACACAGACACACACACACGCACACACACGCACACACTCACACACACGCACACACACTCCTTCCTTCTGCGAGTTAGAAAATTAGTAGGGGCCCCTGGGAGCTGCAGGTTTCCTAATCATGTCTGCACCTAAGAACAGTAGGGTCTTGTCTGGCTCTTCTTATGAACGGTCCCCCAGCCCGGACTCCCCAAGGTCCATGCGAGCCTCACCCAGCTTCTCCTTCTCCCCTCTCAGAAACTCAGGCTTAAGGGGAAGCTCCTCACCAGGGATCCGGAGCTACCATTCACCATCCCCTAGGGCTTCACCACACTCGCCTCTGTCATCACCAGAATCCCACAAGCTCCCATTTCCCTGTCCTCACCGTGATGGGCAATCAATGAAGCCATCGGGCTCTCCTCTGTCCTCCTCTGAGGATTCCTCAGAGTCCCCAGGTTCATCAATAATATACCACATGTTCTTACTGCCATCACCCAGCAGCTCACCCCCAGCTCTCGGGGGGTGTCCTGTGTCTCCCAGCTACTCTCCAAACAACCCCAGATTTCAGCTGGAGTCAGCCCCCCACACCCAGGAATCACCTACAAACTCACGAGCCTCACGGTGCTCCACCCCTGTGTCTTTCATCTCTTCACCCCCAGGCCTCAGGGACTCTCCTGTGGCTCCCAGTTACTCTCCAGCCATCCCCAGGTTCCAGCAGGAGTCAGCCCCATGCACCCAGGAGTCCCCCAGAGACTCACAGGTCTCGGGAGAATATGAGCGGTCCCCCAGCCCTGACTCCTCAAGATTCATGCTTGCCTCACCCAGCTTCTCCCTCTCCCCTCCCAGAAACTCAGACCCCAGGGGCAGCTCCTCACCAGGGATGTGGAAGTACTCTACATCATCCCGCAGGGCTTCACCACTCTCACATCCATCATCAACAAAATTCCACAGCTTTACGTTTCCCTTTCCTAACCAAGCAGGACAGTCACTCATGTCATTGTGTTCTCCCGTGTCCTCCTCTGGAGATTCTTCACAGTCACCTCATTCATCATTAACATACCATATGTTCTTACTGCCATCATCCAGCAGCTCACCCCCAGCCACCCATGACTCTCCTGTCTGTCCCAGCTACTCTCCAACCACGCCCACATTTCAGCGGGAGTCTGTACCCCACACCCCAGAAACACCTACAAACTCTCAGACCTCAATGAGATCCTGGCCAGTCTCTCTCACGTCTTCACCCCCAGCCCTTACGGACCCTCCAGTCTGTCCCAGCTACTCTCCAACCACGCCCACATTTCAGCGCGGGTCAGTTCCAGGAACCCAGGGATCACCGCCAAGCCCACCACTTTCACTGAGTTACTCCCCAGTCTCTAGCACGTCTTTATCTCCAACCCTCAGGGACTCGCCTGTCTGTCCCAGCTACTCTCCAAACACGCCCACACTTCAGCCGGAGTCCGTTGCAGGCACCCAGAAATCACCACCAAACTCACCAATTTCACTGCGTTACTCCCCAGTCTCTCTCATGTCTTCACCATCCCTCAGGGACTTTCCCGTCTGTCCCAGCTACTCTCCAACCACGCCCACATTGCAGCTGGAGTCAGTTCCAGGCACCCCGGAATCACCACCAAACTCACCAATTTCACACAGTTACTCCTCAGTCTCTAGCACGTCTTTATCTCCAACCCTCAGGACTCTCCTGTGTGTCCCAGCTACTCTCCAACCACCCCCACACTTCAGAGGGAGTCAGGTCCAGGCACCCCGGAATCACCACCAAACTCACCAATTTCACTCAGTTACTCCTCAGTCTCTAGCACGTCTTTATCTCCAGCCCTCAGGGACTCTCCTGTCTGTCCCAGCTACTCTCCAACCACGCCCACATTTCAGCTGGAGTCAGTTCCAGGCACCGCGGAGTCACCACCAAACTCACCAGTTTCACTCAGTTACTCCACGGTCTCTCTCATATCTTCACCCCCAGCCCTCAGGGAGTCTCCTATGGGTCCCAGCTACTCTCCAACCATGCCCAGACTTCAGCGGGAGTCAGTTCCAGGCACCCTGGTATCACCTACAAACTCAGCAGTTTCACTGAGTTACTCCCCAGTCTCTCTCATGTCTTCACCCACAGCCCCCTGGGACTCTCCTGTCTCTCCAAGCTACTCTCCCACCACGCTCAGATTTCAGCCGGAGTCAGCCTCCCACACTCCAGAATCACCTACGGACTCACAGACTTCACTGAGGTCCTCCCTGGTTTCTCTCAGGTCTTTGCCCTCAGCCCATAGGGACTCTTGTGTCTCTTTCAGCTACTCTCAAAACTTCTCTAGATTCCAGCTGGTGTCAGTTCCAGGCAACCACGATACACCCCCGAACTCACGAATTTCACTGACTTACTCCCCAGTCTCCCTCATGTTCTCACCCCCAGCCCTCAGGTACTCTTCTGTCTCTCTCAGCTACTCTCCAACCATCTCCAGATTTCACCTGGAGTCAGCTTCCCGCACCCAGGAATCACCTACGAACTCACGGAACTTACTGCAAACCTCCCCCGTTTCTTCCACCTCTTCACCCCCTGCCTTCAGTGACTCCCCTGTGTCTCCCAGCTTCTCTCCAACCTTCCCCAGATATCTGCCACAGTCAGCCCCAGGCACCCAGGACAACCCTAGACACTCACAGGCCTCATGAGACTATCTCCCTATGACCTGTACCTATACAGGGATGGCTCCCACGCATCCCTCAGTGACCCCAAAGCCATATCCACTTACACTCAGACACTCCCAGGGCCTGACAGCTACTCCCCGTTATTGTCCTTCAGTTCGAAGCTCTGGCCAATCTACTAGTCCACATGACGCAGTTACCTGGCCATTACTCCACGGTTCCCGTGAGGGCCCTACACCCAGCCGCACAAGAGCCCCTCCTGCATTCCGTCCTCACACGCAGGCCTGTCCATCTACTTGCTACTGTCACACTCTTGCCAGCAGAAGAGGCCCCTGTCATGGCCGATATCACCACCCAGTCTATCCTCACCCCACAGCTGTGCAGCGGGACCCTCCTGCTGGCCCACGTGGCTGCCAGAGCCCATGCTGGCACGACGCTCCAGCAGGTCGGCGTCCCTGCGGGACACACTACCCGTGACATGGCTAGCATCACCCTCCTTCCTGGAAGTGACACTGTTGATGTGAACCCCAGTTTCACATCTGTCATTTGTAAATAGGACCATTTTCCCTTTTCGCTCTCCCTTCCATTCACAGGGCTTTTCATTCTCTCTGTTTCTGCCTCCGTTTCAGATATTCACTCACCTTTTTCTCTCTCACTATGTCTGCCGTGGTCTCCATGAGAGTGCGCCACATAAGATTCCCCCATTAAAAGTCATGAATTGAGTGGCTTTTAGTATACCTGTGGTTGTGCACATTCAATTTTAATTCGCAATCCATTGTAGAACGTCTTATCACCCCCGACCAGAGAAAAACCCTGTAGACATTAGTCACTCCTCATTCCCTCTCAAACCCTCTTCCTGACCCTCAGCCCTAGGTAGCAACTAGCTAGTGCGATTAACCCCATATGCACAGATTTCCATATTGTGGACATTTCCTACAAACGGAATTGCACAATTGGTGAGCTGTTATGACTGACATAACACGTAGCACAATATTTTCAAGATTCATCCACATTGTAGGCTGACCCACAGGGGGAAACCATGTTTTTGGGGTCTTTTAGTAATACCGGGTGTTTTCTCCTTCTTTTCGTCCTTCTTTCCTTCCTTCCTTCCTTCCTTCCTTCCTTGCTACCTTCCTTCTTTCCTTCCTTCCTTCCTTCCTCCTATTTCTCTCTTACTCCTGCCCTCTCTCTTTCATATGCCTTAGGTGCATCCCACATTCTGCGTTTTTTGGGGGAAATCCTCGAAAGGTGCAGGAAAATTGTGTTATTGTAACTATTTACCGCTATCTCTCTTTCACGGCTCTCCGTCAGTTGTGAACATCTATTGGTTTATCGCAAGTCAGTAAGCATATTTTTATTAGGTACACCTGTTTTTCCTTATACAGCTGTTTCTGGAGTATAGGGTCGCATACTCATAAACCCAGTGTAACTCAGAGACGCATCTAATATTCCAATAAACCCATCATAACGTTCAAAAATCATGAATCAAACCATCATAAGTCACGGTTTGTCCGTGGATATGGGTGTCATCAATTTCATTGTATTCAGTAATGCTGTACACCATTAACAATGGCAGACTGATTGGGAGTGGATGTTGATAGCATTATAAAAGTCATTTATTAGAGGGATACTTCTTTAACCTGACTGAAGAACTGATCTAATAGCTTTAGTACAGTGCATGATTATGTGAGATGTTTTGAGACAGAGTAGTACATTTGTGAATGAAATTTTATGGCTTTTTTTCACTTAGTAGGAACCATTGTGTGTGGAAAAGTGAGAAAATTGCTTTCTGCTGTAGAGTATGGCATTCATTGTAGATTTAAGCTTATTTTTCTGTGAGCAAATCTTATTCAATAAAATACTACTCTTTATACTAAAAAACAAAAACAGTGGTGATGTGTGGTCATTATCCTCAGCAAACTAATCCAGGGAAAGGAAACCAAACGCCACATTCTCACTTATAATGGGAGCTGAAGAATGAGATCACATGGACACTGGAAAGGGAACAACACACACTGGGGCCTTTCTGGAGGCAGAGCGTTAAGAAAAACAGCTACTGCATGCTGGGCTTAATACCTAGGTGATGGGTTGACAGGTGCAGCAAACCACCATGGCACACGTTTACCTTAGTAACAAATCTGCACATCCTGCACATCTACCCCAGAACTTAGAAACGAAACGACACAAAAGAAAACGAAAAAGCAATAGCAAAACGCTAAAGGCAAAATAAAGTTTCCAACTCAGAAAGTGACAGACCAATGTTTGGTTCAAATCATGGTTCTCAACCCAGGTGCCATAAAGTCAGGATAAAGAATTTGATTACATATTGTAAATAAGACATGCAGCAAATGACCAGAAAGATTATTCTCAACATATGTGTGTCTTCTAATTCAATGGTGACGCTATCTACCGGGACATAGCATTAGATTCCAAAGGGCCGAGTCCCGCCAGACAGGCCTCCCACACTAATAACAACGGGAAGCCCTACGTTGTTTTACCTGTGCTTCTCAGCACCTGGCTATAAATCAGGTTGCCACCACTCCCAGATTTAGTTGCATTCATTGGCTGGAAGAGCTCACAGCACGCAGGGAAACACTTACATTTGCCGTTGTATTTTAGCGGACATTGCAAGAAGTTCAGAAATAAATGTGGGGACCAGCATGTGGGGAGGGGCGCACTGCCTTCCAGGAAGTGTTTTCCAGAAGCTCTCTGAACCCAGTCCTTTTGGGTTTTTATGGAGACCTCATTCTATAGGCATGATGGGTTAAACCATAGGCTATTGGTGATCAACTCCACCTGAGGCTCTCAACCCTCCCTGGAAATTGGGGTTGAGGCTTTGCCATTCTCAGTCTGACTAAAAGAATTTACCCAAACGGAATTTTAAAACAGATGAGCATAACTGGACTCTTAATTAGATGATTGGATCGTCTGGACACACACCTTGATATTCCAAACCGGAGCACCCTCATCCAACGAATGCTCCACCCAACTGACTCCCAAGTCTCCACCTGGTTCCAGAGCAAAAGAATGTTTATATAACGCATATCTCTACTTTTTCTTCAAAGTCTTTTCGCTTACACGGAAAGACTTCTTAAACTGCCATGCATCAGGGTCAGGGGGAGGTCTTGTTGCAACACAGATCTGTGGATCTCCGGGGTTTGATTGTGGCAAGGATGCTGCTGGTGTCGAAACCACAACGTGGGAACCACAGAACCACTGGTTGGTTTTCAGTGTTTCAGTGCATACAATTCCTAATATATCTGGCCAAGAAAACTTCGAAGTTCTTAGATTGTCCCAAAGGTGGCGCATGAAATCAAAGCAGGAGAACAGTTTCCTAGAGGTGTAGCCTGGGAAAGTTGGGGGTGACTGATGGAAAGGAGGAGTGAAGCTCCGCCCTTTCCGCTGCTAGGCTGCGCCCGAGGCTATTTAAACCCACCCTGGCTGGCCTGTACTCAGATCTTCGCGGAGCGGATCAGCGGCCGGAGCGTTTGGCGGACTCTGCGTGGGCTTGGAGCTCACGGCGTCTTGCGACTTGGAAGCGGATTCAGAGGACAGGACAGAACACTTGGGCAAGTGAATCTCTGTCTGTCTGTCTGTCTGTCTGTGTGTCTGTCTCATTGGTTGGTTGATTTCCATTTTCTTAAGGGGCACATTCCTAACACCGCACACACAGAAACACACACACGCACACACACACACACGCACACACACGCACACACACTCCTTCCTTCTGCGAGTTAGAAAATTAGTAGGGGCCCCTGGGAGCTGCAGGTTTCCTAATCATGTCTGCACCAAAGAACCGTAGGGACTTGTCTGACTCTTCTTATGAACGGTCCCCAAGCCTGGACTCCCCAAGGTCCATGTGAGCCTCACCCAGCTTCTCCCTCTCCCATCTCAGAAACTCAGGCTTAAGGGGAAGCTCCTCACCAGGGATCCGGAGCTACCATTCACCATCCTCTAGGGCTTCACCACACTCACCTCTGTCATCACCAGAATCCCAGAAGCTCCCATTTCCCTGTCCTCACCGTGATGGGCAATCAATGAAGCCATCGGGCTCTCCTCTGTCCTCCTCTGAGGATTCCTCAGAGTCCCCAGGTTCATCAATAATATACCACATGTTCTTACTGCCATCACCCAGCAGCTCACCCCCAGCTCTCAGGGGGTGTCCTGTGTCTCCCAGCTACTCTCCAAACAACCCCAGATTTCAGCTGGAGTCAGCCCCCCAAACCCAGGAATCACCTACAAACTCACGAGCCTCACGGTGCTCCACCCCTGTGTCTTTCATCTCTTCACCCCCAGGCCTCAGGGACTCTCCTGTGGCTCCCAGTTACTCTCCAGCCATCCCCAGGTTCCTGCGGGAGTCAGCCACATGCACCCAGGAGTCCCCCAGAGACTCACAGGTCTCGGGAGAATATGAGCGGTCCCCCAGCCCTGACTCCTCAAGATTCATGCCTGCCTCACCCAGCTTCTCCCTCTCCCCTCCCAGAAACTCAGACCCAAGGGGCAGCTCCTCACCAGGGATATGGAAGTACTCTACATCATCCCGCAGGGCTTCACCACTCTCACATCCATCATCAACAGAATTCCACAGCTTTACGTTTCCCTTTCCTAACCAAGCAGGACAGTCACTCATGTCATTGTGTTCTCCCGTGTCCTCCTCTGGAGATTCTTCACAGTCACCTCATTCATCAATAATATACCACATGTTCTTCCTGCCATCATCCAGCAGCTCACCACCAGCCACCCATGACTCTCCTGTCTGTCCCAGGTACTCTCCAACCACGCCCACATTTCAGCGCGGGTCAGTTCCAGGAACCCAGGGATCACCGCCAAGCCCACCACTTTCACTGAGTTACTCCCCAGTCTCTAGCACGTCTTTATCTCCAACCCTCAGGGACTCGCCTGTCTGTCCCAGCTACTCTCCAAACACGCCCACACTTCAGCCGGAGTCCGTTGCAGGCACCCAGAAATCACCACCAAACTCATCAATTTCACTGCGTTACTCCGCAGTCTCTCTCATGTCTTCACCATCCCTCAGGGACTCTCCCGTCTGTCCCAGCTACTCTCCAACGACGCCCACATTGCAGCTGGAGTCAGTTCCAGGCACCCCGGAATCACCACCAAACTCACCAGTTTCACTCAGTTACTCCTCAGTCTCTAGCACGTCTTTATCTCCAACCCTCAGGGACTCTCCTGTGTGTCCCAGCTACTCTCCAACCACGCCCACACTTCAGCGGGAGTCAGTTCCAGGCACCCAGGAATCACCACCAAACTCACCAATTTCACTCAATTACTCTCCAGTCTCTCTCATGTCTTCACCAGCCCTCAGGGACTCTCCTGTCTGTCCCAGCTACTCTCCAACCACGCCCACATTTCAGCTGGAGTCAGTTCCAGGCAACCCGGAGTCACCACCAAACTCACCAGTTTCACTCAGTTACTCCCCGGACTCTCTCATGTCTTCACCCCCAGCCCTCAGGGACTCTCCTGTGTGTCCCAGATACTCTCCAACCATGCCCAGATTTCAGCGGGAGTCAGTTCCAGGCACCCAGGTATCACCTACAAACTCAGCAGTTTCACTGAGTTACTCCCCAGTCTCTCTCATGTCTTCACCCCCAGCCCCCTGGGACTCTCCTGTCTGTCCCAGCTACTCCCCCACCACGCCCAGATTTCAGCGGGAGTCAGCCTCCCACACTCCAGAATCACCTACGGACTCACAGACTTCACTGAGGTCCTCCCTGGTCTCTCTCAGGTCTTTGCCCTCAGCCCACAGGGACTCTTGTGTCTCTTTCAGCTACTCTCAAAACTTCTCTAGATTCCAGCTGGAGTCAGTTCCAGGCACCCACGATACAACACCGAACTCACGAATTTCACTGACTTACTCCCCAGTCTCCCTCATGTTCTCACCCCCAGCCCTCAGGGACTCTTCTGCCTCTCTCAGCTACTCTCCAACCATCTCCAGATTTCACCTGGAGTCAGCTTCCCGCACCCAGGAATCACCTACAAACTCACGGACCTTACTGCAACCCTCCCCCATTTCTTTCACCTCTTCACCCCCTGCCTTCAGGGACTCTCCTGGGTCTCCCAGCTTCTCTCCAGCCTTCCCCAGATTTCTGCCACAGTCAGCCCCAGGCACCCAGGACAACCCTAGACACTCACAGGCCTCACGAGAGTATCTCCCTATGACCTGTACCTATACAGGGATGGCTCCCACGCATCCCTCAGTGATCCCAAACCCATCTCCACTTACACTCAGACACTCCCAGGGCCTGACAGCTACTCCCCGTTATTGTCCTTCAGTTCGAAGCCCTGGCCAATCTACTAGCCCACATGACGCAGTTACCTGGCCATTACTCCACGGTTCCCGTGAGGGCCCCACACCCAGCCGCACAAGAGCCGCTCCTGCATTCCGTCCTCACACGCAGGCCTGTCCATCTACTTGCTACTGTCACACTCTTGCCAGCAGAAGAGGCCCCCGTCATGGCCGATATCACCACCCAGTCTATCCTCACCCCACAGCTGTGCAGCGGGACCCTCCTGCTGGCCCACGTGGCTGACAGAGCCCATGCTGGCACGACGCTCCAGCAGGTCGGCGTCCCTGCGGGACGCACTACCGGTGACATGGCTAGCATCACCCTCCTTCCTGGCAGTGACACTGTTGATGTGAACCCCAGTTTCACATCTGTCATTTGGAAATAGGACCATTTTCCCTTTTCGCTCTCCCTTCCATTCACAGGGCTTTTCATTCTCTCTGTTTCTGCCTCCGTTTCAGATATTCACTCACCTTTTTCTCTCTCACTATGTCTGCCGTGGTCTCCATGAGAGTGCGCCACATAAGATTCCCCCATTAAAAGTCATGAATTGAGTGGCTTTTAGTACACCTGTGGTTGTGCACATTCAATTTTAATTCGCAATCCATTGTAGAATGTCTTATCACCCCCGACCAGAGAAAAACCCTGTAGACATTAGTCACTCCTCATTCTGTCTCAAACCCTCTCCCTGACCCTCAGCCCTAGGTAGCAACTAGCTAGTGCGATCAACCACATATGCAGAGATTTCCATATTGTGGACATTTCCTTTAAACGGAATTGCACAATAGGTGAGCTGTTATGACTGACATAACACGTAGCACAATATTTTCAAGATTCCTCCACATTGTAGGCTTACCCACAGGGGGAAACCATATTTTTGGGGGGTTTTAGTAACACCGGGTGTTTTCTCCTTCCTTTCGTCCTTCTTTCCGTCCTTCCTTCCTTCTTTCCTTCCTTCCTTCCTTCCTTCCTACCTTCCTTCTTTCCTTCCTTCCTTCCTTCCTCCTATTTCTCTCTTACTCCTTCTGCCCTCTCACTTTCACATGCCTTAGGTGCATCCCACATTCTGCGTTTTCTTGGGGAAATCCTCAACAGGTGCAGGAAAATTGTGTTATTGTAACTATTTACCGCTATCTCTCTTTCACGGCTATCCATCAGTTGTGAACATCTATTGGTGTATCGCAAGTCACTAAGCATATTTTTATTAGGTACACCTGTTTTTCCTTATACAGCTGTTTCTGGAGTATAGGGTCGCATACTCATAAACCCAGTGTAACTCAGAAACGCATCTAATATTCCAATAAACCCATCATAACGTTGAAAAATCATGAATCAAACCATCATAAGTCACGGTTTGTCCGTGGATATGGGTGTCATCAATTCCATTGTATACAGTAATGCTGTACACCATTAACAATGGCAGACTGATGGGGAGTGCATATTGATAGCATTATAAAAGTCAGTTATTAGAGGGATACTTCTTTAACCTGACTGAAGCACTGATCTAATGGCTTTAGTACAGTGTATGATTATGTGAGATGTTTTGAGACAGAGTAGTACATTTGTGAATGAAATTTTATGGCTTTTTTTCACTTAGTAGGAACCATTGTGTGTGGAAAAGTGAGAAAATTCCTTTCTGCTGTAGAGTCTGGCATTCATTGTAGATTTAAGATTATTTTTCTGTGAGCAAATCTTATTGAATAAAACGCTACTCTTTATACTAAAAAACAAAAACAGTGGTGATGTGTGGTCATTATCCTCAGCAAACTAATCCAGGGAAAGAAAACCAAACGCCACATTCTCACTTATAATGGGAGCTGAAAAATGAGATCACATGGACACAGGAAGGGGAACAACACACACTGGGGCCTTTCGGGAGGCAGAGCGTTAAGAAAAACAGCTACTGCATGCTGGGCTTAATACCTAGGTGATGGGTTGACAGGTGCAGCAAACCACCATGGCACACGTTTACCTTAGTAACAAATCTGCCCATCCTGCACATATACCCCACAACTTAGAATCGAAACGAAACAAAAGAAAACGAAAAAGCAGTAGCAAAACGCTAAAGGCAAAATAAAGTTTCAAACTCAGAAAGTGACAGACCAATGTTTGGTTCAAATCATGGTTCTCAACCCAGGTGCCATAAGGTCAGGATAAGGAATTTGATTACATATTGTAAATAAGACATGCAGCAAATGACCAGAAAGATTATTCTCAACATATGTGTGTCTTCTAATTCAATGGTGACGCTATCTACCGGGACATAGCATTAGATTCCAAAGGGCCGAGTCCTGCCAGGCAGGCCTCCCACACTAGTAACAACGGGAAGCCCTACGTTGTTTTACCTGTGCTTCTCAGCAACTGGCTATAAATCAGGTTGCCACCACTCCCAGATTTAGTTGCATTCATTTGCTGGAAGAGCTCACGGCACTCAGGGAAACACTTACATTTGCCGTTGTATTTTAGCGGACATTGCAAAAAGTTCAGAAATAAATGTGGGGCCCGGCATGTGGGGAGGGGCGCACTACCTCCCAGGAAGTGTTATCCAGAAGCTCTCTGAACCCAGTCCTTTTGGGTTTTTATGGAGACCTCATTCTATAGGCATGATGGGTTAAACCATAGGCTATTGGTGATCAACTCCACCTGAGGCTCTCAACCCTCCCTGGAAATTGGGGTTGAGGCTTTGCCATTCTCAGTCTGAATAAAAGAAGTTACCCAAACGGAATTTTAAAACAGATGAGCAAAACTGGAATCTTAATTAGATGATTGGATCGTCTGGACACACACCTTGATATTCCGAACCCGAGCACCCTCATCCAACGAATGCTCCACCCAACTGGCTCCCAAGTCTCCACGTGGTTCCAGAGCAAAAGAATGTTTATACAACGCATATCTCCACCTTTTCTTCAAAGTCTTTTCGCTTACACGGAAAGACTTCTTAAACTGCCATGCATCAGGGTCAGGGGGAGGTCTTGTTGCAACACAGATCTGTGGATCTCCGGGATTTGATTGTGGCAAGGATGCTGCTGGTGTCGAAACCACAACGTGGGAACCACAGAACCACTGGTTGGTTTTCAGTGTTTCAGTGCATACAATTCCTAATATATCTGGCCAAGAAAACTTGGAAGTTCTTAGATTGTCCCAAAGTTGGCGCATGAAATCAAAGCAGGAGAACAGTTTCCTACCAGGTGTAGCCTGGGAAAGTTAGGGGTGACTGATGGAAAGGAGGAGTGAAGCTCCGCCCTTTCTGCTGCTAGGCTGCGCCCGAGGCAATTTAAACCCACCCTGGCTGGCCTATACTCAGATCTTCGCGGAGCGGATCAGCGGCCGGAGCGTTTGGCGGACTCTGCGTGGACTTGGAGCTCACGGCGTCTTGCGACTTGGAGGCGGATTCAGAGGACAGGACAGAACACTTGGGCAAGTGAATCTCTGTCTGTCTGTCTGTCTGTCTGTCTGTCTGTCTGTCTGTCTCATTGGTTGGTTGATTTCCATTTTCTTAAGGGGCACATACCTCACACCGCACACACAGAAACACACACACGCACACACACACACACACGCACACACACGCACACACACTCCTTCCTTCTGCGAGTTAGAAAATTAGTAGGGGCCCCTGGGAGCTGCAGGTTTCCTAATCATGTCTGCACCTAAGAACAGTAGGGTCTTGTCTGGCTCTTCTTATGAACGGTCCCCCAGCCTGGACTCCCCAAGGTCCATGCTAGCCTCACCCAGCTTCTCCCCCTCCCCTCTCAGAATCTCAGGCTTAAGGGGAAGCTCCTCACCAGGGATCCGGAGCTACCATTCACCATCCCCTAGGGCTTCACCACACTCATCTCTGTCATCACCAGAATCCCACAAGCTCCCATTTCCCTGTCCTCACCGTGATGGGCAATCAATGAAGCCATCGGGCTCTCTCGTGTCCTCCTCTGAGGATTCCTCAGAGTCCCCAGGTTCATCAATAATATACCACATGTTCTTACTGCCATCACCCAGCAGCTCACCCCCAGCTCTCGGGGGGTCTCCTGTGTCTCCCAGCTACTCTCCAAACAACCCCAGATTTCAGCTGGAGTCAGTCCCCCACACCCAGGAATCACCTACAAACTCACGAGCCTCGCGGTGCTCCACCCCTGTGTCTTTCATCTCTTCACCCCCAGGCCTCAGGGACTCTCCTGTGGCTCCCAGTTACTCTCCAGCCATCCCCAGGTTCCTGCGGGAGTCAGCCCCATGCACCCAGGAGTCCCCCAGGGAATCACAGGTCTCGGGATAATATGAGCGGTCCCCCAGCCCTGACTCCTCAAGATTCATGCCTGCCTCACCCAGCTTCTCCCTCTCCCCTCCCAGAAACTCAGACCCAAGGGGCAGCTCCTCACCAGGGATGTGGAAGTACTCTACATCATCCCGCAGGGCTTCACCACTCTCACATCCATCATCAACAGAATTCCACAGCTTTACGTTTCCCTTTCCTAACCAAGCAGGACAGTCACTCATGTCATTGTGTTCTCCCGTGTCCTCCTCTGGAGATTCTTCACAGTCACCTCATTCATCAATAATATACCATATGTTCTTACTGCCATCATACAGCAGCTCACCCCCAGCAACCCATGACTCTCCTGTCTGTCCCAGCTACTCTCCAACCACGCCCACATTTCAGCGGGAGTCTGTACCCCACACCCCAGAAACACCTACAAACTCTCAGACCTCAATGAGATCCTGGCCAGTCTCTCTCACGTCTTCACCCCCAGCCCTTACGGACCCTCTAGTCTGTCCCAGCTACTCTCCAACCACGCCCACATTTCAGCGCGGGTCAGTTCCAGGAACCCAGGGATCACCGCCAAGCCCACCACTTTCACTGAGTTACTCCCCAGTCTCTAGCACGTCTTTATCTCCAACCCTCAGGGACTCGCCTGACTGTCCCAGCTACTCTCCAAACACGCCCACACTTCAGCGGGAGTCCGTTGCAGGCACCCAGAAATCACCACCAAACTCACCAATTTCACTGCGTTACTCCCCAGTCTCTCTCATGTCTTCACCATCCCTCAGGGACTCTCCCGTCTGTCCCAGCTACTCTCCAACCACGCCCACTTTGCATCTGGAGTCAGTTACAGGCACCCCGGAATCACCTCCAAACTCACCAATTTCACTCCATTACTCCCCAGTCTCTAGCACGTCTTTATCTCCAACCCTCAGGGACTCTCCTGTCTGTCCCAGCTACTCTCCAACCACGCCCACATTTCAGCTGGAGTCAGTTCCAGGCACCCCGGAGTCACCACCTAACTCACCAGTTTCACTCAGTTACTCCCCGGTCTCTCTCATGTCTGCACCCCCAGCCCTCAAGGACTCTCCTGTCTGTCCCAGCTACTCTCCAACCACGCCCACATTTCAGCTGGAGTCAGTTCCAGGCACCCCAGTGTCACCACCAAACTCACCAGTTTCACTCAGTTACTCCCCGGTCTCTCTCACGTCTGCACCCCCAGCCCTCAGGGACTCTCCTGTGGGTCCCAGCTACTCTCCGACCATGCCCAGATTTCAGCAGGAGTCAGTTCCAGGCACCCAGGAATCACCACCAAACTCCCCAATTTCACTCAATTACTCTCCAGTCTCTCTCATGTCTTCACCAGCCCTCAGGGACTCTCCTGTCTGTCCCAGCTACTCTCCAACCATGCCCACATTTCAGCTGCAGTCAGTTCCAGGCACCCCGGAGTCACCACCAAACTCACCAGTTTCACTCAGTTACTCCCCGGTCTCTCTCATGTCTTCACCCCCAGCCCTCAGGGACCCTCCAGTCTGTCCCAGCTACTCTCCAACCACGCCCACATTTCAGCGAGGGTCAGTTCCAGGAACCCAGGGATCACCGCCAAGCCCACCACTTTCACTGAGTTACTCCCCAGTCTCTAGCACGTCTTTATCTCCAACCCTCAGGGACTCGCCTGTCTGTCCCAGCTACTCTCCAAACACGCCCACACTTCAGTGGGAGTCCGTTGCAGGCACCCAGAAATCACCACCAAACTCACCAATTTCACTGCGTTACTCCCCAGTCTCTCTCATGTCTTCACCATCCCTCAGGGACTCTCCCATCTGTCCCAGCTACTCTCCAACCACGCCCACATTGCAGCTGGAGTCAGTTCCAGGCACCCCGGAATCACCACCAAACTCACCTATTTCACTCAGTTACACCTCAGTCTCTAGCACGTCTTTATCTTCAACCCTCAGGGACTCTCCTGTGTGTCGCAGCTACTCTCCAACCATGCCCAGATTTCGGCGGGCGTCAGTCCCAGGCACCCATGTATCACCTACAAACTCAGCAGTTTCACTGAGTTACTCCCCAGTCTCTCTCATGTCTTCACCCCCAGCCCCCTGGGACTCTCCTGTCTGTCCCAGCTACTCCCCCACCACGCCCAGATTTCAGCGGGAGTCAGCCTCCCACACTCCAGAATCACCTACGGACTCACAGACTTCACTGAAGTCCTCCCTGGTCTCTCTCAGGTCTTTGCCCTCAGCCCACAGGGACTCTCGTGTCTCTTTCAGCTACTCTCAAAACTTCTCTAGATTCCAGCTGGAGTCAGTTCCAGGCACCCACGATACACCACCGAACTCACGAATTTCACTGACTTACACCCCAGTCTCCCTCATGTTCTCACCCCCAGCCCTCAGGGACTCTTCTGTCTCTCTCAGCTACTCTCCAAACATCTCCAGATTTCACCTGGAGTCAGCTTCCCGCACCCAGGAATCACCTACAAACTCACGGACCTTACTGCAACCCTCCACCATTTCTTTCACCTCTTCACCCCCTGCCTTCAGGGACTCTCCTGGGTCTCCCAGCTTCTCTCCCGCCTTCCCCAGATTTCTGCCACAGTCAGCCCCAGGCACCCAGGATAACCCTAGAAACTCACAGGCCACACGAGACTATCTCCCTATGACCTGTACCTATACAGGGATGGCTCCCACGCATCCCTCAGTGACCCCAAACCCATCTCCACTTACACTCAGACACTCCGAGGGCCTGACAGCTACTCCCCGTTATTGTCCTTCAGCACGAAGCCCTGGCCAGTCTAGTAGCCCACATGACGCAGTTACCTGGCCATTACTCCACGGTTCCCGTGAGGGCCCCACACCCAGCCGCACAAGACCCGCTCCTGCATTCCGTCCTCACACGCAGGCCTGTCCACCTACTTGCTACTGTCACACTCTTGCCAGCAGAAGAGGCCCCTGTCATTTCCGATATCACCACCCAGTCTATCCTCACCCCACAGCTGTGCAGCGGGACCCTCCTGCTGGCCCACGTGGCTGCCAGAGCCCATGCTGGCAAGACGCTCCAGCAAGTCGGCGTCCCTGCGGGACACACTACCGGTGACATGGCTAGCATCACCCTCCTTCCTGGCAGTGACACTGTTGATGTGAACCCCAGTTTCACATCTGTCATTTGTAAATGGACCATTTTCCCTTTTCGCTCTCCCTTCCATTCACAGGGCTTTTCATTCTCTCTGTTTCTGCCTCCGTTTCAGATATTTACTCACCTTTTTCTCTCTCACTATGTCTGCCGTGGTCTCCATGAGAGTGCGCCACATAAGATTCCCCCATTAAAAGTCATGAATTGAGTGGCTTTTAGTATACCAGTGGTTGTGCACATTCAATTTTAATTAGCAATCCGTTGTAGAACGTCTTATCACCCCCGACCAGAGAAAAACCCTGTAGGCATTAGTCACTCCTCATTCTGTCTCAAACCCTCTCCCTGACCCTCAGCCCTAGGTAGCAACTACCTAGTGCGATCAACCCCATATGCATAGATTTCCATATTGTGGACATGTCCTATAAACAGAATTGCACAATAGGTGAGCTGTTATGACTGACATAACACGTAGCACAATATTTTCAAGATTCATCCACATTGTAGGCTTACCCACAGGGGAAAACCATATTTTTGGGGGGTTTTAGTAACACCGGGTGTTTTATCCTTCCTTTCGTCCTTCTTTCCTTCCTTCCTTCCTTCCTTCCTTCCTTCCTTCCTTCCTACCTTCCTTCTTTCCTTCCTTCCTTCCTTCCTCCTATTACTCTCTTACTCCTTCTGCCCTCTCTCTTTCATATGCCTTAGGTGCATCACACATTCTGCGTTTTTTTGGGGAAATCCTCGACAGGTGCAGGAAAATTGTGTTATTGTAACTATTTACCGCTATCTCTCTTTCACGGCTCTCCATCAGTTGTGAACATCTATTGGTTTATCCCAAGTCACTAAGCATATTTTTATTAGGTACACCTGTTTTTCCTTATACAGCTGTTTCTGGAGTATAGGGTCGCATACTCATAAACCCAGTGTAACTCAGAACCGCATCTCATATTCCAATAAACCCATCATAACGTTGAAAAATCATGAATCAAACCATCATAAGTCACGGTTTGTCCGTGGATATGGGTGTCATCAATTCCATTGTATACAGTAATGCTGTACACCATTAACAATGGCATACTGATTGGGAGTGGATATTGATAGCATTATAAAAGTCAGTTATTAGAGGGATACTTCTTTAACCTCACTGAAGAACTGATCTAATGGCTTTAGTGCAGTGCATGATTATGTGAGATGTTTTGAGACAGATTAGTACATTTGTGAATGAAATTTTATGGCTTTTTTTCACTTAGTAGGAACCATTGTGTGTGGAAAAGTGAGAAAATTGCTTTCTGCTGTAGAGTCTGGCATTCATTGTAGATTTAAGCCTATTTTTCTGTGAGCAAATCTTATTCAATAAAATGCTACTCTATACTAAAAAACAAAAACAGAGGTGACGTGTGGTCATTATCCTCAGCAAACTAATCCAGGGAAAGAAAACCAAACGCCACATTCTCACTTATAATGGGAGCTGAAGAATGAGATCACATGGACACAGGAAGGGGAACAACACACACTGGGGCCTTTCGGGAGGCGGAGCCTTAAGGAAAACAGCTACTGCATGCTTGGCTTAATACCTAGGTGATGGGTTGACAGGTGCAGCAAACCACCATGGCACACGTTTACCTTAGTAACAAATCTGCCCATCCTGCACATACACCCCAGAACTTAGAAACGAAACGAAACAAAAGAAAACGAAAAAGCAATAGCAAAACGCTAAAGGCAAAATAAAGTTTCAAACTCAGAAAGTGACAGACCAATGTTTGGTTCAAATCATGGTTCTCAACCCAGGTGCCATAAGGTCAGGATAAAGAATTTGATTACATATTGTAAATAAGACATGCAGCAAATGACCAGAAAGATTATTCTCAACATATGTGTGTCTTCTAATTCAATGGTGACGCTATCTACCGGGACATAGCATTAGATTCCAAAGGGCCGAGTCCCGCCAGGCAGGCCTCCCACACTAATAACAACGGGAAGCCCTACGTTGTTTTACCTGTGCTTCTCAGCAACTGGCTATAAATCAGGTTGCCACCACTCCCAGATTCAGTTGCATTCATTTGCTGGAAGAGCTCACGGCACTCAGGGAAACACTTACATTTGCCGTTGTATTTTAGCGGACATTGCAAAAAGTTCAGAAATAAATGTGGGGCCCGGCATGTGGGGAGGGGCGCACTACCTTCCAGGAAGTGTTATCCAGAACCTCTCTGAACCCAGTCCTTTTGGGTTTTTATGGAGACCTCATTCTATAGGCATGATGGGTTAAACCATAGGCTATTGGTGATCAACTCCACCTGAGGCTCTCAACCCTCCCTGGAAATTGGGGTTGAGGCTTTGCCATTCTCAGTCTGAATAAAAGAATTTACCCAAACGGAATTTTAAAACAGATGAGCACAACTGGAATCTTAATTAGATGATTGGATTATCTGGAGCCACACCTTGATATTCCGAACCCGAGCACCCTCATCCAACGAATGCTCCACCCAACTGGCTCCCAAGTCTCCACGTGGTTCCAGAGCAAAAGAATGTTTATACAACGCATATCTCCACCTTTTCTTCAAAGTCTTTTCGCTTACACGGAAAGACTTCTTAAACTGCCATGCATCAGGGTCAGGGGGAGGTCTTGTTACAACACAGATCTGTGGATCTCCGGGGTTTGATTGTGGCAAGGATGCTGCTGGTGTCAAAAACACAACGTGGAGAACCACAGAACCACTAGTTGGTTTACAGTGTTTCAGTGCATACAATTCCTAATATATCTGGCCAAGAAAACTTGGAAGTTCTTAGATTGTCCCAAAGGTGGCGCATGAAATCAAAGCAGGAGAACAGTTTCCTACGCCTGGGAAAGTTGGGGGTGACTGACGGAAAGGAGGAGTGAAGCTCCGCCCTTTCTGCTGCTAGGCTGCGCAGGAGGCTATTTAAACCCACCCTGGCTGGCCTGTACTCAGATCTTCGCGGAGGGGATCGGCGGCCGGAGCCTTTGGCGGACTCTGCGTCGACTTGGAGCTCACGGCGTCTTGCGACTTGGAAGCGGATTCCGAGGACAGGACAGAACACTTGGGCAAGTGAATCTCTGTCTGTCTGTCTGTCTGTCTGTCTGTCTGTCTGTTTGTGTGTCTGTCCCATTGGTTGGTTGATTTCCATTTTCTTAAGGGGCACATACCTCACACCGCACACACACAGACACACACACACGCACACACACGCACACGCTCACACACACGCACACACACTCCTTCCTTCTGCGAGTTAGAAAATTAGTAGGGGCCCCTGGGAGCTGCAGGTTTCCTAATCATGTCTGCTCCTAAGAACAGTAGGGTCTTGTCTGGCTCTTCTTATGAACGGTCCCACAGCCCGGACTCCCCAAGGTCCATGCGAGCCTCACCCAGCTTCTCCCTCTCCCATCTCAGAAACTCAGGCTTAAGGGGAAGCTCCTCACCAGGGATCCGGAGCTACCATTCACCATCCCCTAGGGCTTCACCACACTCACCTCTGTCATCACCAGAATCCCACAAGCTCCCATTTCCCTGTCCTGACCGTGATGGGCAATCAATGAAGTCATCGGGCTCTCCTCTGTCCTCCTCTGAGGATTCCTCAGAGTCCCCAGGTTCATCAATAATATACCACATGTTCTTACTGCCATCACCCAGCAGCTCACCCCCAGCTCTCGGGGGGTCTCCTGTGTCTCCCAGCTACTCTCCAAACAACCCCAGATTTCAGCTGGAGTCAGCCCCCCACACCCAGGAATCACCTACAAACTCACGAGCCTCACGGTGCTCCACCCCTGTGTCTTTCATCTCTTCACCCCCAGGCCTCAGGGACTCTCCCGTGGCTCCCAGTTACTATCCAGCCATCCCCAGGTTCCTGCGGGATTCAGTCGCATGCACCCAGGAGTCCCCCAGAGACTCACAGGTCTCGGGAGAATATGAGCGGTCCCCCAGCCCTGACTCCTCAAGATTCATGCCTGCCTCACCCAGCTTCTCCCTCTCCCCTCCCAGAAACTCAGACCCAAGGGGCAGCTCCTCACCAGGGATGTGGAAGTACTCTACATCATCCCGCAGGGCTTCACCACTCTCACATCCATCATCAACAGAATTCCACAGCTTTACGTTTCCATTTCCTAACCAAGCAGGACAGTCACTCATGTCATTGTGTTCTCCCGTGTCCTCCTCTGGAGATTCTTCACAGTCACCTCATTCATCAATAATATACCATATGTTCTTACTGCCATCATCCAGCAGCTCACCCCCAGCCACCCATGACTCTCCTGTCTGTCCCAGCTACTCTCCAACCACGCCCACATTTCAGCGGGAGTCTGTACCCCACACCCCAGAAACACCTACAAACTCACAGACCTCAGTGAGATCCTGGCCAGTCTCTCTCACGTCTTCACCCCCAGCCCTTACGGACCCTCCAGTCTGTCCCAGCTACTCTCCAACCACGCCCACATTTCAGCGCGGGTCAGTTCCAGGAACCCAGGGATCACCGCCAAGCCCACCACTTTCACTGAGTTACTCCCCAGTCTCTAGCACGTCTTTATCTCCAACCCTCAGGGACTCGCCTGTCTGTCCCAGCTACTCTCCAAACACGCCCACACTTCAGTGGGAGTCCGTTGCAGGCACCCAGAAATCACCACCAAACTCACCAATTTCACTGCGTTACTCCCCAGTCTCTCTCATGTCTTCACCATCCCTCAGGGACTCTCCCATCTGTCCCAGCTACTCTCCAACCACGCCCACATTGCAGCTGGAGTCAGTTCCAGACACCCCGGAGTCACCACCAAACTCACCAGTTTCACTCAGTTACTCCCCGGTCTCTCTCATGTCTTCACCCCCAGCCCTCAGGGACTCTCCGGTGGGTCCCAGCTACTCTCCAACCATGCCCAGATTTCAGCGGGAGTCAGTTCCAGGCACCCAGGTATCACCTACAAACTCAGCAGTTTCACTGAGTTACTCTCCAGTCTCTCTCATGTCTTCACCCCCAGCCCCCTGGGACTCTCCTGTCTGTCCCAGCTACTCTCCCACCACGCCCAGATTTCAGCGGGAGTCAGCCTCCCACACTCCAGAATCACCTACGGACTCACAGACTTCACTGAGGTCCTCCCTGGTCTCTCTCAGGTCTTTGCCCTCAGCCCACAGGGACTCTCGTGTCTCTTTCAGCTACTCTCAAAACTTCTCTAGATTCCAGCTGGAGTCAGTTCCAGGCACCCACGATACACCACCGAACTCACGAATTTCACTGACTTACTCCCCAGTCTCCCTCATGTTCTCACCCCCAGCCCTCAGGGACTCTTCTGTCTCTCTCAGCTACTCTCCAACCATCTCCAGATATCACCTGGAGTCAGCTTCCTGCACCCAGGAATCACCTACAAACTCACGGACCTTACTGCAACCCTCCACCATTTCTTTCACCTCTTCACCCCCTGCCTTCAGGGACTCTCCTGGGTCTCCCAGCTTCTCTCCAGCCTTCCCCAGATTTCTGCCACAGTCAGCCCCAGGCACCCAGGACAACCCTAGACACTCACAGGCCTCACGAGAGTATCTCCCTATGACCTGTACCTATGCAGGGATGGCTCCCACGCATCCCTCAGTGACACAAAACCCATCTCCACTTACACTCAGACACTCCCAGGGCCTGACAGCTACTCCCCGTTATTGTCCTTCAGTTCGAAGTCCTGGCCAATCTACTAGCCCACATGACGCAGTTACCTGGCCATTACTCCACGGTTCCCGTGAGGGCCCCACACCCAGCCTCACAAGAGCCCCTCCTGCATTCCGTCCTCACACGCAGGCCTGTCCATCTACTTGCTACTGGCACACTCTTGCCAGCAGAAGAGGCCCCTGTCATGGCCGATATCACCACCCAGTCTATCCTCACCCCACAGCTGTGCAGCGGGACCCTCCTGCTGGCCCACGTGGCTGCCAGAGCCCATGCTGGCAAGACGCTCCAGCAGGTCGGCGTCCCTGTGGGACACACTGCCCGTGACATGGCTAGCATCACCCTCCTTCCTGGCATTGACACTGTTGATGTGAACCCCAGTTTCACATCTGTCATTTGTAAATAGGACCATTTTCCCTTTTCGCTCTCCCTTCCATTCACAGGGCTTTTCATTCTCTCTGTTTCTGCCTCCGTTTCAGATATTTACTCACCTTTTTCTCTCTCACTATGTCTGCCGTGGTCTCCATGAGAGTGCGCCACATAAGATTCCCCCATTAAAAGTCATGAATTGAGTGGCTTTTAGTATACCTGTGGTTGTGCACATTCAATTTTAATTCGCAATCCATTGTAGAACGTCTTATCACCCCCGACCAGAGAAAAACTCTGTAGACATTAGTCACTCCTCATTCTGTTTCAATCCCTCAGGGCCTGATGGGAAGGCACTTTCGTCTGTGGGGGACCCATTCCCTGCTTCTCCTTTGCGCGGTTTTTTTTTTTTTTGCTACGATAGATGCCTTTCCTCTCCTTCCTCAAATCTCACCTTCCCCTCATGTGGCTTCTGTCTGCCTTGGGGTACACCTAGCGGCCCGAGGTGCACTGTGGGATCGAACCAGGGACTCCAGGGTCCCTGAGGCCCAGCACGAGGCCTGATGGGAAGATACTTTCGTCCGTTTGGAGGACCCAGTCCCCGCTTCTCCGCGGCTGTGTTTGTTTTTCTCTGCCCCAGGTGCCTCACCTTCCCCTCTTGTGCTTTTTGCAAGCTTTGGGGTACCCCTAGCGGCCCAAGGCATACCCTGGGCTTGAACCATGGAAGCCAGGTTCCACAGGGTCAAGCGCAGTGGCTGATGATAAGACACGTTCTTCCTCGGGGACCCAGGCTCTGCTTCTCTGTGGCGTTTTTTTTTCTTTTCTTTTCCACAGGTGCCTCACTTTCCCGTCATGGGCTTTCTGCCCGCCTTGAGGTACCCCTAGCCGGCCCGAGGCGCACCCTTGTTTTGAGCCAGGGATGCTAGGGTCTCCGGGGCCCAGTGTAGGGCTTATGGGTAGGGACGTTCGTCCATGGGGAACCCAGGCCCCACTTCTGGTGGGCGCAGTTTTTTATTTTGTTCTCTGCCCCAGGTGTCTCACCTTTCCCTCATGGGCCTTCTGTCTGTCTTGGGGTACCCCTAGCGGCCTGAATCGCACCCTGGTCTCGAACCAGGAATGCCAGGGTCCCCTGTGCCCAGCGCAAGGGCTGATGGGAAGACACTTTCTTCCGTTGGGGATCCAGGCTCCGCTTCTCCGTGGTGCAGTTTTTTTTTTTCTGCCACAGGTGCCTCACCTCTCCTTCCTCAAACCTCAACTGCCCCTCATGGGATTTCTGCCCTCCTTGTGATACCCCTAGCAGGCCCGGGGCGCACCCGGGGCTCGAACTGGGGTCTCCAGCGTCCACAGGGCCCAGCGCAGGGACTGATGGGAAGGCATTTTCATCCTTGGGGTACCCAGGCCCAGCTTCTCCTAGGCGCGGCTTGTTTTCTTTTTTTTTTCTGCCACAGTTTCCTCACCTCTCCTCCCTCAAACGTCAACTTCCCATCATGGGCTTTCTGCTCTACTTGGGGTACCCCTTCCGGCCCAAGGCTCTCCCTGGACTCGAACCATGGATGCCAGGGTCGCCGGGGCCTAGCGCAGGGGCTGATGGGAATGTACCTTCATCCGTGGGTACCCAGGCCCCGCTTCTCAAAGCTGCGGTTTTTTTTCTCCGCCCCTGGTGCCTCACCTTCCCCTCACTGGCCTTCTGCCTGCTTTGGGGTACCACGAGCAGGCCCGAGGCGCTCCCGGGTCTCCAATCAGGGTCGCCAGGTTCTCGGGGCTAGCGCAGGGGCTGATGGGAAGGCACTTTCATCAGTGGGGACCCAGGCCCGGCTTCTCCGAGGTGCTGATATATATATATATATATATATATTTTTCTGCCACAGGTGACTCACCTCTCCTCCCTTAAATCTCGCCTTCCCCTCATGGGCTTTCTGGCTTCCTTAGGGTACCCTAGCATGCCGGAGTCTCTTCTGGTCCTTGAACTAGGGTCGCCAGAGTCCAGGGGGCCCAGCGCAGGGGCTGATGAGAAGGCACTTTCGTCCGTGGGAGACCCAGGCCCCGCTTCTCTTCCGCACGGTTTTTTTTTTTTTCTGCCGCAGGTGCCTCACCTCTCTTCCCTCAAACCTCACCTTCCCCTCATGGGCCTTCTGCCCGTTTTGGGGTACACCTAGCGGGCCCGAGGTGCACCCAGGCCTAGAACCAGGGTCGCCTGGGTCCACGTGGCCCAGCTCAGGGACTGATGGGAAGGCACTTTTTTTCCATGGGAGACCCAGGCCCCACTTTTCCGTGGCGCGGTTTCTTTTTCTTTTCTGCCACAAGTGCCTCACCTCTCCTCCCTCACAGCTCACCTTCCTCTCATGGGCTTTCCACCGTGTTGGGGTATCCCTAGTGGCCCGAGACTCTCCCTGAGCTCCAACCAGGGACTCTAGGTTCCCCGGGGCCCAGCGCAGGGGCTGATGGGAAGGCACTTTCATCCGTGGGGTACCCAGGCCCCACCTCTCCGCGGTGCGGGTTTCTTTTTTTTCTTTTTCTGTGACAGGTGCCTCACCTCTCCTCCCTCAAAACTCACCTTCCCCTCACGGGTTTTGTGTCCCCAAAGCCCCCTTGGGGTGCACTTAGCGGCCGAGGCACACCCTGAGCTCGAACGAGGGACACCAGGGTCCCTGGGTCCCAGTGCAGGGACTGATGGGAAGACACTTTCGTCTGTGGGGCTCCCAGGCCGTGTTTCTCCGTGGTGAAGTTTTTTTTTTTCTCTGCCCTAGGTGCCTCACCTTCCCCTTAGGGGCTTTCTGCCCACCTTGGGGTACCCCTACTGTCCCGAGGCGTACCCCAGGGTCAAACCAGGGACGCCAGGGTCCCCAGGGCCCAGCGAAGGGGCTGATGGGATGGCACTTTCATCCGTGGGGGACCCAGGCACTGCTTCTCGGCTGAGCATTTTTTTTTTCTCTGCCTCAGGTGCCTCACCTTCCCCTCATGGACCTTTTCTTTGCTTTGTGGTACCCCAAGCTGTCCCGAGGCGCACCCTGGGCTCGAACCAGGGTCGCCAGGGTCCACCAGGCCCAGCATAGGGCCTGATGGGAAGGCACTTTCATCCGTGGGGGACCCAGGCCCCGCTTCTCTGAGACGCGGTCCTCTTTTTTTATTTTTTCTGCCCCTGGTGCCTCACCTCTCCTCCCACAAACTTCAACTTCCACTCATGGGCCTTCTGTCCAAGTTGGGGTACCCCTAGTCGCCTGAGGCACACCCCGGGCGTGAACCAGGGATGCCAGGGTCCCTGGGGCCCAGCGCAAGGCCTGATGGGAAAAAACTTTCGTCCCTGGATGACCCAGACACTGCTTCGCGGCGCATTTTTTTTTCTTCTTTGCCCCAGGTGTCTCACCTTCCCCTCATGGGCCTTCTGCCTCTCTGCGCCTGCGCCGGCGCTGTGGGCCTCTCTGCGCCTGCCCCGGCGCTGTGGGCCTCTCTGCGCCTGCCCCGGCGCTGTGGGCCTCTCTGCGCCTTTCGCCCGCGCTGTGCGCCTTTGCGAGGGCGGAGCTGCGTTCTTCCCAGCACAGCCAAGGAGAGCATCGCCAGGGCGGAGCTGAGTTCTCCTCTGCACAGACTTCAGAGATACAGCGAAGGCGGAGCAGTGTTCTCCTCAGCACAGACCCAGGCGGGCCGGGGGCACCGCGAGGGCGGAGCTGCGTTCTGCTCAGCACAGACCCGGGGGACACCGCTAAGGCAGAGCAGCGTTCTCCTCAGCACAGACCTTTGGGGCACTGCCTCGCTTTGGGACAACTCGGGACCGCATAGACGGTGAATAAAATCCTTCCCTTTTGCAGCCCTGAATAATCAGGGCCAGAGACCAGTTAGAAGGGCTCAGTGTGGAAAAGGGAAACCAAAAGCCCCTCTGAATCCTGCCAACCGAGGTTCTCCCCAGCCAAGCCGAGGCGGCCACAGTGCGAGATCCACACCGCAGACTCGGAAGACAAATGCAGCATTCCTAATGCAGACATGACACCCAAATTATGACACTCCCATTGCTCATGTAACAAGCACCTGTAATGCTAATGCACTGCCTCAATACAAAAATATTAATATAAGATCCGCAATCCCCTTGCTGCCATGCAGTCCTAAGACAGAGATCATAATAATCAACATTGACATAGTACAAACGTAGTAACGAACCTAGGGTTAAGGTTGGTGTTAGGGTTAGGGGTTAGGGGTTAAGTTTAGGGTTAGGGGTTGGAGATAGGGGTTGGGGTCAGAGTTAAGAGTTAAGAGTCAACGTTTAGAGTTAGAGGTTAAGAGAGGTTAGGGGTTAGGGATAAGGGGTTAGGGTTGGATTAGTGTGAGGGTGAGGGTTGTGGTTAGGGGTTAGGCTTAGGGGTTACGGTTAAGGGTTAGGGTTAGGGTCAGGGGTTAGGGGTCAGGGTCAGGGGTTAGGGATCAGGGTCAGGGGTCAGGGTCAGGTTCAGGGGTCCCACTCTGAGTTGTCCATTTAGTCTGCTGACTGTTCCTTTTGCCATGCAAAAGCTGTTTAGTTTAATTAAGTCCCAGCTATTAATCTTTGTTTTTATTTCATTTGAATTTGGGTTCTTGGTCATGAAATCCTTGCGTACGTCAATGTCTAGAAGGGTTTATCCAGTGTTATCTTCTAGAATTTTTATAGTTCAGGAATTAGATTTAAGTTCTTAATCCATCTTGAGTAGATTTTTGTATAAGATGAGAGATGAGAATCCAGTTTTATTCCCCTACATGTGGCTCGCCAATTATCCCAACATCATGTGTTGAAAAGGGGGTCCTTTCCCCACTTTATGTTTTTGTTTACTTTGTCGAAGATCAGTTGGCTGTAAGTATTTGGGTTAATTTCTGGGTTCTCTCTTCTGTTCCATTGGTCTATGTTCCTATTTTTAAACCAGTACGTTGGTGTTTTGGTAACTATGGCCTTATTGTACAGTTTGAAATCAAGTAGTGTGATACCTCCAGGTTCTTTTTGCTTAGGCTTGGTTTGGTTACATGGCTCTCTTTTGGTTCCATATTAATTTTAGAATTGTTTTTGTAATTCTGTGAAGAATGATGGTGGCATTCAGATGGGGATTGCATTGAATTTGTAGATTGCCTTTAACAGAATGGTAATTTTCACAATATTGGTTCTACCCATCCATGAGCATGGGGATGCATTTCCATTTGTTTGTGTCATCTATGACTTCTTTTCTTTCTTGTTTTTTTTTTTTTTTTTTTTTTTTTTTTTTTTTTTTTTTTTTCAGAAGGAGTTTCGCTCTTGTCGCTGAGGTGGGAGAGCAATGGTGTGATCTCGGCTCACTACAACTTCTGCCTCCCGGGTTCAAGCGATTCTCCTGCCTCAGCTTCCCGAGTAGCTCGGATTATAGGCATGTGCCACCGTGCTTGGCTCCATCTATGATTTCTTTCAGTAGCGTTTTGTAATTTTCATTGTAGCGGTCCTTTGATTCCTTTGCTAGGTATATTCCTAAGTTTTGTTTTTTTGTTGTTGTTGTTTGTCGCAGCTATTGTAAAAGGGGTTGAGTTCTTGATGTGATTCTCTGCTTGGTAGCTGTTGATGTATGGAAGAGCTACTGATTTGTGTCCATTAATCTTGTATCTGGAAACTTTGCTGAATTCTTTTATCAGTTCTAGGAGGTTTCTAGAGGAGTCCGTAGGGTTTTCTAGGCAAAAGATTATATCATCAGCAACAAGTGACAGTTTGACTTCCTCTTTACCGATTTGGATTTCCTCTATTTCCTTCTTTTGTCTGATTGCTCTGGCTAGGATTTCCAGTACTATGTTGAAGAGGAGTGGTGAGAGTAGGCTCCTCGTCTTGTTCCAGTTCTCAAAGGGAATGCTTTCACCGTTTCCCCATTCAGTATTATGTTGGCTGTGGGTTTGTCATAGATGGCTTTTATTACATTAAGGTATGTCCCTTGTATGCCTATTTTGCTGAGAGCTTTAATCATAAAGCAATGCTAGATTTTGTCAAATGTTTTTTCTGCACCTGTTGATATAATCATATTAGATTTTTTTTAATTCTGTTTATTTGGTGTATCACACTTATTGACTTGCATATGTGAAACCACTCCTATATCATTGGTATAAAACCCACTTGATCATGGTGGATTATTTTTTGATATGTTGTCGGATTCAGTTAGATAGTATTTTGTTAAGGATTTTGGCATCTGCGTTCATCAAGGATATTGGTCTGTAGTTTTCTTTTTTGGTTATGTCCTTCCATGGTTTTGGTATTAGGGTGATGCTGGCTTCATAGAATGAATAAGGGAGGGTTTCTTCTTTCTCTGTCTTGTGGAATAGTATGAAAAGATTGGTATCATTTCTTCCTTGAATGAAAGAAGACATTCTTTGAATGTCTGGTAGAACTCTGCTGTGAATCTGTCTGGCCCTCAGCTTTTTTTGCTGGTAATTTTAAAATTACCATTTCAATCTTGCTGCTTGCTTTATTGGTCGGCTTGGGGTATCTAATTCTTCCTGATTTAAGCTAGGAGAGTTGTATTTTTCCAGGAATTTATCCAACTTTTCTAGGCTTTGTAGTTTATGTGCCAAAAGGTGTTCATAGTACCCTTGAATAATCTTTAGTATTTCAGTGGTGTCAGTTGTAATATCCCCTGTTTCATTTCTTAGTGAGGTTATTTGGATTTTCTCTCTTCTTTTCTTGGTTAATCTTGCTAATGGTCTATCAATTTTATTTATCTTTTCAAATAACCAACTTTTTCTTTTATTTATGTTTTGTATTTGTTGTTGTTGTTGTTGTTGTTGTGTCAATTTCATTTAGTTCTGCTCTGATCTTTGTTATTTCCTGTGTTTGCTGGGATTGGGTTTGGCTTGTTCCTGCTTCTCTAGTTCCCTGAGATGTGAACTTAGATTGTCTGTTTGTGCTCTTTCAGACTTTTTGATGTAGGTTTTTAGGACTACAAACTTTGCTCTTAGCAGTGCCTTTGCTGTATCCCAGAGGTCTTGATAGGTTGTGTCATCCAGTTCGAATAAATTTTTTACATTTCCATCTTGATTTCATTTTTCACCCAATGCTCATTCTGTGAGGAACAACCAAATTGTTTTCCGCAGCAAGGGCATCATTTTCTATTCCTAGCAGCCAAATCATGAGGGCTCCAACTTCTCCACCTCCTTAGCAACATTTATTTTCTGTGTCATTGTTATGAAAGCCTTACTTGTGGGTGCAGAGTGGCATGAATGTAGTCAATTAACACGTTTATTACCTCACAGAATCGTCACCTTTTTGTGTGCATGGGTGGGATAAGAAAACTTAACTCTATCCCCTGTGACGGAGTAGTGGCCATTCCAGCTGCTCCAGGCTCCAGCAGAGGAAGACCGGGGTATGTGGCCCCACCAGGGTGACCCTCAGGCCTGGCGCGCACGCATTCCAGAGGCCACCCAAACCATGCTCCGCCATCTGGGCGCCCAAGCTGCCGTCGCCCTCTGTGTGCAGGCAGCAGCTGCCTGGCAACCCCCGAGCCCGCTCGCGCTCCTAGCATCACAGAAGCAGGGCCACGTGTCCCAGTGGCTGCAGCCAAGCCAGGCATTCTGCCCTGCGGCAGCAGCTGCACAGGAGCGAGAACTGAGAACCCACCGCTCAACCCCACACGAGGTGACTGCCGAGTGCCCATACAAACGGCTCCGATCTCCCTCAGGTGGAGGAGTGGTCGGGAGGCACGGCCTGGGGGCCCTGAGGCTGGGCGCGCTGGCGATCCCAAGGCCGACCAGGCCATGCACTTCCAGCCCGCCTGGGCACCCGAGCTGCAGCCGCCTTCTGCGTGCAGGCAGCAGCCTCCAGGCAACTCCCGAGCTCGCCCACACTCCCCACATCTCGGAAGCAGGGCCAAATGTCCCTGTGGCTGTGGCCAAGCCAGGCGGTCTGTCCTGCAGCAGCTGCACAGGGGCGGGAACCGGCCCTCAGCCCCATCCCCGGTGGCTGCAGAGGGCCCCTGGATAGAGACCTGGAGCTCTGACAGAGGAGGAGCCGGGCCGGGGCAGGGTCTGGCAGGCTCTCAGGCCAGGGGCACCCGCGATCCAGAGGCGGCCCAGGGCATGCTCCACCACCTGGGCACCCAGCTACAGGCGCCGGGCGACTCCCAAGCTGGCTGGCGCGCCCAGCCTCGCAGAACTGGGGCTAGATGTCGCCGTGGCTGCGACCAAGCCAGGCGGTCTGCCCAGGGGCGGCTGCACCGGGGCAGGAACCGACCCTCAGCCCCATCCCCGGTGGCTGCAGACGGCCGCTGGGGCGGCCCCGATCTCTCTTCGGAGGAGGAGAGGGGCAGGAGTCACGGCCAGGCGGGCCCTCAGGCGGGAAGGAATGCGCGCCTGCGATTCCGGGACGTCCCGCGCCAGCCCAGGAGAACCTGCAAGCCAGCGGCGCCTGTTTCTCTGTGTGATTCTTTGAGGAACCACCAAACTCTTTTCCACAGCAAGTGCATCATTTTCTATTCCTAGCAGCCAGTTCATGAGGGCTCCAGTTTCTCCACCTCCTTAGCAACATTGATTTTCTGTGTCGTTGTTATGAAAGCCTTACTAGTGGATGCAAAGTGGCGTCTCATTTGGGTTTTGCCTTGCATTTTATTAATGAATAATGGTGTTTAGCATCTTTTCTTTTCCTTCTTAGACATTTGTGTATCTTCTTTGGAGAAATGTCTGTTCAAGTCCTTTGCCTATTTTTTTAATTGGGATCTTAGAAATTCTGTTGTTGAGTTGTGGGATATTAAGCTTTTATCAGATACACATTTTGATTTTATCAGATACATATTTTCTCACATATTATGGGTTGTCTTTTCACTCCCTTGATAGTATCCTTTGATGCATAAAGGGTTTTTTTATTTTGATTAAATCTAATTTTCGTGTATTTTCTTTTGTTATCTGTGCTTTTCTGTCATATTTCAAAATACACTTAAAACTCAAAGGTCATAAAGGTTTACCGTGTGTTTTCTTCTAAGAGTTACATATTTTTAGTCCTTACATTTAAGTCTTTTATTAATTTAGAATTAATTTTTGTATATACTGCAAGGTAGGGGTCTAACTTCTCTCTTGTGCACTGACATCCAGCTGTTGAAGAGACTGTTCTTTCCTCCCTTGACTAGACTTGGCCACCTTGTTGAACAGTCATTGACCATATATGTGAGGACTAACTTGTAGGATCTCAAATCTGTTCTATTGTATTTGTCTGAAAGTCTATTGGTCTTATTCCAGTACCACACTCTCTTGATTACTGTAGATTTGTAGTAGGCTGTGAAACTGAAAAATGTGAGTTTTCCAATGTTCTTTTTCAAGACTGTTTTGTCTGTCAGATCCTTTGAATTTTTGTATGATTTTAGAATGAGTTTCTTTGTTTCTGCAAAAATGCCTTTGGGATTTTGATGGTATTGCATTGAATCTGTAGATTACTTTAGATGGTATTGTCATCTTAACAATATTGTCTTACAACCCGTGAACACAGAATGTCTTTCCACTTATTTCCACTCTCTTTAGTTTTTTGCAGCAATGTTTTGTGTATACCACCATGGTTAGATTTATGCCTGAATAACGTATTCTTTGATGTCATTATAAATGGAATTTTTAAAATGTTTTCATAGTTCTTTACAACTATATAGAAATATAGCTCATTTGCCTATGTTTGTTTGCATCCTGCCTCTTTTATTAGTTATAATCGGTTTTGTGTTTTGTTTGGAGCTTTATACCTACAAGATCATGTGTAGATATAATTTTACACCTATTTTTTATTTCTAATTTAGATGCCTTTTATTTCTTTGTCTTGCCTAATTGCTCTGGCTAGAACTGCCAGTGCTACGTTGAATACAAGTGGCAAATGCACCATCCTTTTCTTCTAGATATTAGGAAAACAGCTCTCAGTGTTTCATCATTGATCATGATATTAACTGTTGGGTTTTTGTACATCCCATTGTCATGTTGCAGAAGATCCCTTCTATGCCTAGTTTATTGAGTATTTTTATTATAGAAGGGTGTTGTATTTCATCAATGTTTTCTCTGCATCAATTGAAATAATCACGTGCTTATTCATTTTACTGTTACAGCATATTACACTGATTGATTTTTTATATGTTGAACCACCCTTGCATTTTGGGGATAAATCTCAAAGGGTGATAGTTTACAATCCTTTGATTATACAGTATTGCTGCTAGTATTTTGCTAGTATTGCTAGTATTTTGCTGAGATTTTTGCTTATATATTCATAAGGGATATAGTGCTGTATTTCTCTCTTTTGTGCTCTCTTTGTCTTTGGTATAAGGATAATGCTGTTATCAAAAAATGAATTAGCAAGTATTCCTTCTTCATATATTTTGTCAGAAGAGTTTGAGAAGAAATGGTATTAATTCTTCTTTAAATGTTAGGTTGACTCACCAGTTAATGCAGCTATTTGGTCATAAATGTTTCTTTGTTAATCGCTTTCGATTACTAATTCAATCTCCTAGGTTATAGGTCTATTCAGATTTTCTCTTTCTTCTTGAGCCACCTTGGTAGTTTGTGTCTTTCTAGCGATTCATCCATTTCATCCAGGGCACCTAATTTGTTGCTAGACAGTTGTTCACAGTATACTCCTATAATCCTTTTGTATTTCTGTAAAGTTGGTAGTAATGGCTCTGCTTTCATTTATTATTTTAATAATTAGTCTTCCATCTTTTGCTCAGTCAATATAGTGAAAGGCTTGATCTTTCAAAGAATCTACATTTTTTCATTCTACTGCTCTCCAACCTTCTATTTGATTGATTTATGCTCTAATTATGCTCTTTATTATTTCTTTCCTTCTGCTAGCTTTGGATTTAGTCTTCCACCTGGATTTATTTTGGGAGTGATATTGATGTAACTTCATGGAAATAATACTAGATAGAAAGTTAGCAGATAGATTCTCTATCTGATGAGAGTTTGGGGCAAGTCGAGTACCAGGTTACCAAGTTTTATTTTTTTCTCTGACCCAAAAAACAATTTGGCAGCCGGTGAGAAACTCTCACAGCTCTGGATGTGAGTTTAGGACACTGCATTTCTACCATTCAATTTCTTACTACTTTTTTGCACAGGGATCATGGCACAAGTTGCAGTTTCCACCCTGCCCATGGAAGATGAGGAGTCCATGGAAGATGAGGAGTCTGTTGAAGATGATTCCGTGGAGAGCAGGATGGTGGTGACATTTCTCGTATCAGCTCTCAAGTCCACGGTGAGACCTTCTGTTCTAATATGATATAATTGGGTAGAACTGGGTGGTAGATAAGGTTGATTTGTTTTTGTAGAACTTATAATTTTATGATTTGTAGTTCTAATGAGTAGATCTTTTTCTGGAATAGTAGTTATGGTCAAACACTTCTAACCAAAAGTGCCATGTTGTCCAGTCTGGTCTCAAAATATGGGGCTCAAGAGACCTGCCCACCTTGGCCTCCCAAAATACTGGGATTACAGGTGTAAGCCCCTGAATCTGGCCAGATATTTTTCTTTTTATGGCTGAATAATACTCTGTGTATGTATATATTACATTTTCTTTATCTATTCACCTACTGATGGGCATTAGGTTTGGGCTACCTTTTGGCCACTGTGAATAATGCTGCTGTTAATCGGGTGTACAAATACCTGTTTGAGTCCCTGCTCTCAGTTCTTTTGGGTATATACGCTTAAAGGGTGTTGATGGATCATATAATTCTATGCTTCATATTTTTAAGGAGCTGCTAAACCATTTTCCACAGTGGGCTGTACCATTTTACATTCCAAAAAGCAATGCATACAGCTTCCAATTTCTCTATAGCCTTGCTGACAGTTAATATTTTCTGTTTATGTATTGTATTTTTATAGTGTTTGAAATTAATCTGAGGCTTTTTGCTGATACCAAAATATTAGGAAAGGTTTTCCAAAAATAATACTGCTTATTATAAAGGATTTTACGTGTTACTTGATGCCCTGTGATCTGTTTTCTAAGTAAGAAGAGGAACTTCTTGGCTGGGCACAGCGGCTCATGCCTGTAATCCTAGCACTTTTGGAGGCCGAGGTGGGTAGATCACCTAAAGTCAGGAGTTCAAGACCAGCCT
Source organism: Homo sapiens (assembly GCF_000001405.40). Taxonomy (NCBI): domain Eukaryota; kingdom Metazoa; phylum Chordata; class Mammalia; order Primates; family Hominidae; genus Homo; species Homo sapiens. Next base: position 269,064 of record NW_021159991.1, read on the forward strand.
GGCCAACATAGCGAAACCCAGTCTCCACTAAAAAAAAAAAAAAAAAAAAAAAAAAAAAAAAAAAAAAGAAATTAGCTGGGTGTGGTGGGGGGGTGACTCTAATCCCAGGTATTCGGAAGGCTGAGGCAGAGAATTGATTAAACCCATAAGGCAGAGGTTACAGGGACCGAGATTGCACCACTGCACCCCAGGCTGTGTGACAGAGCGAGAGTCCATCTCAAAAGAAAAAAAAAAAGGAAAGAAAGAAGAGGAACTTCTCTCCATCCAGCCTCATTCCACTGCACCAACTCTTCTGTGTCGGGTTGTGCACGGGAGAAAGGGAGCTTGGCAACTCTTTGCTGTGTTGAGTTGTGGTAGCCCATCACTGGGTTGTAAAGTGCCTTGCCTCCTTTCCTCCCCTCCTTTTTCTTTGAGACAGAGTCTCACTCTGTCATCCAGGCTGAGGTGCAGTGGTGTGATCTCTGCTCACTGCAACCTCAGCCTCCTGGGTTCAAGTGATTCTCCTGCCTCAGCCTCCCAAGAAGCTGGGACTACAGGCACATGCCACCACACCTGGCTAATTTTTTTTATTTTTAGTAGAGACAGGGTATCACCATGTTGGCCAGGCTGGTCTTGAACTCCTGACTTCAGGTGATCCACCCACCTTGGCCTCCCAAAGTGCTGGGGTTAAAGGCATGAGACACTGCGCCCGTCCACCTCCTCTTTTACTTGGGAGAAATGCACAGATTCTGGGTGCCATGTGCATTTGTTTTGGGAGTGATAATTGATCTAACTTATGGAAATAATACTAGATAGTTAGCGGATGGATTCTGTATCTGATGAGAGTTTTGGGCAAAACTCCTAGTTTCTGAGTCTTATTTTTCCCCTGATTCAAGAAAACTGTGAATTATCCAGCCAGTAAAAAACTCTCACAGCTCCGGATGTGAGTTTAGGACACTGGATTTCTACCACTCATTTTCTTACTACTTTTCTTGTGCAAGGATCATGGCACAAGTTGCAGTTTCCACCCTGCCCATTGAAGATGAGGAGTCTGTTGAAGATGAGGAGTCCTTGGAGAGCAGGATGATGGTGACATTCCTGTCAGCTCTCGACTCCATGGTCAGACCTTCTGTTCTCACATTCTGTAGTTCAGTAGGACTGGGCGGTAGATAAGGTTGATTTGTTTTTGTAGAACTTACAATTTTGTGATTTTTAGTTCTAATGAGTAGACCTTTTTCATGAATAGTAGTTACGGTCAAACACCTCTGACCAAATGTGCATGTGGAGTTTCTACACTGATTTTCAGACAATCTGGATCCCAACTGGGTATCCCACAATTCCATCCTGACACTCCCTGGAGTTAGTGCAGACCCCGCAGGATGGGAGCTCAGTCCCAGGAGTCTACCCTCACTCCACATGCCAATTGCAAGTCTTGGGTTGTTACATGTAGTTTTGACCAACCAGTTAGAAAACAGAGTTTCATGACCCCCATTGGTGGGTGGAATCATTTGCTCGGACAGCTTGCAGAACTCAGAAAAACAGATTGTTTTCTTTTTTTCTGAGATACAGGGTCTCAGTCTGTTGCCAGGCTGGAATGCAGTGGTGTGATCAAAGCTCACTGTAGCATGGGACTCCTGGGCTCAAGTGATCCTCCCACCTCAGCCTCCCAAATAGCTGAGATTATAGGCCTGTACCAGCATATCTGGCTATGTTCTCTTACTTTTTGTAGAGATGGGGGGGTCTTGTTATGTTGCCCAGGCTGGTCTCAAATTTCTGGGCTCACATGATCCTCCCACCTCAACTTCACAAAATGCTGGGATTATGGGCATGAACCACTGCATCTCACCAATTTATTTTCTTTTACTGGTTCATTTTAAAGGCTAAATCTCAGAAACAGCCAGTGAAAGAGATGTACATGCTGGGCACAGTGGCTCATGCCTGTAATTTCAGCACTTTGGGAGACTGAGGCGGGAGCATCGCTTAAGTGCTCAGGAGATTAAGACCAGCCTGGGTAACAAGGTGAAAATGCATCTCTACAAAAAGATTTTTCTAAAAATTAGCCAGGCACAGTTATCTATAGTTCTAGCTACTCAGTGCCTATAATTCTAGCTACTCAGGAGGCTGAGGTGAGAGGATGAGAGGATGGGGCTTGAGATAGGGAGGCATAGTTCGCAGTGAGCCACGATTGTGCCATGGCACTCTAGGCTGGGAGACAGAGCCAGACTCTGTCTCAAAAAAAAAAAAAAACACACACAGGGCAAGGTATGTCGAGAGGGGTACAGAACTTCCATGTCCTCTATTGTGCATGTTACCTTCCTGGTATCTCCCTTGTGTTCAGCAACCCAGACATTCTCCAACTCCAGTTGTTAAGGGCGCTTATGAACGCTTCATTATGCAGGCATGATTGATGAAATCATTGACCATTGGTAATTAAGTCAGTCTTCGGCCACTATTTCTTCCTGGAGCCCAGGGGGTGAGGCTGACAGTTCCAAGCCTCTAATCACATGGTTTGTTCTTCTGACAACAACCACCCCTTTTTCTGAAGCTGTCTAGGAGCTTTCAGTCACCCAGTCATCTCAGTAACATCACCAAATGCATTCTTACTATGGTGATCCCAAAGGTCTTAGAGGCTCTTGTGTTAGAAACCTGGGACTAAGACCAAATATTGAAACAGAAGATGCCCCATCACTTTCATCACCAAGGCCTTTATAAGAGCTTGAGAAGCTCTGTGCCAGGATGAGGGGCAGAAACCAAATGTGTATTTCTTTTCTTTTTCTTTTGAACACAGAGTCTCTGTTTCACCCAATCTGGAGTGCAGTGATGGTGTTGTAGTTAACTGCAGTCTCAACCACCTGTGCTCAAGCAATTCTCCCACCTCAGCCTTCCAAGCATCTGGGACTACAGGTGCACACCATCCATGCCCAGCTAATTTTTGTATTTTTTTTTGTAGAGATGGGATCTTGTTATATTGCCGAGGCTGGTCTTGAACTCTGGGGCTAAAGCGATCCTTTCACCACAACCTCTCAAGTAGCTGAAACTACAGATGCATACTACCATGCCCAGCTAATTTTTTCTTATTTCTTTTTGTTGTTTAATTGAGGGGGTCTCGCCGTGTTTCCCAGGCTGGTCCTGAAGTTTTGGCCTCAAGCGTTTCTCCTGCTTTGACCTCCTAAACTGTTGGGATTATGGTTGTGAGCCACGGCCTCTGTGTCCAGCAATCACAAGAGGTCTTTATAAGTGAAAGAGGGAGGTAAGAGAGTCCGAATTGAAGGAGATTTGATGATGGAAGCACAGGTCACAGAGGGAGATTCGAATATGCTTTGCTTCTGGCTTTGAAGATGCAGTTAGGAGCCATGAGCCAAAGAATAGCAGTGGCTTTAGCAACTGGGAAAGGCAAGGGAACATATTCTCTCCAGAACCTCCAGAAGGGATGCAGTCCTGCTGGCACCTTGACTTTAGCCTTAATAGACCTATTTTGGACTTCTGGCCCCCAGACCTCTTAGTTAGTAGATTTGTGGTGTATTAAGCCACTCAATGTAGGGTAGTTTGTAACAGCGGCAAGAAGAAATGAACATGAAGCCAGAATTGGTGGCCCACACCTATAATTCCAGCTATTTAGGAGGTTGAGGCAGGATGGTTTCTTTGGCCCAGCAGTTCACGATAAGTCTGGCCCTGAGGCAGGACAATTTCTTGACCTAAGAGCTCCAGGTCTCAGTGCGTTGTGATCATGCCATGGCACCCCAGTCTGAGTGACACAGCGAGATTATATCTTAGAAAAAAAAAGAAAAAAGAAATGAGTGAGCATGGCAGGAATAGGGACAGATAGCAATATTAAATAAAGTGGTCAGGGTTGGCCTCCTAAGTGAAAATTGAGCAAAGACTTGAAGGAGGGGAAGGAGCTGGCCAAGGTACTGAGGGAAGAGCATTGTAGGCAGAAACAACAGAATAAAGATGCTAAGAGGGAACTCCGTGGTGTGTCTGAAGCTCAGGAAAGAGGTCTGTGGAGTAGAGAGAGGGAGAGAAGTAGGGAAGGAGGCCAGGGAGTTGTTGGACTCAGATCAGTGCAGATTGTGTAAGCCCTGGGAGGTTATTGCTGGGGCTTTGGTTTTTATTCTGTCTGAGATGGGAGATGAGGAAGGGTTCTGAGCAGAGAGGTGACGCGAACTGTCTACTGATTTAAAAGCATCCCATGGCAGCTGAGTTGAGAAAGATTGTGGGAAGATTTGGGTAGAAGCAGGGAGGCCATGCTGTGGCAACCTCCAGGTGGGAGATGATAATGGTTCTGACCAGGGCCCTGGCAATGGTGAGAGATGGTTGATTCTTGTTGAAATAGTAAGTAATTAAAAAAAAACCACTACTGCTTTTCCCAATTATATGAAGTATGGGATGCTAGATTACAGAAATCTTAAGTCGGGCCAGGTGCAGTGGCTTATGCCCGTAGCTTCAGCACTTTGGGAGGCAGAGATGGGAGAATGGTTTGAGTCCAGGAGTTTTAGACCACCCTGGGCAACACAGCAAGACCTCCTGTCTATGCAAATAAAAATTAATAAAATATAATTATCCCGGCATAGTGGTATTTTCCTGTAGAACCTGTTACTTAGGTTGTTGAGGTGGGCAGATCTCTTGAGGGTGGGAGTTTGAGGCCAGCTTGGGCAACATAGCAAGGCTCCTCTTTCTACAAAAAAAAAAAAAAAAAATTAGCTGGGTGTTTTGGTGTTCATCTGTAGCCATAGCTATGGTGAGGGTGAGGCAAGAGGATCCCCGGAGCCCAGGAGGTCACGGCTGCAGTTAGCTATGAGTGCACCCCTGCATTGCAGCCAGAGTGACAGAGTGAGACCCGGTCTCAGAATACAGATACAAGTAAAGAAATCTCAGCTCAGAGCAGTCTGTTTGTCACTATGCAGCCTTTGCAACCCCATAGCTGCGCGATTGGGTTTGTGTTGCTGGAGGTGAGGAGACCCGTGCCCAGGTGTTGTTGCCTGTCTAATCAGTTTATTTTAAAATATATTAATGAAATTTATTTCATCATACTTTATGGCCTCATACCTGAATGGTTTTTTGAATTCTCCTTTGAATAGCTTGTAACTATTCAAACCTCTTATTGGTTCTATAATTAATTCTTTTTCTAATTAGCTTTTTAAAAATCAGAATTGATATTAGACCAATCAGTTATTAATGAGGAGATGAAATTGAGTTGTTTGTACACTTTATCTAAGATAGTGTTATATTGGCTAACTCAAATCAGTAGTTCAGCAAATGCAGAATCAGAGCTTCTTCAGCGTGGAACTCTCTTGTGGTTCTTGTGGTTCTTGAAGATGCCGTTTCTTTTTTTTTTTTTTTTTTTGAGACAGCATCTTCCTCTGTCACCAGGCTCGAGTGCAGTGGCACAATCTCAATTCACAGCAACTTCTGCCTCCCGGGTTCAAGCATTTCTTTTGCCTCAGCCTCTGAAGTAGCTGGGACTACAGGCACATGTCACCATGCCCGGCTAAGCTTTGTATTTTCTGTAGATACGGGGTTTCAGCATGTTGGACAGGCTGGTCTTGAACTCCTGACCTTGTGATCCACTGGTCTTGGACTCCTAAAGTGCTGGGATTACAGGTGTGAGCCACCGTGCCTGGCCTCTTTTTTCAGTCTTTAATAAACTGCTGCCATCATTTCAGACCGCTTGCTATTTTAGGCACTTAGAAATTTTTCAATGGAATTCATGTAAAGAAAGACCATGGGTGTTTGTACTGGATTTAGTATTCATCCTTCGACTGCATGACTCACCCCTAGTGCCATAATTTTACTAATGAATTTTTCAGATACTACTCAGCTGGCCACTGAACCTAACCAGCAACCCACCCTCAACCATTCAGTGGTCTTTTGTTCTTCTCTGTTCCTCCTGAATGTTGATTACTCTCAGAAGGTGATAAAAACTTGGATTTCTTTTTTTTTTTTTCTAGAGACAGGGTTTTGTTCTGTCACCCAGGCTGCAGTGCGGTGGCATGATCATGGTTCACTGCAGCCTGAAACCCCGGACTCAAACAGTCCTCCCACCTCAGCCTCCCAAGTAGCTGGGACTACATACATTTGCCCCTATGCCCAGCTAACTTCTTTATTTTTTATTGTACAGATGGGATCTTGCTGTGTTGCTCAGGATGTTGTCAGACTCCTGGCCTCAAGTGATCCTTCTGCCTCAGCTTCCCAAAGTGCTTGGATTATATGTAGGTGGGAGCCACCTGTGTTCAATGCCCATTTTCTTTTTCTTTCTTTCTTTTGGAGACGGACTCTCACTCTGTCATGCAGGCTGGAATGCAGTGGTGTGATCTCAGCTGATTGCAACCTCCACCTCCCTGGTTCAAGCAACTCCCCTGCCTCAGCCTCCCGACTAGCTGGAATTACAGGCCCATGTCACCACTCTCAGCTAATATTTTTGTATTTTTAGTAGAGACAGAGTTTCAGTATGTTGGCCAGACTGGTCTCGAACTCCTGAAATCAGGCAATCCACCCACCTTGGCCTCCCAGTGTGCTGAGATCAGAGGCGTGAGTCACCACGCCATGCCCAGCCATTTTTAAAATAATAACGTTATTGAAATATGATTAACGTATCATGCAATTCATTTATCAAAGTACGCAATTCAGGCCAGGTGCAGTGGCTAATTCCTATAACGCTAAGACTTTGGGCAGCTGAGGCAGGTGGATCGCTTGTGTTCAGGAGTTTGCGACTAGCCTGGGCAACATGGCAAAACAGCATCTCTAGCAAAGATACAAAAATTAGCTGGGTGTGGTGGCTCATGCCTGTAGTCCCAACTACTTGGGGACATGAGACTGGATGATCACTTGAGCCCGGAAGCCATAGGTTGCAGTGAGACCAGATGGCACCACTGCACTACAGCATGGGTAACAAAAGGAGACCCTGTCTTTAAATAACTAAAGAAAAAAGAAAGTATACAATTGAGTGGTTTTTAGAATATTCAAGGAGCTGTGCATCCATCACCACAGTCTTTCTTAGAAGTGATTACCCACTTGTGAGTTACCCACTTATGAGTGAGAAACCCTCACCTCTTAGCCACTACCTCCTACGTACCCCATGTTCATAGGGTACGTATGTTTATCCATTCATTAGTTGATGGACATTTGTGTTGTTTTTGCGTATTCACCATCATGAGTCAGGCTGCTATGAACACTCGTACGTAAGTTTTAGTGTGAACATATATTTTTATTTCTCTTGGATTTACACTCAGGAGTGAAATTGTTGCATTATGTGATTACTATACATTTAGTCTTTGAGAAACTGCCACGTTGTTTTTCAAAGTGGTTACACTGGTCAGGCACAGTGGCTCACACCTTTAATCTCAGGTATTTGAGACGCTGAGTTTGGAGGATTTTCTTAGCTCAGGAGTTCAGGACAACCCTGGGCAACATAGGGAAACAATGTCTTGATTTTTTAAAAAAATCAAATGCCAAGAAAACACCCAAATTGATTACACCATTTTATGTTCCCACCAGTAATGTATGTGAGTTCCAATTATTCCAATTGTCACCAACTTTTTTTTTTGAGACAAAATCTTGCTCTGTTGCACAGGCTGGAGTGCAGTGACATGAACATGGCCAGTGCAGCTGTGACCTTCCAGGCACAAGTGATCCTCTCACCTCAGCCTCCTAAGTAGCTGGGACTTACAGGTGCATGCTATCATGTGCAGCTGATTTTTACAGTTTTTGGTAGAAATGGGGTGTTGTCATGTAGCCCAGGTTTGTGTCAAACTCCTGAGCTCAAGTGATCTGCCTGCTTCAGCTTCCGGAAGTGCTGAGATTACAGGTGTGTGCCACCATGCCCGACTGGTGTAACCACTTTGGAAAGCAGCCACTGAGCCCGGCCTTCACCAGTATACCAATATTTGTTAATATCGTTTTATTTTTTACAATTTTTCCATTTTTAAAAACTTATTCTTTTACCTGTATTATTGATTATAATAAACAACGAATAATTTTGCAGTAGAGTCCCCCCAAAAAGTATTTATTGTTTAACTGAAGTAGTTTTTTTTTTAACCTGGATATATATTTTTTCATTTTCACTTTATTTTTAGTGTTTATTTTTAGAAATTATTTATATGTATTTTTATTTTAATAGGTGTTTGAGAAACAGGTGGTGTTTGGTTCCATGAATAAGTTCTTCAGTGTTGATTTCTGAAATGTAGTACCCCTCATTACTTATTAAATTATATATTAAGTCATTATAAAATAATTAATAAACCAAGGACTTTAGTAAAATGGGAATTTTATTTTAACTTGCAACCTGGGACGTAACTGTCAAAAAAATTAGAGAAATTACCACATTAAGGTTTTAAAATCTTGAACTGAAAAATGAAAACCTTGGTGCACCTAAGAACCACCAGCCCACTGGTCAAAGTGAACAAAACTAAATGAAAAAATAAAACCAAGAAAACCAAACTCAGGATTATTAGGTATTTTGTAATGCTATTTTATCTTTGGACTCACAGAATATTGTTATTATTATTATTACTCTTATTATTATTATTATTATTTTGATATGGAGCCTCACTCTGTCACCCAGGCTGGAGTGCAGTGGCGCAATCTTGGCTCACTGCATCCTCTGCCTCCTGGGTTCAAGTGATTCTCCTGCCTCAGCCTTCAGAGTAGTTGGGATTACAGGCAGGTTCCACCATGCCTGGCTAACTTGTATTTTTGGTAGAGACAGGGTTTCACCATGTTGGCCAGGCTGGTCTGAAACTCCTGATCTCAAGCAATCTGCCTACCTCAGCCTCCCAAAGTGCTGGAATTACAGGCATGAGCCACTCTGCTCAGCTGAAAATAGTTAATTTTATGTATATTCCAACTCAGAATACATCCTATTTTTGAATATTTGATGACTTTAGGATACTATATTAACTCTTAATTGAATTAATACAAGTTTAGGTGTAAAGATGATGTTTATGTTGACAAAAATTATTAATGTTTTACATATATGAAAGTAACAATATCATATATTTTTCATACTTGTACAATACTTTGAAATCTATTATTAGCTAATATTTTATATTCATTTTGCGTTTTCACATTATTGTTAGATCCAGAGAAAAGTAATATTGTGTGAATACTCAAATCATAAACATTTTGCTGGATGCATTCATAGATACTTTATTTAAAAAGTACATTAATTGAAGTTTTACACCATTTTATGATTCATCAAACACAGCAACTGAATACTGGCGTATAGCAACATTACAGATGATGTTAGTCTAAGATAAAACTCATAACACATTTTAAAAAGGGTAAAAGGAAGGAAAGGAAAAAGGATACAAGGCTGTAGAAAGATTTTAAAAACAAACGTCATATGTCTGAACCTTTGCCTGGAGTTTCATATTTTGTGAAAAGCAGTTTGTAAGTAGAGGACTCGTAAGTGCACCTAGTACACTGCAATGGCACAGACACGGCAGATAGTCAATAAAATGACCTTTAACTTCTGATCTAGGTTATTTTTGTTGTTGTTCATGTATTAACCTAGTGAAACTCGCCAATAGATGGAGTGGCATTGACCTGTACAACTTCCAAAATCCCATCCAACCTTAGTGTCCTCTGAAGTTCTCCATAACTTATTGTCTGTTCCAACCAACATTTAGCATAAGCTACAGCTTATATTGTTAATAATTCTTCTATGTTTATGTGCTGATTTGCAAATAAATGGGCCTATATAGTCTTTATCTAGTGTTGGATTGGGATCAAAAGTTTCATGAAATCATTGTTTTTAGTATACGTACAGATGGATAATTGTATAAATAAGTACAGATGTGTATAAATGTGTGAGTATACATACATATATTTTCTAGCTCCTCTAACAAAAGGGCCTAGAAACAACATCATCCCAGTAACAATGAGAACACCATTCTCCAATTAAAGGAACCAAGGCTCCTTGGGGACATATTTGATATCAGGATTGGGCAGGGAAAATACAAGATTAGTTTGAAATATTTTGTCATGTTAGGAAGTAAGGAAATGCTCACAAAATGGGGAAAATGTGAAAGGGAAACAGATCCACTTTGAATAAACTTCCATAGCCAAATTTGAGAAAATTGGGGCAATAAAATAGATAACAATAATAATATATTACAATCTACAGGAGAAAATTTTCAATTAATCCAGGCCAGGTGCAGTTGCTCATGCCTGTATTCCCAGCCCTTTGGGAGGCAGAGGCGGGCAGATCACTTGAGGTCAGGAGTTCAAGACCAGCCTGACCAATGTGGTGAATCCCTGCCTCTACTGAAAATACAAAAATTAGCCGGGCATGGTGGCACATGACTGTAGTCCCAGCTACTCCGGAGGCTGAGGCAGGAGAATGGCTTGAATCCCGGAAGGTGGAAGTGCAGTGAGCGGAAATCGCACCATTGCACACCAGCCTGGATGACAAAACAAGACTCCAACTCAAAAAAAAAATCCATATTGACATAAATAATAAACCAAAGATTGAGAGTGGGTAGTATTTTATTACAGTAAGATTTCATTAAATGTAGGAGACATAAAATATAAGAATCATCACTTTGCAAATATCATAGTAATAATTGTTGCAAGAAAGAACCTTGGAGGAATGCTAAGATTAGTGGTGAATATATGTTGGGAAAGAACATATTTGCATAATATGAAAGTATCTTCCCACAAGATAATTATAGAATAGTAACTTCAAAGTGGAGATGTCAACTTAGCCAAGTGATCATAGTTAACATTACTAATAATAAGATAAATGAACTTCATGTAATTTCTTATATGATGCACTGAGTAGGACAAAACATCAATTCTATGGTATTCTTAGACAAAATGTATAACTTTAGTCCTAACCGTGAGAAAACATCAGACTAACTGAAATTGAGGCAGGACATTCTACAAAATAACGGCCAGTATTCATCAAAAGCATTTTAGAAAGACTGAGGAATTCTCCAGAGACATGGAGGCATGTTATCTAAGTGCAATGGAGAACATGCATTGTATCATGAACCAGAGATGGACAACAGTAGGATATGTACAATAACACCCCAACATTTGAACATTAAACAAAATACTTCAGAAAAACCCATTGGCCAAGAAAAGTTTCACACACAAAAAAAATAGTTTAAACTGAAATAAAATTTTTTAAAAACTTAATAAAATGTGGGATGCAGATAAATCGTTTCTTAAAGGTACATTTATAGATGTAATATATTGAAAATAAAAGGCTTCAATCAATGACCTTTAAGTTCTTTTTTAAGAGGCTAAAAAATAAGCAAAGTATATCCAAATTAAGAAGAAGGAAGATGATAAAGATAAAAATGTAAACCAACAACATAGCAAATAACAAAAGGTGGAGCTAATTAATATACCCACAAATTGGTTCTTTGAAAAAAATTTTTTTAATAAACAATGGCTAGCAAGATTTATCTCGAAAAAAATTAGAGAAGCTACATAATGTAGATAATGGGAATTAAATAGAGGATGTAACTACAGAACCTACAGACATCAATATAATTATGAAAACTTTAGGCCAATACATTTGACAATTAAAATAACATGGGAAATTATTTGTAAAACTAATTCTTAAAACTAATGCAAAATGAAATAGAAAAAGTAATAGCTTCTCTATGTATTGAAGAATTTTTTTAATTTAAAAAGATTTCTATAATTACAGGCTACATGCTTTCTCAGGTGAATTCTATCAAACATTTAAGAAAGTACAGAGAGTCCTCAACTTACAGTGGTTTGACTTGTGCTCTTCTTACTTGATAATGGTGCTTTCATCTGTGTACGTTAATGATGAGCATCAATATGACCAGTTTTTCACTATCAGTATAGTTTTCAATAAATTTCATGAGAAACTCAATATTTTAAAATGGGCCTTGTGGTAGATGATTTTGCCCAATTGTAGGATAATGTAAGTGTTCTGAGCAAGTTTAAGGTAGGCGAGGCTAAGTCATGATATTCAGTAGGTTAAATATATTAAATGCGTTTTAGACTTACAATATTTTCAATTTAGGATGAGTTCATTAAGACATAAAACAATTGTAAGTTGAGGAGTATCTATAACATCAATCTTGAACGGACTCTTTTTAAGAAATAGAATTTAAGGGCCGGACACAGTGGCTCACACCTGTAATCCCAGCACTTTGAGAGGCCAAGACGGGCAGATCACCTGGGGTCAGGAGTTTGAGACCAACCTGACCAGCATGGAGAAACCCCCATCTCTACTAAAAGTACATAATTAGCAGGGCATGGTGGCGCTTACCTGTAATCCCAGCTCCTCGGGAGACAGAGGCAGGAGAATAGCTTGAATCTGGGAGGCAGAGATTGTGGAGAGCCGAAATTGTGCCATTGCACTCCAGCCTGGGCAACAAGAGTGAATCTCCGTCTCAAAAAAAAAAAAAAAAAAAAGAAAAAGAAAATTTAAAGGGACATTTCCTATCTTATTTTATGAACCCAGTATTGCCGATTCCAAATCGAGACAAAGGCATTATACAACTTTGATGTTTATCCCTCATAAACATAGACTCAAAAGTCCTTAAAACATAATAACCAATTGAATGTAGCAGTACATAGAATGGATAATAAACTGTGAACAAATTAAATTTCTAGCAAGATTGCAAAGTTAATTTATTATTTGAAAGATCAGTTTAATCAATTTTATTCACCTGGATGGTTACATCTGGCAAAACTCAGCAAACTGTGCACTTTAAAATAGTATTTATTTTATGTAAATTATCTTTCAATACAATTGATTTTTTAAGAAAAAAAAACGTTTCCCAGAGTGATCAAAGTGGAGGGCAGGGAAGAGTAAACATCAGTGCTTATGTTATAGCTACTAGAAGCCTCCCAATTCCAACGACATGCTTTCAAGCAGGTCTGATCCTTCCCCTGGAGGATACCTCTGACCCAGGTGTGCTACAAATGCATTGCCCCTAGTTGCTTCTGTCACCTTAGTGATGGAAGTGACAAGAGGGTACTGGAGAAAGAAAAGGTGTACAAGGTTCCAAATGTACATTCTATTTCCAAAGGACATTTGTGAAGCCAGTGGAAAGCGAACAAACAAGCTGCTAAATAAGTCACAAGTGTGTTCTCATACAGTTTTGCGATTAACTAAATAGGACATTCAACAGATAAAATTTGTTTTACATAGTTACTCCTCTAACAGGATGAACTTGTGGATTGTGAGATAGGGCTGATATAACCTGTTTTCTCTCTGCCTCTTTTTTTTCCCCCAAGTTTTGTGTGCAATACATTAGGAAAAATATAATTGGGCTACAAATCTACAAAAATGGCTTCCTGGCAGTTCCATGCTTGTTTCCATGTGGTGCCTATGTTTGGCACTGTGTTCTCATTTGCACTTTCCTACTTGATTAGTTAATGTATGAAGGACAAGCCTGATCTCTACTGTGAATTTTTACCAAGGTATTCTAGTAGAAAAATGAGTATGTAATGGTGCTGTGGAATGCTAAAGTGTGTAAAACATTAAGAATCTAAAAATATGCTCATTTCCAAGTTTTGTCCCAGAGCAACTGTGCACTCTGATTATATCGCTACTGCTATTTAAAGTTATCCATTTGCATGTCTAAAAAATAGATTCATACTGATTGTCCCATTTTGATCTCAAAAAACTCCTGAATATGAGAGTCGTGATCAAGGGACGTTTCATGAAATGTTCCAAAGTTAAAGTGTGCAATGAAACCAGATTTATCATAGCCTTATTTAAAATAATTATTTCTAAAATTGTTATTGTTTAATTATAAACGGTATCCTTTCAGGATACTTGGAAGATCCATAGCAGTGTTTTTATTTTCACAGAACAAGCATAAATTATTTATGAAATAATAACTCAGATACAGAGATTACTTCCTATTGGCCTTACATATGAATATAAATAAATACATATTATGAACATGAGCATACTTATTTTATAATTATGTAAATGTGTGTGTAATGTTATATTTAAGTTCAATAAAGTCATGCTTATACATGGTTTCAATTCATGCTTCTAAAAACCACTCAATGTAGTCATTATCATATGTTAATAATCTCTGAAAATGTGCTTCTAGTAGTTGCACAATATCCCATCATAAAGATTGTCATGCTGTTTTTAAGTCATACTTTTGGGTATATAAGTTATATCTGATATTTTTCTGCTACATATATACTATTATAAATCTATTAGTAGCTGATTTTTTTGTCAACACATATGATTGTTTCCTCACAATAGTACAAGAGTTGGTTGTAACTTTATTTCCTTCCAACATTTATTTTAGGTTCAGCGGGTACATGTGCAGGTTTATTATGTGGGTAAAATGTGTGTCAATGGGATTTGGTGTACAGATTACGTAGTCATCCAGGTAGTGAACGTAGTATCTAATAGGGAGTTTTTTGATCCTCACTCTACCCCCACCCTCCACCCACAGTAGACCTTGTGTCTATTGTTCCCTTCTCTGTGTCCATGTGGACTCAATGTTTAGCCCCCACTTATAAGTGAGAACATGCAGTGTTTGTTTGGTTTTCTGTTCCTGCATTAATTCACTTAGAATAATGGTATCCAGCTCCATTCATGTTGCTGCAAAAGACATTATTTCATCCTATTTTATAGGTGTGTAGTATTCCATGGTGTATGTACGCTGCATTTTTTTAATCCAGTCTTCTGTTAACAGGCATCTAAGTTGATTCCGTGTCTTTGCTATTGTGAATAGTGTTATAATGAAAATATGCGTGCATATGTCTATGACAGAATGATTTATATTCCTTTGGGTATATACCCAATAATGGGATTGCTGGGTTGAATGGTAGTTCTGTTTTAAGTTATTTCAGAAATCTCCAAACTGCTTTCCACAATGGCTGAACAAATTTACATTCCTGATGAAACTGGAGACTTCCCTGACTCCCCTTGGCAGGATGTGCAACAGGGGTGTGGCTTGTCTGGCCACCGTGTGTGCTGTCAAACCCCTTACTGGGCAGGGAAGCATGCAGACAGGCAGGTGCAATAGGCAGGGCAAGTGGCCATGGTACTGTCTAGGGGTGGGTTCCTGCGACTCCCACAGCCCAAGTGGGCATGTGTTACAGTGCACTCTTTTAGCTTTGCCATCCACAGACAGCTTAAGTGTTAACCTGTTCAGTGCGCTCTTGGTACCCAGTTCCTTGTCCAGCATCCAGAAAGAATTAAGTTGCACACAGACTTGAGGATGGTGAATGTGGGGGTTTTATTGAGTGGTGGAGGTGGCACTCAATGGGATGGATGGGAAGCTGGAAAGGGGATGGAATGGGAAGATGATCTTCCCCGGGAGCTTTGCCATCCAGAGGCTGATCTCTCCAACCACTGCCAGCCAAACTCCTCTTGGCATTCAGATGCTCCTTCTCTTCTTTCTGCCACATCATTCTGCAATTCTGCTCTTCTGTTCATCTCCTCATCTGCTTGTCTGCTTCTGGAGCCTGGGGTCTGGGGCATATATGGGTACAGGACAGGGGGTGCATGGTGAGCTGAAAGACAACTTTTGGGTGCAAAAGCAGGAATGCCTGTTCCCATTTAGGGCCATGGGTTTCCAGGCTTGTGGGCAGGGCTTTGCCAGGGAACCACTCTCTTCTACCCAGCATTTCCCTGTCTCCTTTCTATATCACCACCAGCAGTGTATAAGCATTCCCTTTTTTCCACAAACTCGGCACCGTCTGTTATGTTTTGATTTTTTAATTATAGCCATTCTGACCGGTGTGATATGGTATCTCATGGTTCTGATTTTCTGATGATTAGTGATGTTGAGTATTTTTTCATATGGTTGTTTGCCATACATACGTTGTCTTTTGAAAAAAGAATCCACAGACGGCTTAAGTGTTAACCCGTTCAGTGCCCTCTTGGTACCCAAGTCCTTGTCCAGCATCCAGAAAGAAGTTGCACATGGACTTGAGGATGGTGGATGTGGGGGTTCATGTTCTTTGCCTATTTGTAGTGGGTTTGTTTTTTGCTTATTGATTCTTTATACATGCTAAGTATTAGACCTTTTTCAGATATGTAATTTGAAAATATTTTCTTCTGTTCTGTAGGGTGTTCTCTGTTGATAGTTTCTTTTGCTGTGCTGAAGCTCTTTAGTTTCATTAGGTCCCACTCGTCAATTCTTCTTGTTGCAATTGCTTTTGGAATCTTCATCATGAAATATTTGCCTGCGCCTATGTCCAGAATGATATTTCCTAAGTTTTCTTCTAGGGTTTATATAGTTTTGGGTCTTACATAAGTCCTTCATCCATCTTGAGTTGATTTTTGTATATGGTGAAAGGAAGGGAGTGTACATGCCCCTGTGATATTGTTCCTAATATCCAGGTTGGGAGAGGATATTATACTCAATATTGCAGGAAGTGTCGACCACCCTGAATGTTGCTTTTAATATCCGGGGAGAGAGGGTGATATTACTCCCAATATCATCCTCTCCCCCCACACCCTGCATAGTACAAGCAATATCAAAGGGGGTCTGTGCAACACGTGCAATATTGGGAATAATATCCTCCCCCAACATGGATATTAGAAACAGTATCACAAGGGGTTGTACACCACCTGTGATATTGGGGAGTACTATCATTTTCTTTCCCCATGGATATGTAGAACAATATCACAAAGGTGGTGTACAACCCCTGCTATATTGGGAGTAATACTGTACTTTCCCCACCTAGATATTAGGAACAATATCACGGGGGGTTATACACCACTGCAACATTGGGAGTAATATCATCCTTTCCCTCCCTGGATATTAGGAACAATAACTCATGGGTGTCTACACCCTGTTCCATATTGGGATTAATATTTTCTCCCTTGCTGGACATAAGGAACAATATAACGGGGGGTATACACTCCTTATGATATTGCCAGTAATATTATAGACTCCCCCCAGGGATATTAGAAAGAGTATCAGAGAGGGGTGTACATCCCCTGCGATATTGGGAATAATATTCTTTCTTTCCCTGGATATTAGGAATAATATCACAAAGGGGTTGTATACCCCCCGTGACATTTTAATTAATATCATCTTCCCCACTGAATATTAGGAACAAATTCCCAGGGGGTTGTACACCACCTGCAATATGGACAGCTATATCATTGTCTCTCCCCCGAATATAAGGAACAATATCACAAGGGGGTTGTACAACCCCTGTGATATTGGGAGTAACTTTATACCCTTTCCACATGGATATTAGGAACAATATCACAGGGTGGTTGTACACCCACTGCGATATTGGGAGTAATATCATCCTCTATCCCCTGGGTATTATGAACAATATCATGGGGAGGGAGTGTATGCCCTCTGTGATATTGGGAGTAATATCATCCTGTCCCCTCTGGATATTAGGAATGATATCACAGCGGGGCTGTACCTTTTCTGCATTATTGGGAGTGGTATCACCCTCTCCCCCTATGGATATTAGGAACAATATCACAAAGGGGGTGTACACATCCTGCGATATTGAGAGTAATATTGTCCACTCTTCCCCGAGATATTAGGAACAATATCACAGGCGGAGTGTACACCCCCTGCTATTTTACCTGTAATATTATTCTCTCCCAACCTGGATATTAGGAATAATATAACAGGAGGGGTGTACACCACCTGTGATATTGGGAGTAATATCATTCTCTCCCCCCATGGATATTGAGAACAATATCACAGGGGCGGTTTACACCTCCTGCGACATTTAGAGTAATATCATCCTTTTCCCCCATGGATATTAGGAACGATATCACAAGGGGGGTGTACATGCCCTGTGATATTGGAAGTAATATCATCGACTCCCCCCACGGATATTAGTAACAATATCAGAAGGGGTGTACACCCCTTGCGATATTTATAGTACTATCATCCTATACCCCCTGGATATTAGGAACAATACCACGGGGGGTGTATACCCACTGTGATATTGGGAGTAATTTCATCCTCTACCCCTTGGATGTTAGGAGCAGTATCACAAGGGGGGTGTGCACCCTCTGTGATATTAAAAATAATACCATTCTCTCCTTCTCTGGATACTAGGAATAATATCACAGTGCTGGTGTGCACCCTTTACACTATTTGGAGCAATATCACCCTCTCCCCAACTTGATATTAGAGACAATATCATGGGGGGTGGCGTGTAACACCCTGCACTGTTGGGAGTACTATCATCTAGTCTTCCCCTGGATATAAGAAACAGTATCACAGAAGGGGTCTACACCTCCTGAGATTTTGGGAGTAATATCATCCTCTCCAAATCTGGATATTAAGAACAGTATAATGGGGTGTGGGGAGTAATATGGTGGGAGTAATACAATCCTCCTCCCCACTTGCTATTAGGAACAATATCACAAAACGTGTGTACACCCACTGTGACATTTGGAGTAATATCAACATTTCCCCACCTGGTATCACGGGGAGAGTGTACACTCCTTACGATATTGGAAGTATCATTGTCTCTCACTCTCGATATTAGGAAAAATAGCACAGGGTGTGTATACACTTCCTGTGATTTTGGGAAGAACATCATACCCTTCTGTCTTTGATATTAGGAACAATATCACAGAGGGGGTGTACAACTTCTGTGATATTATAATATTCTTTCTTCCCATGGATATTAGGAATGATATCCCGGGGGGCTTGTTGTACACACCCTGTGATACGGACAGTAATATCATTGTCCTTCCCCCTACATATTAGAAACAATATCACAAGGGTGGTATACACCCCCTGGATATTAGAAACTATCACAGGGGGGCTGTACAACCTCTTTGATACTGTGAGTAATACCATTGTCTCCCCTCCTGGGTATTAATAACAATATCATAGGGTGGGTGTACACTCCCTGCAATATTGGGAATAATATCATCCTCTCTTCCCAGGGATATTAGGAACGTTATCACAGGTGGGGTTTACACCCCCTGCAATTTTGTCAGTAATATTACTTCTGGATGTTATTGAATATATCACAGTGGGGGTGTACACCCCCTGTGATATGGGGAGTAATAGCATCCTCTTTCCCACTGGATACTACAAACAATATCGCAGATTGTGTACAACCTCCTGTGATATTGTTCACAATATTTAGGGAAGGAGAGGATGATATTACTCCACATATCGCAGGGAGTGTTACATCCCCTGTAATATTGTTCATAATATTTAGAAGACGACAGGATGATATTACTCCCAATATAGTAGGAAGTATACACTCCCCTGTGATACTGTTCATAATTTTTAGGGGATTAGAGGATGATATTACTTCCAATATCACAGGGAGTGTACACTGGTGATATTGTTTATAATTTTCAGTGGATTAGAAGATATTATCCAGAATATCACAGGGGTTGTACACCCCAAGTGATATTGTTAATATCCAGTGGGAAAGAGGATGATATTACTCCCCATATCACGGGGGATGTAAACCCGTTTGTGGTATTGTCACTTACATCCGGGGGGGAGAGGATGATATTACTCTGCATATCATAGAGGGTGCACACGGCTGTAATGTTGTCCATAATAACATCCAGAGGGGAAGAGAATATTATTCCCATGTTTCAGAAGGTGTACACACCCCTGTGATAGTCTCTGTAACATTTAGGGAAGAAGGGGATGATACTACTCCAGATATTGCAGGGGGTGTACACCCCCCTGTGATACTGTTCGTAACGTTTAGGGGGAAGAGGATGATATTACTCCCCATATCGAAGGGATTGTATATCTCCCTATATATTGTCCATAACATCCAGGGCAGGAGAGGATATTACTACTCCCCATATCACAGGGGGTGGACACCCCCCTCTAAATATGTCTAACATCCAGGCGGGGACAGGAGGATATTTTTCCCCATAACCCAGAGAAAGTAAACCTCCTGTGATATTGTCCATAACATCCAGTGGGGAGAGGATGATATCACTCCCCATATTGCAGGGGGTGCACACTCCACTCTGATATTGGCCGTAATATCCGGGGGGGGGGGTGAAGTATGAAGTCACTACACATATCGCAGGGATTATTAGTATCAGATTGTTTGAAGGGCTCACAGTAAGGGTAGTAGTAGGGCGAGTTCTAACTCAAATAGGGGAAATGTGATGGCTACTAGAAAGAATTTTATGGAGAAGGGAATGTGGGCAGAGGATAGAGGGTCAAATCTGCATTCATAAGGGCTAGATTTTTCTATATATATTTATTTTATACATATATATATATTTATTTTATACATATATATATATATTTTTCTCTCTCTCTACATATATATATTAAGTTGTGGGAGCCAAAATGTAATAATTATTAGTAACAGGGCTAATAGGGTGTTGATTACTAGGGTTAATGTTAGGTGAATTACTGTTTTTCGGATGCTATCAAAACTTTGGAAATCATGGTACTATTTATACTAAAAGAGTAAGATCCTCATCAATAAATAGAAACATACAAGAATAGTCATACTACATCTACAAAGTGTCGATATCAGGCAGCGGCTTCAAAGGCAAAGTGATGACTAGATGTAAAGTGGTATTTTAATTGGCGGAGAAGGCAGACTGAGGAATGTTGATCCAATAATGACGTGAATTCTGTGAAAGCCTGTAGCTATAAAAAAATGTTGAGCCATAAATACCATCAGAAATAGCAAAGAGAGCTTTGAAGTATTCTGAGACTTGTAGGAGGGTGAAGTAAATATCTAATATAATTGTAACAAGTAGTGCTTGGATTGTATGTTTTTGATTATTTTTTGTTAGGCTGTGATGGGCTCAAGTAATTGAAACTCCTGATGCAAGTAATACAGATGGATTCAGGAGAGGTACTTCCAGGGGGTCAAGGGGAGAAATACCTGTTGGGGGTCAATGCCCTCCTAATTCTGGAGTAGGGGCTAGGCTAGAATGGTAGAATGCTCAAAAGAATCCAGCGAAGAGGAATATTTCTGAGATAATAAATAGGACTGTCCCATATTGGAGGCCTTTTTGAACAGTTGTTGTATGGTGACCCTGAAATGTACTTTCTCAGATACAGAACACCCTTGGTCAATTGAATACAGATCAATCACTTTAAGTAAGCTAAGTCCTTACTAAATTGATGAGACTTAAACCCATGAAAACTTAACAGCTAAACTCCCTAGTCAACTGGTTTGAATCTACTTCTCCAGCCGCTGGGGGAAAAAAGGTGAGAGAAGCAGTATTGAAGCTGCTTCTTTGAATTTACAATTCAACAATAAAATCACCTTGGGACTGGTAAAAACAGGCGTTGACCTCTGTTTTTAGATGTACAGTCTAATGCCCTACTCAGTCATTTTACCCTTTTTTCTCACTTCATTTATGTTGGCTGACAGTTGACTATTCTCAACCAACCATAAAGATATCGAGACATTATATTTATTATTTGGCACATGAGCAGGGATAGTCAGTACAGCTTTAAGCCTTATTCGAGCTGAACTCTACTAGATGATCAAATTTATGTCATTGTTACAGCCTATGCATTTGTCATAATTTTCTTTATAGTAATACTATAATTGGAGGTCTTGGCAACTGATTAGTCCCCCGATAATTGGCGCCCCCGATATAGCATTTCTCTGCATAAATAATATGAGCTTCTGACTCCTCCCACCCTCCTTCCTTTTATTACTTGCATCCACTATAGTAGAAGCCGGCACTGGAACCGGCTGAACAGTCTCTCCTCCCTTAGCAGGAAACCTAACACATGCAGGCGCCTCTGTAGATTTCACTATCTTTTCACTCCACTTGACAGGTGTTTCTTCTACTTCAGGGGCTATTAACTTTATTACCACAATTGTTAATATAAAACCCCCAGCCATGTCCCAATATCACACACCCCTCTTCATCTGATTAGTCCTAATTACAGCAGTTCTTCTACTCCTTTGTCTCCGAGTCCTAGCCGCCGGCATCAGTATATTGTTAACTGACTGCAATCTTAATACTACTTTTTTCTACCTGGCTGGCGGAGGTGATCCTATCTTATTTCAGCATTTATTCAGATTCTTTGGTCACCCTGAAGTCTACATCCTCATCCCACTGGGCTTTGGGATAATTTCCCACGTCGTAACATACTATTCTGGGAAAAAAAGAACCATTCAGGTATATGGGCCTAGTGTGAGCTATAGGATCAGTTGGGTCCTTACGGTTTATTGTATGGGCCCACCGTATATTTACGGTAGGGATAGATGTGGATACATGAGCCTGCTTCACCTCTGCTATTATAATTATTGCTATTCCTACTAGCGTCAAAGTTTTTAGCTGACTAGCTAGCTACACTTCACGGCGGTAATATCAAATGATCCCCCGCAATGCTGTGAGCCCGGGGATTTATTTTCCTTTTTACAGTAGGAGGCCTAACCAGCAATGTATTGGCCGAGGCTTATATTATGGTTCATTCATATATTTAGAAACCTGAAAGTTTCTAAATAAGTTGTAAAAAAGTTGTAAAAAAACCCCAGCTGAAATAACTACGAAGGTGCCTTTAATATTCTGAAGACAAAATAGCTAAGATCCAAACTGGGAGTAGATACCCCGCTCTGCTTAACTCTAAACTCGAATAGTTAGATCAACAAAACTGTTCGCCAGAACACTACAAGCAACAGCTTAAGACTCAAAGGACTTGGCGGTGCTTTATATCCCTCTAAAGGAGGCTGTTCTATAATCGATAAACCCCAATTTACCTCACCACCTCTTGCCCAGCCTAAATACCTCCATCTTCAGCAAACCCTGAAAAGGCTGCAGAGTAAGCACAAGTATCTACATAAAAACTTTAGGTCAAGGTGTAGCCCATGAGGTGGCAAGAAATGGGAAAGTTTTCTACATCCAGAAAAATGTCGCGACAACCGTTATGAAATCTAAGGGCTCAAGGAGGATTTAGCAATAAATTGAGAGCAGAGTGTTTAATTGAATAAGGCCATGAAGCATGCACACACCGCCCGTCACCCTCCTCAAATACATTCTAGAAACTCATTGTACACTCCCCTGTGATATTGTCCATAATATCCAGGGAGGGAGAGAATGATTTGATTTTTTTTTTTTGAGACAGAGCCTTGCTCTGTCGCCCGGGTTGGAGTGCAGTGGCCTGATCTTGGCACACTGCAAGCACCGCCTCCCAGGTTCACACCATTCTCCTGCCTCAGCCTCCCTAGTAGCTGGGACTACAGGCGCCCGCCACCACGCCCGGCTAATTTTTTGTATTTTTAGTAGAGACAGGGTTTCACCATGTTAGCCAGGATGGTCTCGATCTCCTGACCTCGTGATCCGCCCGCCTCGGCTTCCCAAAGTGCTGGGATTACAGGTGTGAGCCACCGCTCCTGGCCAGAGAGAATGATTTTACTCCCCATATCGCAGGGGATTTACATTCCCCTGCATTATTTTTCGTAATATCCAGGGGGAAGATGAAGATGTTACTCCCCATATAGCATGGGAGAACAATTCCCTGCGATATTGTTCATAATATCTCTGGGGGAAAGAATTATATTTCTCCTTTTATCACAGGAAGTGTACACCCCCTTGTGATATTGTTTATAATATCTAGTGGGGGAGAGGATGATGCTACTCCCCATATTGCAGGGGGTGTACAACCCCCTAGAATATTGTTCATAATATCCACGCGGGGAGGAGATGATGTTACTACCCATATCGCCAGGGTGTACTGCCTCCTGCCATATTGTTTGTAATATCCAGGCTGGGAAAGGATGATATTACTCCCTGTATCACAGGGGATGTACACACCCCTGTGATATTATTAGTAATATCCATGGGGGAGATAATACTACTTCCAATACCATAAACACCCTGTGTGTACACCCTCTGTGATATTGTTTGTAATATCCAGGGTGGGAGAGGAGTATATTACTCCCTATAAGGCAGAGTGTGTATACACCCCTCTGTGATATTGTTCATAATATCCACTGGGGGATATGATATTACTCCCAATATCGTAAACACCTCACATGTACACCGTCTGTGATATTATTTGTAATATCCAGTGGGGGAGAAGATGATATTACTTTCCACATCGCAGGGCTTTACACCCCTCTGTGATACAGTTTGTAATATCTAGAGGGGGAGAGGGTTATATTACTCCTCATATCTCAGGACATGTACACCCCCCTGTGATATTGTTTGTAATATTGTTCCCAATATCCTTTTCCCCCATGGATATAGGAACAGTATCCCATAGGACGTGTACACCCCCTGCCATATTGGAAGTAGTAGTGTTTTCTCCCTTGCTGGACATTAGGAACAATACCATGGGGGGGTGCACACCCCCTGCGATATTGACAGTAATGTAATCCACTATCCCCTAAATATAGGAACAATATCACAATGGTGATGTACACACTTGGCGATATTGAAAGTGATATGATCCTCTCCCCACCTGAATATTGGGAACAATATCACAGAAGGGGTGTACACCCCCTGCGATATTGACAGTAATATCCTCTCCCACCCCCGGATATTAGGAGCAATATCACAGAAGGGTTGTACACTCCCTGCGATATTGACAGTAATATCCTCTCCCCCCGGATATTAGGAACAATATCACAGAAGAGGTGTACACCCACTGTGATATTGACAGTAATTTCCTCTTCCCCCCCCGGATATTAGGAACAATACCACGGGGGGTGTACACCCCCTGCGATATTGACAGTAATATCATCCTCTCCCCCCCAGATATTAGTAAAAATATCACTGAAGGGGTCTACACCCCCTGTG
This sequence comes from Homo sapiens, assembly GCF_000001405.40. Classification (NCBI taxonomy): domain Eukaryota; kingdom Metazoa; phylum Chordata; class Mammalia; order Primates; family Hominidae; genus Homo; species Homo sapiens. The sequence goes on from NW_021159991.1 coordinate 293,719, forward strand.
ATAGTGACAGTAATATCCTCTCCCCCCCCAGATATTAGGAACAATACCACGGGAGGATGTACACCCCCTGTGACATTGACAGTAATATAAACCTCTCCCCCCACCCTGGATATTAGGAAGAATACCACGGGGGGTGCACACCCCCTGTGATATTGGGAGTAATATCACCCACTATCCCCTAAATGTTAGGAACAATATCACAAGGCGGGGAGTACACCCTCTGCGATATTGGGAGTAATGTCATCCTTTCCCTGCCCCTGCATACTAGGAATAATATCACAAGGGATGTACACCCCCATACGCTATTGGGAGTAACATCACTCTTTCTTCCCATGGATATTAGGAACAATATCACAGAAGTGGTGTACATACGCTGCACTGTATAGAATAAAGCAGGCGGAGGAAGGTGGGATAACCTTGCTAGCTGAAGCTTCTGGCTCTCTTTTTTTCTTCTTCCCGTGCAGGACACTTGCTTCCCTTCTTCCTGCCCTTGGACATGAGACTCCAGGTTCTTATGCCTTTGGACTCTGGGACTTGCACCAGCGGCTTCCCCGAGGCTCTCAGGCCCTCGGCCTCATACTGAAGACTGCACTGCGGGCTTTCCTGGTTTTGAGGCTTTTGGACTTGGACTGAGCCACTACTAGCTTCTCTCTTTCCCTACCTGGCAGACAGCCTATTGTGGGACTGCCTTCTAACCGTGTGAACCAATTCTCTCTCGTAAACTCCCTTATACATATACCTGTATCTTGTTGGTTCTGTCCCTCTGGAGAACCCTGACTCATACGTTTTGTTTATTTTTTCTCCATTGCCCTTTCCTCTGCTTCTAGGCTTACCTAGACCACCACCATTCTTTCCCCCTTTCTAAAGTAAAAGTTGTTTTTTTCTCACTAAATGCATGGCATTCTGCCCGTTTTCCATGGCTTTCCTCAGCCCTGCTCTGTTTATTCTTGCTATCTTAAGAGGAAATCCCTGCCTCTTCCGTGGCTTTTCCCACTTGGTCTACATACTGGTTTCTGTTGTTCTCAGAGACACACTGAGACCTTTCACATCTCACTGTCACTTCTTGGAAGGGCTCTCTACCTCGTCTGCCTGCTGAGCAACCTCTTGGGGAGACGCGGGCCCTCTTGAGTCACTGAACTTGAGCTATTTGGTGTTGGTATGTTAATTTATCTTCTTAGACCACTTACCACTTCTTTAACTTCAAAAGAGAAGAATAAGTATTATTTTCCATGGTTGATATGAAGAGTAGAAATAACTTATACAAAATGCATTGCAGTTAAGTGATAATAAATGGCCGTGAATGCCCTTATTAATGTTATTCTATCAGTCTCGGCTCAGATACCATCTGCTCTGTAAGCTCTGCTCTGAATCATATCTGCTTCTTCTCTGGGTTCCTTGTGCTCTGTTCTTAACTACTTTAAAGCAGTAATTGTTCTGATTCTAAATAGTGATCCTTCCGAATAAAATTTTAAATTTGTAGATCTCTTCCCCCCACCCATGCCCCAGCCTAACCAGTGTTTTCTTACTTTTTTGTGTACAGGCTACATCACTGGTCTTTCATTTGTGGCTAAATAAATGTTGTGTTAGAAGAGTAAAGAGTTCCCAGTTACATGGGATCTATAGTTCTACAAAATGAATGTATACATAATCCATGTAAATATTCCACTTATTTTAAAACAATTTTTTAATTTTTAAATTAAATTTAATTTGTGCATGTGTGTGAGACCAGAGTGAGACCAGAGATGGCGGCGGTGAGGGACGGTGGTCTCACCATGTTGCCCAGGCTGGTCTTTAACTCCCCTTGAAGTGCCCCCCTCCTCACCTGGCCCCCCTCACCTTGCCTTCTCCCCCTCACTTTGCCTCCTCCCCCTCACTCCTATGCCAGTCCCTGCCATTCCCTACCCCCTCTGTTGACTGCAAGACTCAACAAGTGACTTGCTGAGCAAACCCTGCTGAGAAGAGGTCTGTTTAGGGACACAGGAGGCCAAGTACACAAAAAAGCAAAAGAACTAGCATGCCTTTTTCAATGGATGTCTATTTTACAGGGCTGGCTTCAGATTATTATTATAGCTTTAAATAAAAGGACCGTTTTGTCATCTCGGCCCATGGCCTACATTATTTCTTTACTGTCCATTGCCCTGGGCGCTTGACTAATAATTTAACAGCAATTTTTTTTTTAATTTTAAATCATGATTCATCGCATTGCTGTAAGAGTAATTAGAGGTAAATTAGGGCTTGAAACTGCCTGTAGTGGGTTACTTTCTGAGATCTTAGCATAATTATCAGGTGAGAGGGTGAAGTTTTAATTAGCGCTAAGTGGGATAGAAATTCAATGCACTGAAACTGCAGTGTCCAATTCAGTAGGCGCTAGCCACCTGTAACTATTGAGCACTTGAAATCCTGGCTAGTCCTAATTGAGATGTGTTGTGTTAAATATACTGGATTTTGTCATTGGAGTGGGAAGAACAGCGTAGAATATCTGCTTGATAATTTTTTATATTGATTACATGTTAAAATTATTACTATGATTACTATTTGGGACATACTGAGTTAAGTATATTTAAAATTAATTTCACCTTTTAATGGGGCTTACTAGTACATTTAAAATTACATATGTGGCTCACATATTTATTGGACAGCACGGCTCTAGAAGTTTAGGAAGAAATAAGAAAAATATTGAGAATAGGTAGCGACAGTAGGAAGTTTGACCTCCTGTAAGACTGATTCCAATAAAACTAATAGGTGATAGTTTTAATTGGCTTTTTCCTACTAGAAAAAGTAAGTGTACTTTACATGTCTCTTTGTTCTCCCTCTTTCCCCTTCAATTTAGTGGTTAGCGTGTATTTACTATATCAGGCTTAATATTCACTAAGCAGTGTTAAGAAGACTTAGGTAAATGATTCCCTGATGAACACACTTGATTTTCAAAGCACTTTCCTAACCCATTTTTAATTGGAATAGAGTCAAAGGTAGATGGCTTATTATTAGTCATCTCATTTAAACCTCATGGAATTTTCCTGCTAAATCTCAAAGTAAACAATTTGTTATAGGCTGTTTTGTCAAGTGCATGGAAGGGACAGCATAAGACATGTGGTACTTCATTTCAACATTGCTTGAGATGGTTTTCATTATAATCATACATTATTTGCTTCTGGTTTTCCAGAAAAGCCAGCTAAACCTGTGGTTCATTTAGATATAAATGAAATATCCTCAAAGGATTGCTCAAAGTGACTTATGCAACTTGAATATATATTTTTTTCTGTAGGGTGTTTATTCCAAATTATCTGGCCATTTGTGGCAATTTGCAGTATTTTAGAAAACACCAAATATTTTTCAAGTTAGAGATGTTTTAATAAAAACAGTCATATTGAACTGGAAGCAGCCAAATAAAATGGTCCTTTATTTCACAGTTGAGAATTTGAAATTGGAAGGTAATTAACATATGTAAGGATGATGTATTTGCTGCCTGGCTTATAGGAATGAGCCAAGGTGTTTTTTGAGGGATGTTGTTGCTGTGTATGTCCCACCTATTTTGCTTCCTTAATGAACAATGCAAGTTTGAGACAGAAATATTTGAGAACATTTTTATCAGTTGCGACATTTTGATAGTGAACATTTTATATCTTCTGTCAACTTAAAATGTTTGCATCTTCTGTCTGCTTAAAATGTTTAATTTGTTATAGCCAAATAATTTGGCTATAATTGATAATTTAATTTATCAAATTAAATTGCTTTTTTTCCCTTTAGACTTTCTTCAGTCACAACTGAATAAATCACTTAGAAGTAAGCTAGATGTAATATAATGAAATGCTTAAAAGGGCTGTGTATCTTCATATTACACTTACAGTGACTTTCTGCTGTACCCATTATATTCTACCTGCAGCTAGTTGAGGTAAAGAGAGGGCATTTAACTGTCAAGGGAACCTCTGAGGAGACTGTAGAAATCTGGAAAGTCTCTTGGGTCTTTGAGGGATTTTGGGATGCAGAGAGTGGGGCTGGGATCTCTGGCTAGGTTGGAGCCAGCCTGCATTTGTATCTTTATCTTGGAAGCAAACTTAGAATGCAGAGATAGATGTGGCCTGGATGCTGCTAACTCTAGCCAACCACTAAATCTTAAGGTGGGAGAGATGCAGGCTTTGGCTGGGTGCTAAGCTGCTGTAGCTGGTTGAATGTAGAGGTCACTATCTTTTCTGAATACTTGTAAGTAAATTAAATCATTCTCTACTCCTGTATGCCTGCCAACCAAATGGGAAATCGCTATAGAAAAGATGGTTTAAATTTTAGTCTTTGAAGTGGTTAATGCACGTTTCTGGAATCAAGATTTAATGTGGACTTGGATTGGATATTGAATATTTTTTATTTGTCTACTTTTCTCTCCTTAGGGAGCTTATAGCTTCATTGCACTGTGTGTGGCATTTGGGTCCTGTTTGGCAGCAATGACTGCCTTTCTGTTTAGTGTCTGTGTGCTATGAAGATTGCACACAGGGGTCCAGATGCATCCTGTTTTGAGAATGTTAATGGATACACCAGCTGCTGCTTTGGATTTCACCCATTGGCGGTTTCTATAAAAACTTTAGACACAGTGAGCCACTCTTCTCACGGAATGGTGGAAACCCTCCCAATTCCAATTTCCTAAACACCAGCCAAGGGCCAGCCTTGCATGCAGGCCTTTCTAAGGATGGCAGTCTCTTGCCTGTTATATGAAATCTTTTCTGCACACTTTGTATAGCCCCAACTTAATTTTTGGTGTTGTTTTAAAATTTCATTTTAATAACATAATATTATAAGATAAGGTAACTTGGTACTAATTTCTGTTGTATGATCCATTTTAAGTTGCAGCGCTGGTTACTTTTTTGACTTTCAGTGACGAACAGCTATTTGTACATAAGTTACCATAGCAATGTTAGGTAATTATAATCTGTCCTATTTATCTCATTTACCTTTCAGTAAAATTGTTAAATAAGCAAAATAAATTCTGAGTTAAAATTAGAATAAAAATTGTCTTTTATTTGGATTACATGAATAATCTAGTTTTCATATTGTGCTAAAGCCCTGCTTAGAATTATGAAATAAGATAAAATATTCAATCATTTTTATCAATATTTTCTTACCTAAGCATGCAATTAAATTTATTTATTTTATATATTTTATATACTTCAATTTGAGAAATAATGACCACGTGTTGTTACTTTGGTCTTCAATGATCTCTAATTTTTAGGGTCACCGTGTCTTGCTTAAATATATCATAGTAACAGGTTCAGTGAATATCTTTATTTTTAATTTTATTTACTTATTTTTTTTTTGAGACAGAGTTTTGCTCTTGTTGACCAGGCTGCAGTGCAATGACACAATCTTGGATCATTGCAACCTCCACCTCCCAGGTTCAAATGATTCTCCTGCCTCAGCCTCCCAGGTACCTGGAACTACAGGCATGCACCATCATGCCCGGCTAATTTTTTATATTCAGTAGAGATGAGGTTTTACCATGTTAGTCAGGCTGCTCTCGAACTCCTGACCTCAGGTGATCCACCCACCTCAGCCTCTCAAAGTGCTGGGATTACAGACATGAGCCACTGCCCCCAGCCATCTTTTTTATTTATTTATTTTAATTGTTGTTCTGGAGATCCTGGGATGCATAGACAGTGAATATCTTTTCTGTTTTTTGAGACAGAATCTCACTCTGTCTCCCAGGCTGCAGTGCAGTGGTGCCATCTTGGTTAACTGCAACCTCTGCTTTCTAGGCTCAAGCGATTCTCCTGCCTCAGCCTCCCGGGTAGCTGAAATTACAGATGCCAGCTACCATGCCCAGCTAATTTTTGTATTTTTATTAGAGATGAGGTTTTGCCATGTTGGCCAGGCTGGTCTTGAACTCCTGACCTCAGGTGATCCACCCACTTTTGCCTCCCAAAGTGCTGAGATTACAGGCATGAGCCACTGAGCCCAGCTGAATATTTTTTTTAAATCAATAACCTTATTTCTTAGAGTAGTTTTAGGTTCACAGCAAAATTGAGAGGAAGGTACAGAGATTTCTCATATATCCCATGCCTCCCACACACGCATAGCCTCCCCCATTATTAATATTTTCCACCAGAGAGTGGTCCATTTGTTACAACTGATGAACTTACATTGACACATTATAATCACTTGAAGTTCATAGTTTACATCAGGCCTCACTCTTGATGCTGTACATTCTGTGAATTTGGACAAATGTATAATGACATGACATGTATCTATTACTGTAATATTATCGACAGAACAGTTTCACCGCCCTAAAAATTCTCTGTGCTATGTCTGTTCATCTCTCCCTTTCTCCCTAGCAACTCGTGACAACCATTGATGTTTACTTGTCTTCATAGTTTTACTTTTTTCAGAAGAGTCATATAGTTGGAATAAGAAGAGTGGATATCTTTTTGAGTAGTTAAAAAATTAAAGCTCCATGGCAGTTGAATGTAGTCATTTAAGATGTTCTTTGTCCTTTTGTTTTTCTTTTGCTTCTTTATCATTGTAAAGAATGATGTATTCTGATGAGATATGATTTTACATACTTAGAAAACATGATTTTTATAGATATGTGGCACATAATAGAAAGGGTTGAGGAAAAGGACATCACGCCGTACTACACAGCACAACCTGGAGCATCTTGCTCTGTGAGGTGGGTCCAGATAGACTCTTTAGCAATGGAAGGGGACAAGTGTAAAGGGTTGTGCTTTATAAAACTGGAATCACAAAGTCTTTCATACTTACCTTCGGTTGGAAATAAGACCAGGCAGTGAATGCTATTAGGTAAATACATAAGTTCCTCACTGATCCTCTTCCTTTGAGGGATGAGGTTGACAACAGCCTGTATTATGATGACATGACTCACCTAAAAATAGATTCTGTCATGAGAGATGACAAGGGAGTTTTGCTTTATGCGAGGTGAAAAAAATTTTTTCTCCTACTAGGGAGATGGGCAAGCATTAGAACATTCTGGTAGTAAAAGGGCATTGATAATTTTCTTTCTATATATTTTTTCACATCAGATAATATTGCCCGGCAGCCTGCCATACCTCCCCAGTGTTTATTCAGCTTCTCTCTGAATGTGGATAAGCTCTTAAAGGAGTGATCTTTCCAGTGGTTCTTTCTGTGGGAGGTAAAATGGCAGGTGAATTTGGGCCTTGTTATACGTAGGCCAGAGCAAATAGCTACAACTAAGGAAACCACCCAGCACCTTACCCAGAAGAGTATTAGCCAGAGTAACACACTGATCTCTCTTGAGATCTTCTCCACTGGTGGCTGGAAAGTCTTTGCAAGGATTCCTGTTTCTGGTCTGATTCCTATGTTTTGTTAGTTTCTGGTGATAGCATGTTTTATTCTAAACTAAACAGTTTGAACTGAAGAGCTAGAGAGACTGTGTTGCGTTATAACAAAATAAGTGCAGTAACTACACCTTAACTGTGGGAGATACATTCCAAGACCCCCAGTGCATGCATGAAACCATGGATAGTACTGAATCACAAGCTGTTTTTCCCTATACATACATATCTATGACAAAGTTTAATTTATAAATTAAATTAAATCCGATGTTATCTGTAGATAAGGTGTGAGAATTGAATTGTGTCATCAGCAGGAATGATTGCTTGTTTGTTGGTGGGGAAAAACTCTCCACACATTTGGTCACAGAAGCCTTCTTTGTTGATGATTGTTGCTGTGGTGTGACAGCAGAGAAAAACGTGTCAAGTATGTCTTTCTGCACATATAGTGGATAAGGGGTACTAGTGTATACTCTGTTGTAATGGCCCCTCATATTTTGGTCCAGAAATCATGCTCTTTGACACTGTTGACTCATCACACCTGTTCTGCTAACAATACCATTTTTACTCAATCTCATAGGGTTTGGCTAGGATGACTTGTATACTGCAGTTCACTTGTAGATACCAAATTTTAATAAATGTATTCTTCTTTGCATCTAATAAATACAGAGGGAAGAGTTCTTACTGCATTAATTACCTACCAATACATATAATGAATGTTAATTCTAATAACGTCCCAGGCATGCTCCCAAAGGAATGCTTTGTAACAAAGCGTCAGTCTTATGCTTTAAAAAACCAAACCAAACCAAAACAACAACAACAACAACAACAACAAAAAACAGGATCTAAAGCATACACACAAGTGTGCACAATTTTTTTATGAAGGTAGAGTCTTACTATGTTTCCCAAGCTGGTCTCAAACTTCTGGGCTCCTCAAGTGATCCTCTTGCCTCATCCTCCCAAGTAGTTTGGATTAGAGGCATGCATCACTGTGCATTCTTATGATTTTAATATTCTGTACATTTATTATTGATTTAAAATGCATTTTACCTTTTTCTTTAATAGATGTTGGAATTTCTGATGAATCTGCAGTCAGGTAAGATTTCATAGATTTAAAAAATTATGTTAACTAAGAAAATATAGATGGAAGAAACTAATATCTGTTGAGTGTTGTATTCTGGGCTAGACATCCTAATATGTTCTATGCATTTATCATCTCATAAAGCCATCATAACATCTGTGTTCCTATAACCTACTGTTAAATAAACAACTATGGATTAGAGCTGATTAATTGCCTCATGATCCCATAGTTAACAAAGTAGCTGGCCTACAGTTTGACCATCAGCCTGCCTGCCTTCCAAATCCTTTCTCTTGCTCCTCAGCATAGATTGATAGATATCTGTGCAGCCCTTGGATCAAAGTATAGGTCTGAATCAGATCAATCGGATTCATTAATTTGATTAACTTCTAAATTAATGAGAGTTTAAATACCTTGAACTCTCATTTAAGTTTATTGTTAGAATGTGGTTAGTCCTAATAAATTTGACGATTTCAGTGGTAACTAGTATCTTATTTTTACCTTCAAAGGCTCTAGGGCAGATCTGACTTAGCTTTGGCCATAGGACTGTAAGTTTTACCAAAGCAAGTTTAGGCAAGTCTTAGAGACAAATTATTTGACTTCCCAGTTTGGTTTTCCATTTAGGCAAGTATTTCTGCTTACTTCCATAATACATTTTTTAGTCTTGTTGCTTTTTCCATGACTTTTATATAATCTTGTCTTCATTTTTTAAAACTTTCTTCTCTGTTATTCTTGGTGTTTCTTTTGTTCTATTATTTTTTCAAACTCTGCTGCCTATGTATTCCAAGTTTTCCTATAGACAGAATCAAGAGGACATAGAATTACAGAATTTTAAGGAATCTTGGAATGAATTAAAATACCTTCTAGTATTTTTATCTGCGTTGAACATTCTGGTCAAGTGATTCTCTAGATAGAGAATGTGAGGCTCAAAGAGATTAGGAAGCTTTTTTTTTTTTAGACATAGGAATTGGCAGAAATGAGATTTGAACTCATGGTAAAGCCCAGTACTCTTGCTTCTTTTTATGTCCTATTGGCGTGTGTTTTAATAATACAAACGGGAGTGAGCCTGTGGATAGAATGAGAATGGAATTAGCTGGTGAACCCAATGGAAGTAGATAAGAATGGAATGAGCAGGGGAAGTCCAAGTTTGAAGATAAACAACACTGGATTGGATAGGAGTACGGACTCTTCTACAAGAGATCAAAGTATTGGGGTTTATGACAAGTTTGATAAAGATAAATTATAAAAATGAAGGACACAAGATGTTGGCAATTATCTACAAAGGCACATTAAAATAGAAGGTTCAAGGGAGCTCTAAAAATTTTGCTGCTTTTTTTTTTTAAATCAAGGACTGACAAACTTGAAGATTTTTACTGAAAGATGCCAAAACATTTTGAGACACTGGGAAGAATGTCTACAGCAGATAGAAATGTGGTGTCATCTACTTCCATCCTGACTTACAAAGGGGTGGCTTAGAGCCCCTGGAGTACTAAGGGGCTGGAAATTGCTGAACTACATAGATGTGTGGCACAGGGCAGGTGTCTCCTCACCTCTGCCTCTTTTCACAGTTCACTGATGTCCTTCCCATGTCCAGGTGGGCTGGGTCAGGGGCATGATTAGCTGGCAAATCAGTCATGGAGTTCAGTTGGGTAGTTGGTAGTGTGTATAGCTGGTGGCAGGTGATGGAGACTCCAGTTAGCTTGTTTTTCAGGAGCAGGGATATAGAGAGCTCCTACTCCTGGTCATTTGAGGCCATTCTTTCAGGAATCTGTGCTTTCATACACTGAAGATTTGAAGATTGGAGACTTCTGTGGAACCCTGCAGAAGTAGAATCTGGAAGTGGGTGTCCATAGGAAGAAATATACTTAGATAGTACTTAGGGAAATAGAGGTACAACTATCATGACACTGTTTCTTTTCTCGCAGTCTCTCTCCTTGGGTGTCTGAGTGCCTATGAAAATTTTTAAGGGCTTGCTAGTTTATGTGGACCTGAATAAGGTAGGACCTATAGAGTGAAAATAATGGGATTTTATAATTGTTAATATTTTAATCTTTCTGGGAAAAGTATTCTCAATAAGAACATACACCTTTGCTATTTGACTTCTGTACATTTAGCTTTCATACATTTCAAATATTGTGGGGGCTTTCCTGTACCAATTTAGGGTAAAGGAAAGCAATAGGACCTTCCTAAGTTGGATCCAGGCTGAGGAATCAAGACTACCATTTTGAAGTGATGTAGATTAGTCTTTTATCCAGAGACAGATCACGGAAAAGAGACAGTGGATCTTTCTACCTTGTTTTAGGTCATCAGTTTTATTCCAGTTTAGGGAACAAAATTTATGTCATCCATTAATTGAATTTTAAGTTCAGCTTCAGAACAGATAATTTGTGAGGGCACATTATTGTCAGGCTCTGCCAATATATTGACTGTCACTATTTGTTATAAACCTCAAGGTTAGTTTTCATTGAATATTTTATAGATTTAGACAGGTGGAGGCAGAAATAGGTAACTAAAATCTATTTTTAGAACAGAGGACATATTTTAATTATATCAAGAATCATAATTTAATATATAGATCACTGACCTTTCCCCAGATTATGTTTTCCTTTTTTTGAGGGGGAAGCTGGATATAAACTGGCAGTTGAAAAAATTATAAAGAAATCAACTTGCTCATTTTCATTGTGTATTTTTGCTCTCAAGCATTTTGCATGAACTGTGTGTGGATTCATTGCCTACATTGGATGATGAAGACTTGAGTGTTGCTACTAAGGTAAAGTGGTCTCTTGTAAAATTAATCTTCTCACTCTGAGTGTAGTTTTGCATAGTATTTACTTTTCAAATTTAGCAGTGGTTTACCTATCATTGTTTTATGGTGTTAATGGAAAGCTGGTCAGAGAAAAACATACACATGGCTAGTTGATTCAAAAAATGTGTTTAACTTTGGTAACTAATAAAGATTGGTAAGTACTGTGACAGGGTGGGAGCTGAAAAATAAATGAACTGGAAAATAAGTAGTCACAGGAAAATCACATTAGGAAATGCTTTCTCCAATAGAGGAAATATGAAATTTGGTTAAACTTCATTTGGATAAATACTAATACTTTGACTTTTAAATCATACGAGTGTGACTTTCTTAATATTTATTCCTGTATAAATCTTCAGTGGATCAAATTGTTTGCAGTAATCATGGAATCCTCCTGGTAATTTTTAGTGGCAAAAATGTTCAGCACATAGCATATAGCTTTTGTTCTTGGAAACTTATCATTTTGGTGTCATATAGTTTTTAGGAGAGATTGTTTCTCTACTTATATTATTGGTTCTGTAGTGAGACTAAAAATGTATTAAAAATTGTAGAAAAATAGCTGAGTTTGGTGGTGTACACCTGTAGTCCCTGCTACTTGGGAGTTTGAGACAGTAAAATTGCTTGAACACAGGAGTTTGAGAACAGCCTGGGCAACATTGTATCTGATTTAAAAATATAAATTGTGGAAATGTAGAAATTTAAATTTATGTTCTCAAGATTTGTATTGCAAAGGGGTTTTTATGTGATTTATGAGTTGTCCATGAAGAGTTTATATAAAACACTTCATCTAATTGAATAACATGTATTTTCCTGAAAATAACCAGTTCTAGAAGCAGAGACTCTTAATACCAATATGGTAAGTCTTTATCATGATAATTTTGTCATTGTAGTTTATTTAAAATATTTACTTGGCCAGGCGTGGTGGCTCACACCTGCAATCCCAGCACTTTTGGAGGCCGAGGTGGGTAGATCACCTGAGGTCAGGAGTTCAAGATCAGCCTGGCCAACATGGTGAAACCCTGTCTCTAAAAAAAAAAAAAGCACAAAAATTATCCAGGCATGATAGTGCATGCCTGTAATCCCAGTTGCTCAGGAGACCAAGGCAGGAGAATCGCTTGAACCCAGGAGGCAAAGATTGCAGTGAGCCAAGATCGCACCATTGCACTGTAGGCTGGGTGACAGAGCAAGACTACATCTTAAAAAATAAAATAAAATAAAATAACCACTCAAAGTCCTTATATCATATTCTGAAAGTTTGAATGTCAGAAGGTTTTCTATTTAGTTTTTTAAATGATCATTGGAAGCTCCTGCATACCGTAAGCTACTGGAGGTCAGTAAACATATTTGTGTGTATCCTGGAGTACCTAGAATACAGTCTTCCATGTAAGAAGCATTTTACTTGTTGTTTTTTGAGATGGGGTTTCACTCTGTCACCCAGGCTGGAGGGCACTGGTGAGATCTTGGCTCACTCCGATCTCCATTTCCTAGGCTCAGGTGATCCTCACACCTCAGCCATCCAAGTAGTTGAAACAATAGAGCTATGTCACGATAGACTTGTGTCACCATGCTGGGCTGAGTTTTGTAGAGATAGGGTTTTGCCTAGTTGCCCAGGCTCTTCTTTAACTGTTGGGCTCAAGTGTTCTGCTCGCCTCAGCCTCTCAAAGTGCTGGGGTTACAGACATGAGACATTCAGCCTTAATAGCTGTTTAATCTGAATAAATAAACAAATGAATTTTTATATAATGGAATGTTATAAGTAATATAATAAACCTAATGTATCTAATCATTAAATATTGTATTTAAAATATTGCTTACATTGTATTATTTTTTAATATTTAAGGGTGTATAAGTTTTGACATGTTATGTTGAGAAATTATGCCATAATTAAAAAAGAAATAAAAGAGAAATAGGTCATCGGTAGCAAAGAGGGTTACAATATATTTTCTAGTATCATTCAACTGGAATCTTAACATTGAGATTTTAGATTAACATTTCTTAAGCTTTTTATTAGACCCAACTCATGTTCCATTAAATATACCGTTTCAAGCCATACATTACTCTTTATTATTGTTATTATACTTTAAGTTCTAGGGTACATGTGCACAACGTGCAGGTTTGTTAAATATGTATACATGTGCCATGTTGGTGTGCTGCACCCATTAACTCGTCATTTATATTAGGTATATCTCCTAATGCTATTCCTCCCCTCTCCCCCCACCCCATGACAGGCCCTGGTGTGTGATGTTCCCCATCCTGTGTCCAAGTGTTCTCATTGTTCAGTTCCCACCTATGAGTGAGAATATGCGGTGTTTGGTTTTCTGTCCTTGCAACAGTTTGCTCAGAATGATGGTTTCCAGCTTCATCCATGTCCCTACAAAGGACATGAACTCATCATTTTTTATGCTGCATAGTATTCCATGGTGTGTAAGTGCCACATTTTCTTAATCCAGTCTATCATTGATGGGCATATGGGTTGGTTCCAAGTCTTTGCTATTGTGAATAGTGCCACAATAAACATACATGTGCATGTGTCTTTATAGCAGCATGATTTATAATCCTTTGCATATATATCCAGTAATGGGATGGCTGGATCAAATGGTATTTCTAATTCTTGATCCTTGAGGAATCTCCACACTGTCTTCCACAATGGTTGAACTAGTTTACAGTCCCACCAACAGTGTAAAAGTGTTCCTATTTCTCCACATCCTCTCCAGCACCTGTTGTTTCCTGACTTTTTAATGATTGCCATTCTAACTGGTGTGAAATGATATCTCATAGTGGTTTCGATTTGCATTTCTCTGATGACCAGTGATGATGAGCATTTTTTCATGTGTCTGCCATACATTACTCTTTAGAATTCTGGTGATCAATTCTTTTTCTGGGTGGAAAGTTGATGGAAAGTTCCAGTTTTCTCTCTCTGTTATAATAATGTTCTTTCAGGTAATGGCAGATGACCATATTTAGCTAATTGAATGTCTTATAGTAAGAAACACTATCACAGAAGTACTTACAAAAAAGTAATTGCAGCATAAATATTAATTAGTATTATCAGAGTTATGAAAGACCGAAGGCTCTGTTATAGATCTATTTCCCCATGTACTTTATTGTACTTCATGTTTTTCATTTTCTTTCTTGGCTTAAGCTCATATTTCATTGACTAATTAGGTTTGTTTTTTGTTTGTATCTCTCTTTGTTCTCACATTTTAAATTGAAATTTTTGGGGAGGCAGGGTCTTGCTCTGTTGTCCATGCTGCAGTGTAGTTGCATGATCTTGGCTCACTGCTGTATCCACCTCTCAGGCTCAAGTGATCCTCCCACATCAGCTTCCCAAGCAGCTGGGACTACAGGCACACACCATCATGCCTGACTCCTTTTGGTATTTTTTGTGTAGAGATGTGTTCTCATTATGTTGCCCAGGCTGGTCTCCAACTCCTGAACTCAAGCAATCCACCCACCTTGGCCTTGCAAAGGGCTGAGATTACAGGTGTGAGCCACCATGCCTGGGCAACATTGAGATTGATTTAAAGAAATTGATTAGGGCTGGGTGTGGTGGTGCAAACTGCTTATCTCAACATTTTGGGAGGCAGAAGTGGAAGATTTGCTTGAGCCCAGGAGCTTGAGACCAGCCTGGGAGGTATAATGAGGCCTTGTCTCTACAAAGATAACAATAAAAACATTAGCATGACATGATGGTATGCACCTGTAGTTCCAGCTATTCAGGAAGTTGAGGTGGGAAGATTGCTTGAGGTCAGGAGTTTGAGACCACAGTGAGCCATAATCAGGCCCCTGCATTCTAGCCCTGGGTTGACAGAGTGAGACCCAGTTTCATAAAAAGAGATTGATAAGAAACTCTTGATGCAACTCATTATAATTTTAAATGGAAACTAATTCTTGATATTACCTTAGCAGTGTGTCCCCGAGAAAGTGTCAGAGCCTTTACGTGGACCTTCTCATGAAAAAGGAAACAGAATAGTCAATGGAAAAGGAAAAGGTGAGAACCGTATTTTATTTAAAAAGTCATTTGATGGAGGCCAGGCGCGGTGGCTCACGCCTGTAATTCCAGCACTTTGGGAGCCCGAGGTGGGCGGGTAATGAGGTCAGGAGATCAAGACCATCCTGGCTAACATGGTGAAACCCCATCTCTACTAAAAACACAAAAAATTAGCCGGGCATGGTGGCGGGTGCCTGTAGTCCCAGCAACTCGGGAGGCTGAGGCAGGAGGATGGTGTGAACCTGGGAGGTGGAGCTTGCAGTGAGCGGAGATCGTGCCACTGCACTCCAGCCTGGGTGACAGAGTGAGACTCCATCTCAAAAAAAAAAAAAAGGCATTGATGGAATGTTTCTTTTAAAATATGAGCACTAATAGAGTTTAATAGCTAAAGAAAATGTCCTATTAACTGTATCATAAGTAAAAGAGAAATGAAATGGTGATAAGTGGTGTCTCTAACCAAGGGTCAGCAGTTGATTCTATTGGAAGTACCACTAAAGGAGCTGAGTTATGAGTTCCATTTTAACATACTCTTAAGACCTGAGGCAAGTCAGGAGAGAGGGAAGAGGAAATGAATAAAAGAGAAAGAAAGAATGAGGAGGGCAGAGTGTACATGGAATAAATAAAAAAAGTGGATGTATGTAATGGAGGGTAGTAAAGTCAAATTGATCTGTAGAAGAAGGAAGAACAGGGTGTTAGAAATAGGAAGGAAGATAAAGTGAGCTTCCAGTACCAAAATGTGTCATATAGTTACAGTAACATTTTCCTTCTCTTGCTGTCATTGTCGCTACTGGGGAGGCATTAAGGATTGAGGTACTTTACCATGCAGACCTGTGTTTTATCTACCATAGATGAACATCACCGTAAATGGTCAGCCATGTATGGCTATAATTTGTTTTTATAGAAAATGTTGTAACTTCATAGGATAGTATCATATTAACATAATTGAAAATAATAGTGTTGGGTGATTTATTGGGAAGAAATTAATTAGAGAAGTTTTGCCTGATTAAAAGTTCATTAGAAACATTATGGCTTATAACGTAGTATTAAATTCAGGGACATAATAGGAAAGAAGTTGAGGCTAGGCCAAAAAGGCCAATTAGGATAAACCAATATGGAAGCACACCAGTGTAGAACAGGACATTCAAATTGTCATGAATTCGTTGAGGAGCTTCTGGAAAGTGCACATTCTGACTCAGCAGGTATTGGAGTCTGCATTTCTCATGAGCACTCAGGTGATGTTTGTGCTGGTCCTTGGACACAGCTCTGAATAGCAAGGGAATAGCCTTCCTTTAGAGAAATCTGGAAAAAGAACCACTGGAGAGCAATTTAAAAATTAACAGAATCCAGGGAAAGCTTTAATTTCCTTTTATTTCTGAGCATGATTCTAGCCACAGGGGAAGGAAAATGAGATGAAAAAAGAGAGATTACAGGTGTATACTACTGCTGAATACGGATGAAAAAAGTGGTCACAATCATCCATAAAAAGCAGTTAGGAAGGGAAGCATCAGGATGAGAGTTCTGATAATCATTTTTTCAAAGGAAGAGGGATGGTGAAAGGACACAAAAGGAGGAAAGAAAGACATTTGCTGGGGTCTTGGGAGTTAAAGCCAAGTAAACTTGAGACAACTCACTTCCAGTTGCTTCAGCATATGCCCAGTCTCACAAAAGAGGTTATTGCTGTGGAGAGTACTGGAGACAGGAGGGAGTGCTAGAGTTGGGGTAAACCACAGCAGCTCATTTCACTTGATAACTGTCAGGCCTCAGGGAGAGAAGTTTCACTGACATGAGTGAATAAGATATGATTAAGTTGCATATAGATGCTTTGGCGAAATTTTTTTGAGACAGCCAGTTCTTTGATATGATAGCTGTTTTATAAAAGTCCTTTACAGTGTAAGATAATATACCAAACTTAGTTAATTTTAGAAGTAATCATAAAATTCATTCCATGAAAACCAAAATTATCATTTTCAATAAATACTGCACTGATTTTGAAATATAAATATGTATTAATATCCAGCAAGTCTGTGGTCATTCAATGTTTTCTTTTTTGATAAATATTTTGATATCAGAAGCTTATTCGACATGGTTTATTTGATGTGTTTTATGGACCACCTTGCATGAGTGGATCAAGGAGCTCTAATTCAAGGCCAAGTGAGGGGATAGGAGAAATGTAGGTGCTGCAGTAGCCAGTAGCCCATGTGATCATGGGAAAAATGAGTAGTTTGATTAGCTGTTATTTCATAAGTGTGTATCCTAGCTGATCAATGTAGAACCCTTTCTTTGATGAGAGGTGAATCACACATTCACCTGAACTGTCATCCCAACTGCGTATTTCCTCAGTGACAAGACAAGGGGAATTTGTTTGTGCTGTGCTGGCAGCAGTGCCTCTGGTGTGTGGAGTTAAAATACTCTGTACATTCACCATCAGCTTTGACATTGATTCTCTCAGGTTTGATTTGTCCCTCTGTTTAATGGTCCCTTTTCTCCTCATCAGTCCACGTGTTCACGGTTATATCAATGCTTTTCTATTTTAAGTATAGGCATTTGAAACATAATCTCACTACTGAAATGTAAACTGTGCATTTTGGGAATCCTATATTCCTATTTTCCTCATTGTGTTTCTGTCATGTTGCTGTCCTAGGCAATGAAAATAAGAAGCCAAGAAGTAATTATTTTTATAGTCTTAAGTAATTATTTTTATAGCCAGGCCTGAGAATTCAGCTCGACAGTAACACTGCATGAATGTTTGGTTGGCCCTGTCATACTTACATATAATTGATGACATATCCCCTTTGCTTTGTAGGGCCTCCTGCAAAACATCCTTCCTTGAAGGTAATTAATTATGTATATTTTTGAATCACTAACTCCATGTTGTATAAAATATATGTGATTTATGAATCGTTTTCTTTTAAAACTCATTCAGCCTAGCACTGAAGTGGAAGATCCTGCTGTGAAAGGAGCAGTACAAAGAAAGAATGTATAGACATTGAGAGCAGGTACATTTAATAGAATACTGGAAATAAAGTACATTCAATGATTGGATGTACTCATATTATTCTTATTCCTAATTCTATTTGTTCAATATTGAACACAAGGCATTGACATAAATGTTATTGTTGGTATCTATATTTGAATAGAAACAAATTTAGAAGCATAAAAAAGATTTTAAAAATGTAAGCTTTAAGTCAGATGTTTCTGTTTTAATGTTTTGAATAGCATGAAGTTTTCAGTATAAAATTTTTATACTTGTCAGTGATTCAAAGCAGTGAATTTTGAGATTCTTAAGATATTTCCAGTGAGTTAAGTGCTAGTTGGAGTTCTGATCTTTACCTAGAGGAAAGCTTTACTTATTAAAGTGTTAGTTTCTGTTTTAACTTCAGAGGCTTGCTGCTAGTGTTATTACACTGATGATCTGAAGCCTATCAGATGTTCTAATGAGCAAGACTGTGTGTGTAGGTGTATATATAGATGTGTGTATGCGTGCGCTTGTGGCATCTTTGACTATTACAAATGACGAAAGTAATGATTCATTTATGACTGGTAGACACAGTCTTTTAAAATGGTGATTTTGAGCCTTTTTGGTGTTAAAGTTTTTAAAACATGATTGCATAGAGGCTACCAACATCATAAGTTGGTTGTTTTTCATTTCAATGTCCTTTTGAAATCTTTAACTACATTGTGATGCTCAGAAATAATATGCAGAATTTTTTGTGTCCTAAAGTGGTATGTGAGTGGTTATATACTTTATATACCTTTCTGCCACTTTCTTTGGTGTGTTTTGTATTATATTTTCCACTTGTACCCACATTGGTGTGATTATCTCTGGTTTAATTCATTTTACACTGTTCATTGTATTCCCTCATACCACTTTACCACATTTAGTTAGACTCTCCTGTTGCTGATAAATGAAGAAATAAAAAGAAAAATAATGTCAGATTAAGAGGGCTTTTCTTTAATCGGTTTGTATCTATTAGCATTTACTATATGAGAGTTTAAACCTGAAAAGTTCAGAATACAAGCATGCACCACCATATTTTATTAATGCCCTTAGAACTATGACTCATGAGCCTTTAGCCTATGAAGTTAGGACAATTCATTTCTCTGAAGAAGAATGCTGGGCTGTTCTCAGAAAAGAAAACTGAAAATAGCAAGTGATATTGTCTTATTTTACCTCTTGGACATCCTTGAATGAAACTGCTACTAAAGGGATACTTGGATCAAAATTCAGATCTAATGTTTTGAACAGTATACTTTGTGAATGTCCAGTGATCATGAGCCCTTGATGGGGAAATGACCTTTTGAGTTTCACTTTTGCATTTTTTGCTCTTTTCGTTGACTTGTCTTGAAAGCTTAAATTCGACTATTTTATTTTTACAGAAACCAGGAATATAACTTTTAAAATATATGTCTGTCCTGTCTCACGGTGTTGTGTACTCTTCAGATCTTGTATGAACATAGACTTATATGGGAACAATTAGGTTTTTTGTTTGTTTGTTTGTGTTTTTGAGACAGAGTCTTGCTCTGTCACCAAGGCTGGAGTGCAGTGGCTCAGTCTTGGCTCATTACCACCTCTGCCTCTCGGGTTCAAGCAATTCTCCTGCCTCAGTCCCTCGAGTAGCTGATACTACATGCACGTGCTACCATACCCTGCTAATTTTTCTATTTTTAGTAGAGATGGGGTTTCACCAGGTTGGCCAGGCTGCTCTTGAACTCCTGACCTCAGGTGATCTGCCCACCTCGGCTTGCCAATGTGCTGGGATTACAGGTGGGAGCCACTGTGCCAGCTACAAATAAGATTTTTAAGGCTATTATATTTTATACAATTCGTTGGTCTATGTGAATTCTGAAGGTATTCAGCATTGAGGGAAGATTATCTCAGTTTAATGAAAGCAGTTTTTAATTTAACGTATATTCATTAAACTTTTTTTTGAAGTTTTTGTCTCTAGTACACAGAAACACACAATAATGTCATGGGTATTTGACCTTAATGTGTTTATGCACAAACTTAGTTATTCAAATATTTTCTTATCCCTGAAGAATCTTAATTACTAATAAACAAATTTCTCATGGAAAACAACGTATATAACAGAGCTGGTTGAGTGATTGAAAGTAAACTGTAGTAAATACCAGAAGCTTAGAACAAGTTAAGTAAACTTGTCTGAGTTAATAGCAATTACAAGACTTTTAAAATACATTAGACCACGGGGGAGTAGTGCATTTGTGGGGTAGAGGACAACATGGTACTGCTTCAGTGAAGAAAGAACTTTTACACCTTATTACAATTTGTATTATTATTTACATTCTAATAAATAAAAACTTTATTTTCAGATATTTTACATCATGTTTCTACTAGTTGAACCATCAATAGTAAGACTTTTCAAAGATTTGGGAAGTTGTGAGTTGATGATAAATATCTGTATCACCATCAGTGATCAAAAATCAGACAGCAACTACCAGAGATTTTGGACACGCGAACTTCATAGTTAAAGAAAGGATTAATCTTGGAGCTGTGTTTCTATCAAGGAATTACACTCTTCATTACCTGTGTGAATCGCAGTTATTAGAGTAGAAAGAGAGCAAAGAAGGGAAAGAATCATAGAAAATTTTATTCTAGATTACCTCGTTTGGCTTCATGCTACCATATTTCTGACTTTTAAAAAGTCATTTTGTGGTCAAATGTACTTTGTGTTTACTCCCCTTATGCAGCCTACAACCAAACAGAATGGTTCTTAGCAAGGCATTTGTATTCTTCCCTTAAGGAAAGCAACATATAAATAACAAAGAGAATGAGAAGAAAGAGTGATTTCATTGAGGTTGGTATTTAACATAAATTTGAGTGCAGGCACCATGATTATATTTAGAATTTTGTGGCTGGATGTGAAAACCAGCTAGATGTCTATAGATTTCCTACTCAAACACAATGTGACTTTGTTT
Organism: Homo sapiens; assembly: GCF_000001405.40. Taxonomy (NCBI): domain Eukaryota; kingdom Metazoa; phylum Chordata; class Mammalia; order Primates; family Hominidae; genus Homo; species Homo sapiens. Next base: position 314,817 of record NW_021159991.1, read on the forward strand.
TACTTTTACATCTCTAATTTAGCAATTATTAGGTACAACTGTATGCAGTGTCACTAAAAATACCTCCCAAAGCCAAATATTAAATAATGTCTATGGCTTTCTGTTTTATAGGGTTGATTTTCCCAATATTAATGGGAACCACTGAGCATCTGCCTTGTGGTGTCTCCTCAGCTGTATTCACATATTCCATCACCTTTTCTTAATGGATAATCATGCACTATGAGTAAGGGTTTTCAGAAAAGCTGTGTCATTTAAAGATAACACAGGAGCATCAAATTTAATTCTGCTAGGACGCCTGGTCTACTGATTAACTGCAGCTAATATGAGGTCTACTTCACATCCAAGTTAAATTCAGTGCCCTTAATCAGTCATATGATGAGGTCAACAGTAATAAATTATGCAATATTTTTTCACCCACCCCTATAGTTTTAATTTCTTTTTCCCCTTATGTCTGTGTTTAACATTTTGCTTTGCAAAACATGATGATAATCTTCTAGAGTAGTGAGGAAAAGCTATAAATCCAAAGTTTCTTACCCATGCAAATGACTTGTTTGCTCTATTTTCTCATGAGATTGGTAGATCCAGGAAACAGAACTTTTAAAACAAAATCCCCATATGTTGCTGGGTGCGGTGGCTAGTGCCTATAATCCCAGCACTTTGGGAGGCTGAGGCGGGCAGATAACCTGAGGTTGAGAGTTTGAGACCAGACTGACCAACATGGAGAAACCCATCTCTACTAAAAACACAAAATTAGCTGTTCATGGTGGCACATGCCTGTAATTCCAGCTACTTGGGAGGCTGAGGCAGGAGAATCGCTTGAACCCAGGAGGCAGAGGTTGCCATGAGCTGAGATCACACCACTGCACTTCAGACTGGGCAGGAAGAGTGAAATTCCATCTCAAAAAACAAAAACAACCACAACCACAACCACAACAACCACCACAAAACACAAATGCATTTCCTTGGCACAGTAAAACTGAAACAGAAAAAGGGTAAAGTAAATACAAGTAACTGAAAGAGTTTATGTATATTATTTTACTTCTCATTTGATAAAATTTGTAAAGTAATGAGCAGAGTGTATTTCTCCAGGGACCCAGATATATACATGTATTTATTCAATAGAAATTCATTCTTATAATGGCCACTGATACCTATATCCTAAATATTTCTGAAAACATCTCCTCAGGCCTGCATCATCTTTGCAACATTGCCTTATATTTTATCTTTGTTCATTGATTTATATGCCTCAGAATTTTATGCTCCTCACAGTATTTAGAGTGAATTATCCCTAATGCAAATAGATCCGTGAACCACTCCTGAATACCTAATGTCCAAGCATCTTAAAGGTTTATATAAGGATTTCAGAAACTGACTTCTGGGTTGGGCACGGTGGCTCATGTCTGTGATCCCAGCAATTTGGGAGGCTGAGGCAAGTGGATCATTTGAGGTCAGGAGTTCAAGACCAGCCTGGCCGACAAGGTGAAACCCCATCTCTAATAAAATACAAAAATTAGCAGGTGGTAGTGGCACGCGCCTGTAATTTCAGCCACTCAGGAGGCTGAGGCAGGAGAATTACTTGAACCTGGGAGGCCGGGTTGCAGTGAGCTGAGATCATGCCACTGCCCTCCAGTCTGGGAGACAGAGTATAACCTTGTCCCAAAAAAGAAAAGAAAAGGAAACTGATTTCTGCCCAAATCTCCATCTGTATCCCTTTCCCCATCTGCCTTTTTCTCTGGAATTACTGAGCTGCTGGTAATGGCCCCCTCACCATTCCTCTTCTGCAGAGAAATACATACTCTCTTGGAGGCTTCTCTTCCTCTCTTGTTGCTGCCTGGCATGTGCTCACCCTTTCCTGCCCTCTGCCTCGCTTAATCTGGCTAACCTCACTCTCTAAGTCTCAGCTCATGGATGATCTTTAGGAAAGCCATCCCTGACAGCTTCTATTTTCCTTCCTTATTCCCCAGTGCCTAACACTTAGCAGGAACTCAATAAGTAATTATTTAGCAAAATTAAGACTGTTTATACAAAGATGATTCAAAAGATTGTCCTCTACAGTCTAGCAGCAAAGGGGGTCAACATGTAAAGACATGATGTGCAGGTCAGGTGGTAAAGAGACACTAGAAAAATTGACAAGGTACTAAGGGACCCCAACGAAGCAGACACCTGTGTGTGTGGAGAAAGATAGCTAGAATCAAGGAAGATTTCACATAGCATTCTGAGCCTTTATTTTTTCCTCTTTTTGGAGACAAGTTCTTACTCTATCACCCAGGATTGGAGTACAATGGCACGATTGAGACTCACTGAAATCTCAGACTCCTAGGCTCGAGGGATCTTCTCATCTAAGCTTCTTGAGTAGCGGGGACAACAGGAACATATCACCATACCTGTCTAATTTTTTGTAGAGTCAAGGTTACCTATGGTTCCCAGGCTGGTCTTAAACTCTTGGCCTTGAGCAATTCTCCCATTTTGGCCTTCCAAAGTGCTGAGATTACAGATGTGAGCTATTATGCCCAGCCTACTTTCTGAGTTTTAAAAGATGAAAATAAATTTTTCAGAATAGCAGGGGAAAACATTTGTGATGTAAAAAATGGGGTGCACACTAATTGAGGTATAAAGAACAATAATTTTGCAAATTATTAGTAACTGCCAACTCAATTAGAGTCTTGTTAAAAAGATACTGTTATGAAGTATAGTAAAGCATTACATTGTATATTTTGACTGTATTTCAAATTTCTGTTTTGTTTCCAACAGTTTTGTTGACTTATGTTGGGTGGAACAATTTGTGAGTGACCCTGAGATTTTGCATGGCTTGAATCTGGTGATATCTGGTGTCTCCCCAAGTGTTTTGTTGAAGTTTTGGATAATTAGAAGTATTTCTTACAGAAGTAAATATTTCAGTAAACATTGTTTCATTCAAACTCTCAAAATATAAAATACAAAGAAATGTTATTCTCTATTTATTTTTATAAAGATTATAGTCTTTATCTAACTCTTCTTAGTTCATTTGAACTAAATCAATGAATTTGTCAACAGAACAAACCTTACCAGTGGCTTAGAGGAAGAGCAAGAAAGGTGTGAAAGAAGTGAAAAGAAGCAATCACAGGTATATGAAAATTTAAGTTCTTGTTTAATATTAGTTTTTTTTTTGCTTTACTAACAAAGCATAGTACAAATGACATGACCTTTCAGACTATACCTTTAGAATCCAATAGATCATAATTTTATATTTAATTTTTAAAACATCTTAACCAGTTATGAAACTTAAGTTATTCTTACTATCTCTAGTAACTATTAGTTATTCTAGTAATTCTTAGTATCTCTAGTAACTCATAGCTGTCTTTACCCTTGGAATTGAGGCAAGAAATTTTCAGAATTATCTTGCTGTTTTATTTATATAACCTTACTCATAATACACAAGGTAACATGAAGTATTGGGTCATATTACTGAGGAATAGAAATTATGAACAGTTTAACAACAATGGCCACTGAGTTAAACTAGTGTTAAAGGAGTCATCATTGCCAGTGCTTCAAATGTTGCAGTTTTATATTGCTGGTCACCAGTGCCGAGGTTAAAGATTTATTCTGTTTTATGGTCACCAGTTGACTTCTGTGTCTGTGTTCAGGGAGTGAATGGGGTCATAAAAGTCAATGCAGTTGCCTATTAAGAGAATCCTACCTTGCAGAATGGGACCTTTGGTGTCAGGGTGTGAACAATAACTTTATTTCAACATAAATACATAGTAAGCATTACTAAAATTTAAAAAATCCAAACCCTATCACTACCGGAACTTAAAATATATTAGAAGTGGATATAAGCAGAAATTCTATCTAGATACATAACACTATCATAGTATAACATTTGAATTAGAATTTAAAATTTTGCTTCTCTTTCTTACTGGTGTTCAGTTTAGCTCTTAATAATTTAGTGTTTGCCTAGTGCTCTAGTTAATCTTCAGAAATAAACATGCACTGTAGGGGCTCACTCTTTCTGGTATGCTGAGGTAAAGTCTTTGTAAGAGAGGAAGCTTTTATAATACTACCTATCATCTTTGAATTCATTTCTGGTAGATTTTACACAAATGCATTAAGTTTAGTCCAAACAGACACTGAGAGTTCAGATTGCTGGTTCATGTTTCTGTCCTATGTTAAGCCAAGGCAAATTATTTTTCACTTTTTAGTTACAATCCCATAATTTAAGAGTAGCAACACATAGATTAAGTTTCACAGTTAAATTTTAATTATTTTCTAATATTTCTTTGTTTATACTTGATTAAAGCTAATTTTACAACATGCACTCTGACAGAAAAGACATCTGAGAAACAAAACAAGCAAATTTGTTTTCCATTTTGCACCTGCCCCCCACCAAAAAAAGTCTCAAGAACCAGAACTGGGTAAGAACAGTGATAAAGGGAATCAATCTATATATTCATGACTTTCTTTAAAATTCATTACAAACAAGTTCAAGCTGAATATTGGTAAAAGTTCTGAAAACTCCAAAATTACTGCTTGCCCTGAGGAAGAGCTCCTACATGGTAACTCTAAAGAGGGATGAACAAAAAAGGAGTGCCCTCTAGTCTGATGAATCATGTCCCTGATTGTGAGGAGAAAAATGTATCTGGAGGGTCTAGCTCTGTGGCAGTCCAGGCAGCGCCTGAACAGAGGAAGCCCATGTCAAATATCTTTTTATTCCATTCACACTCCAGGTCCCTGAAATACACTTACCAGTCATCTTCTAAGCTTCATTTAAATTAAAATAAATCAGACTATAAAAATGATAACAAACCAGACACACAGCTTGTTTCTAACACAGATGATGGAAATTTTTGTTATGATATAGAAACTGAAAAAGTAAGGAACCCAGTAATTATGATTGAAATGAAAGATGATTAAGAGTTTGACATGCAAATGGAAAAATATATAAACCCAAATACCACTAATTGGAAATTAGGCATTGGTCTCAGTCTAGAGATCCAGAAAGTCTTTTTGATTTGTGGTTTACCCACCCCAAAGAAATGAAGCATATGATTCAGATAGAAAGTCACAGTATTTCTGCTGCTACAGATACTTATAAAAACAGAAAACCAACACAGTGCTTATTCCAGAAGCCGCTGTATGACAATCCCAGTGTTAATAACTACAAAACCATGAATCTTGAATTATAAAATGCGGGTTATTCTTTGCCACATAGTGAGAGAACATCAAAAATATAGCTAGAAGACTTACAGCAAGATATTCCAAGGTCACTAACATAGCACATGTATACATATGTAACAAACCTGCACATTGTGCACATGTAACAGAACTTAAAGTATAATAATAGTAAAAAGAATGAGGTAGGCATGTTACAAGTAGAGTTCCTGGCTTTGGAGAAAGAGAAAGTCCAACTTCAAAAAGACAGAGGTTCACTTGCTGCTTCTTTTTTCTCTTTATCAATTATTTGATTTAGTCAAATTTTCTATTCAAGAAAATCTCATGTGTACAGTTACAGCGGGGTTTTCTAAATGTGTAATCATGTGTCAAAGTAGATTAGTCCTGCTATCTAAACAACGGTTCTGGAGAATGTTCTCATAATGTTTCTTCATTAATCAACCTAAGTCTCACTCTCAGTCTTCCAAGTGGCATATGAGCTGGGAAACTAATTCAGCCATATACCATGTGACCTTCTGAACCAGATCAACATAAAGAAATTGCTAAAGAAATAAGCTTTACATTCTAGATTCTTTTTTTCTGTATTCATTTAGAGATGAATTACATTTATTTAATGATAGAATGGGAATACAATGGGAGGGAAGCAATGACTGAGATGAGCCACAAAAACACGTCTAGCCTTGAGAGTTGCAATGAATATTCCCAGCCAAATGAGTCTGTTTAATGTGTTTTCATGCACGCCAGTTTATCTGCTTAGCTCAAACTGTTTGAATTTATAGTTCCATCATGGTTATTTCCAATATTTTGAAAACAAATATATACTTCCACATATTTTAAAAAATCACCACTCCAATATTTCTGTTGAATCAGACCTTACATTATGTTGTTTAATAAAGTATGGTAAGTTTTGGCATGTATGATTTTTATCATGTAAGAAAGAAGCATAATTTCTTAGCTAAAAATTTAGCCTTTGACTCTTTAGTAGAAAGTTGAGTTCTGTACATTGTGTTCTAAAGATAGACAAAAATCTAGAGATTTTCTTCTTTCAAAGTAAAAGCAGATGAGGCCTTTTTCCACGCCTTTTTCCACCCTCTGAGGTGTTAAATTGCTTTGCTCAAGTTAGACTTTTAATATATCTGACTAATTTGATAAATTTATCTGGTAATTTATGTAATTGAGCAATATGGAATTGTATCATGTTATTTGGTGCCATGAAATGCTAGGGAATGCCACCTCAAGAGCTCTGGATGAAACATTTCATATGTCTTGGTTGGTTTGACTCCCATTTTCAGTAGATAATGGGGCTAAAGTAGTTAGCTGTACCATATGTTTTCCACCTATAAACGTTTGTGGTAATTGAATGTGAAATCTGGGAAGCATCTCGTTTTCCAGAATTCTGCATTAGAAACTCAGCAGTTTCACTCTGCTTCTTGTGTTGTGGCAAACATTGGTTCCCATAGTTCAGGGAGAACTTTCACTTTTTTGATATCCCAGGATCCAAAAAAAAAAAAAAAAAAAGAGATAAAAGGCAGTGGGGAAAAGAATAGCTCAGTGCAGAAAAGGGAAAACTTCTTTACTCTTCCTGAAGGCCTACAAGGTCACATCCTCTTAATCTGGCTATTTCATGTAAAATCCAGGTGGCAATGACAGAAGATATATGTTATGCCTGTGTCTTTTTATTTCTCTGTTTCTGCCAGTCAGATAGCATAAACATTTATATCAGATAGCAAAGAGTGGATGCGAATAAAAGCACAAAATGGAGAAGAGTCCTTTTTGAAATTTTGGAAAATTATTCCATTCACTCAAACAGAAATGAGCAGACTTGACAAAAATTTCAATGATAAAATGATAAGTGTCTTATAATTATTATGTATAATGATAAAATTAAAGTAAGCACAAAATACTTTTATCATTAAAATGGTGATAGTTAACCTGAATCAAGTGAAAAAATCAGGGAAAAAGTTTTTTTATTGAATAAAATAATAATTATTATTCATATTACTTTTATTAAAGGTCAAAGAAGGAAATAATACAAACAAAAGTGAAAAAATACAACTATCAGAAAATGTATGTCATAGTACATCTTCTGCTGCTGCTGACAGATTAACCAAACAAAGAAAGGTTGGGAAAACGTATCCTCAGCAATTTCCCAAGAAACTGAAGGAAGAGCATGATAGGTAAGTAAGCCTATAGCAGTGTGTTTTTGTTTGTTTGTTTGTTTGTTTGTTTTTCTGAGATGGAGTTTCTCTCTTGTTGCCCAAGCTGGAGTGCAATGGTGTGTTCTCAGCTCACTGCAACCTATGCATACTGGGTTCAAGTGATTCTCCTGACTCAGCCTCCCTAGTAGCTGAGATTACAGACATGTGCGACCATGCCCAACTAATTTTTTGTATTTTTAGTAGAAATGAGGTTTCACCATGTTATCCAGGCTTGTCTCGAACTCCTGACCTCAGGTGTTCTGCCCACCTCGGCCTCCCAAAGTGCTGGGTTTACAGGAGTGAGCCACCGTGCCTGGCCACCTACAGCAGTATTTCTCAGCAGATAATTGTCATTGTGCTATAAACTAATTCAAAATTGGACTAATGTTCCTTATGATTAACAAGTTTTATAGTTTTACCAGGGATATTTAGCCCTGTCTGGTAATCAGAAAAATACAAATTAACATAAAATAAGATATATTTTGTAAAGTCATGCTGATATTGAAAAAGTAATTACTACCATTGAAAATGTGAGGAAAAAGGCATTCTCATACACTGTTGGTATATGAAATTGGTAAATTATTTCTGAATGGTAACTTAGTGCTGTGTATCAAAATTTCAAATAACCTGACATCCCTTTAACTCAACAACTCCACTTCTGGGACTAGATTTCACAGGAAAACATAACTTGTGTAAACATACACACACTTATTAAGGGCATTAATTATATATTACACATAATGAACAATAGCTTAATAAATATATAAAATATATGTAATAAGAAGGTGAATTGGAAGTATTAAGAAAGAATTATAAAAAGTGTGGGGTAACAGATGTTATACTCTTTAGCCTAGTTTTAGATGACAATCATCTGCAGATATAGTTTGTGTGAGACACATCTTACTCTGTAAATCATTTGGAGAGACACCTACAATATTTCATAGAGATGAAAATTTATTTCTAGTGAACTTATACGCTTGTCAATAAATAGTAACTTTAAAAATTCAGTTGATTGTAAATGACCTTTTCTAATCGGGGAGTAATTATGACTGTGTGATTTGAAAAGGTAATTTTGAACTTCTAACTATACTGAATTATTTCCAGTATCCTTTTTTATAATACATACTAGAGTGACTAGTAACAAAAACTTTAGCAGAATATTCTTTCCTTACTACTTTTCAAGTATATACATTCGTTTGAAGATGTTGAAGTGAGAAATTAAATATCTGAGAACTACAAAGGAAAAATAATCCAGAACATAGAAATTTTATTAGGATGATAAAGAGCATCTGCAGAGGTAGATCACAGGATGATCTCTTTGTTTTTTAACAAAATGAATTTTAAGATAAATGTCTTTATCTGCAGATGCATCTTAAGACAAGAAAGTGAAGAAAAAACAAATGTTAATATGCTGTACAAAAAAATAGAGAAGAATTAGAAAGGAAAGAGAAACAATATAAGAAAGAAGTTGAAGCAAAACAACTTGAACCAACTGTTCAATCACTAGAGATGAAACTGAAGACTACAAGAAATACTCCAAATCAGATAAATCAATCTTTGTTAAAAATTCTATATTTTAAACTTTATTTTATCAATGTTACTTATAATATCCTCTTGATTTAATATATAATATTTTGGTATAAAACAAACCAGAAATGTTATCTCATTTTCAAAAAATGAATGATGACACTTACAGGTACAATTATTAATATTTATTATAAATCTTGGCATCCACATAGGATATTATTTTATTACAAAGAGCTTTTGAAAACAATAATATGCCATAATATATACTTAGTGATAACCTATTGATAAAGATTTTTTTCCCAGTAAAATTGTTCCTTGTACTTCCCGCTATTTCATATTGATTACTGTACCTAATACTATAAAGAGGAAACAAATTATTGCAATCACAAATAATCTCATGATATTCTAAGAAGAGCTCTATAAATTTTATCTTATTTACCATTGGTGTTTTGAAATAAAAGTTTTCTTTCGTATTGATACATTTACACCACAGAAGTAACTGTGATCTGTCAGAGAACTAGAAGTAGAGTCAGAAGTCCTGGGGAAAATCCTGTATCTTGCTTATATTTTTAACATTTCTTTTTCAAAATTCTGGTAACTAGATGAGTTCATCAATGAATGTATATAGGAGTGACTAGTATAATGTCTAGATTTATGATTTAGTAAATGTAATTCTTACAACTGACTATAAAAGTGTTAAAAGAGTCAAATTGAAATAGAATGTTATCAGTGAAATAGAACTGTAGTAACTCTGGGAAATTTTATCTGTCCAAATACATGTGAAGTAAAGTTCTTACTATAGGGTGGTGTAAGGGTTAGATATCAAAGTGTAAATGCAATTTTTTGATATATTTTAATTTAGTCAAATTTGTTAATGCTTTAATTTATGCTTTTGAGTTTGTTGTAATTCAGGGAAATGCTTTTCTAATTCTGAAATTCTTAAAAATTCTCTGGTGTGCGTGTGTGTGTGTGTGTGTTTACTTTTATAAATTCATTGACTTTAAATAAATTTCTGAACTTTTTGGAACTTATGCTCTATAAGGTTCAAAGTTTTGCTTCAACTTTTTCTCCAGTTGGATATCCACTTACAGTAACCTTTTTAGTATATGGATGTGCAGGTTACTCTTTAACTTCGGAGGTAATCATGATATGTTATTTTATTGCATACTAGCTAAAACTTTCTTTTGTTTTATTTAGGATTTTCATAATCAGGAAGAAATGAAAGATCTGATGGATGAAAATTGCATTTTGAAGACAGATATTGCTATACTCAGACAGGAAATATGCACAATGAAAAATGACAATGTGGAAAAAGAAAATAAATATCTTAAGGACGTTAAAATTGTTAAAAAAACAAATGCTGCCCTTGAAAAGTATATAAAACTCAATGAGGAATTGATAACAAAAACAGCATTCCGGTATCAACAAGAGCTTAATGATCTCAAAGCTGAGAATACAAGGCTCAATTCCGAACTGTTGAAGGAAGAAGAAAGCAACAAAAGACTGGAAGCTGAAATTGAATCATCAGTCTAGACTGACTGCTGCTATAAGTAAACACAGTGAAAGTGTGAAAACAGAAAGAAACCTAAAACTTGCATTAGAGTGAACACAAGACGTTTCCGTACAAGTAAAAATGAGTTCTGATATTTCCGAAGTAGAAGATAAGAATGAGTTTCTTACTGAACAACTTTCTAAAATGCAAATTAAACTCAATACCTTAAAAGATAAGTTCCGTAAGAAAAGAGATACTCTCAGAAAAAAGTCATCGGCTTTAGAAACTCTCCAAACGACCTAAGCCAAACACAGCAGCAAATAAAGGAAATGAAAGAGATGTATGAAAATGCAGAAGATAAAGTGAATAATTCCACTGGAAAGTGGAGCTGTGTAGAAGAGAGGATATGTCATCTCCAACATGAAAATCCGTGCATTGAACAGCAACTAGATGATGTTCATCAGAAAGAGGATCATAAAGAGATAGTAACTAATATCCAAAGAGGCTTTATTGAGAGTGGAAAGAAAGACCTCATGCTAGAAGAGAAAAATAAGAAGCTAATGAATGAATGTGATCATTTAAAAGAAAGTCTCTTTCAATATGAGAGAGAGAAAGCAGAAAGAGTAGTAAGTATCAAGGAAGATAAATATTTTCAAACTTTTAGAAAGAAAATTTAAACATTTGGTTCTGGATACATGTTGAACTTAGTTGAATATAAAAATCAATGGATAAAAAGTGTGTTTACCATACTGTATAATTCCATTTACATGAAGCATCCAGAAAAGATAAACGTATAGGGACAAAAAGTAGACTAATGTTTGCAAAGGGCTGGGGCTGAAAGCTGGTAGTGACTGCTAATGGGAGTGAGGGATCTTGCAGTGATGGAAATGCTGTAAAGTTGGATTGTAGAGATGGCTGCACAACTCAGTAAATGGACTAAAAAATCTTTTAACTTTAAGTTAAAACAGATACATTCTATAGTATGTAAATTATATTTGAACAAAGCTGTTTTAATAAAAAAAAGGAAAACCGTGTTTACTATACCAGCTTAGAAACGTGCCTCATTTCTAGGAAATAAAAGGTAGAGGTGAGAGATGATTTACTTTGAGAAAAGACATTGTGTCACCTATGAAATTTTATTAGGGACAGAGTCATATTTTAAGGTAGATAGTTCTGTGCTGCTGAAATAATAATTTTAATGACTTTATGTTGCCACATGTTAAGACCATAATGTAAGTATAAATGGAAATGTTTACACCTGAAATGAGTATTTTCAAATTAAAATTTAATTGATTTTCTTTAACACTTAATTCTAGATTTCCCAGATGAACTGAAGTGTATTGCTGTGTCTTGTGATACCTTGCTTTAAGTAGCTTTTTATGTATTTTAGTTGGTATATCTTTGTTATTAATCATATTAATTTAACAAATCTGAAAATATGTCAAATTACATATTTTTATGACTATGTAATGTTTCAAAGGCACCTACTTGTTATAAAATCATAATTTAGGATACATGTGGTAATATTTAGCAAAACTATATTTGGTTTAGTCTTCCCACTGGTATTTATAGTTTACTTTGAATATTTATATTAATAATTAGCTCCTAATTTTTATTTCAAGGCTCAATGACTATCATTGGAATATAATTTTGTTCAGTACAAAGATACTTGTAGCTGCCTGTGATTTATGAGTAAGGCATTAGATCCCTATTTTCAGACTGAGGGGTGGCAGGCTTCACGTACAGTGGGAATGGAGTAATTACAGGAGGGAGTTGAAGGAGCTTTGAAGTCAGAGAGAGAGGTAGAGACCTGTTTACCTAGGACCTCAAAGGCCATGGGAATTTTACCTTTATTCTGAGATAGGAATCTGTTGGAAGGATTTGAACAGGTGATTGAATATGTCAGGAACTTTGAGGTTGAGTTGAGCTTCTAAGATGATTGAATGGTGGGATGAATCTGTTATGTAGGTAAGAGAAAACCAACTTGGCAGGAAGAGAACATATTGTGCATCCCTCACTGAATTCAGTAATAAATAAAAATGTGTACATGTGATTAAAAGAAGGTGAATTGATATGTGTGGTGATAATTTTCAAAGTAGGTATGTTAGAGTTAAATATTATTAACATAATTTAATAATAAGGCAATTTATAAAATCAGTAACAAAAATATTTTCTCAGGTGGTTGTGAGACAACTTCAACAAGAAGCGGCTGACAGCCTAAAAAAATTAACTATGTTAGAGTCTCCACTGGAAGGCATATCACATTATCACATTAATTTGGATGAGACACAGGTCCCAAAAAAGAAATTATTTCAAGTGGAAAGTCAAGTATGTATGGAACTTAGCATGTCAACTGTTATTCTGTAGCTAGTTGAATTACATAACATGTTTTAGGATACTAATTATGGCAGAAGCTTGATTTTTTATTTTCATTACAATGAATTATTTCCATTTTACTATCTCTATAATGTACTTATTTTTTTATATAGTGACTTTCATTCTACCATTTTGAAAAACCATTGCATATCTTTTCTCTTACAATATGTACCCTTGGAAAAGTTGAGAATTATACATCATTCCTCATAGAAAACTGACTTTTGTCCTGTTAAAACAGTATTTTTAAGTAATTTTTGTATTGCTCTGATGAGGCGGGCCAGATTAAATCAGAGAAGAATGTTTCATGGAATGTTCCAGAAAATTGTCTTATTTCTTCACTTTTGTGAGTGGACACAGAATCTGTGTCTATTTATTTCACAGATTCTAGGTTAACTTGTACAGAAAGGCCATTATACTATTCTTTTAAAAGTGCATGTTTTAGGTTAATTTACAAACTATTTGAAAAGTTAGGCATTTTCTTTATCTTTTATTTAAAATATACTATAAAACTGTGGAAATAATTAAATTTGAGATAACATGTACATCAAAAATTGAGAGTTGAGAAAATTATCTTGATCCTGCCTTTGGATTTTAAAAACAGTTTCACTGAGATATCATTCACATTTGAGAGAGTTCAACCATTTAAAATGTACAACTGAGTATCTATTAGTATATTCACAGCATTTTCATCACCCTGAAAAGCAACCCCACATCTCCTAGGCATGACTGCAGCCTTCCTCCATGTCCCTCCACCTACCTCTGTTGTAGGCAACCACCATCTATCTACTTTTGTCTCCATATGTTTGCCTGTTCTGCTTATTTCATATACATAGAGTTATACAATACATAGTCCTCTGTGACTGGCTTTTTCACTTAGCATAATGTTTTCAGAATTCACTTAGCATAATGTTTTAGCACACATTGGTAGTTTATTTCTTCTTATAGTTAAATGATGTTCTATTCCATGGCTATACTGGTTTTCCATTCATTCATCAGTTGATGGACCTTTAAGTTAGTTTCCACTTTTTAGCTCTTATGAAAAACGCTGCTGTGAACATTCACTTACAGGTTATTATGTGGACATGGGTTTTTATTTCTCTGCCATTGGACCTTATCCTCAGAGTTAATTGGGCAGATTTCAGCACTTATCTTGCTCATGCTATTCTTTCTACCTTCTCAGTTTCTGTTCATCTAGCCTCATTCACTCAGACGTGGCAGACAATTTATTGTTTTCATGAAGCTTTCTCTGACTGTTCTCTCATTGACCTTATGTGTTAGCAATCATTGTCTAGTCTGTGCAGAAAAACTTAGTTCTTAATTTTACATGGCTTTTTTATGGAAGATAATTTTCTCTCATTATAAATTTGCTTAATGGGGGAATAATATATAATATGTATGCCACCTATCCTTGCATACATTGAAAATATTTTAGCTTAGAAGTTTGTAGCATACAATTCAATACTTTATACCATACCAATTATTTCTTCTTTGAGACCTTGACACAGTAAGGTTTATATTCTAAGTGTGTTTTTAGCAATTAAATATTAAATCTAAACCAATTAGTCTAATACAGGAGACTTGTTAAATCACATGTTTATGTTTTTCTCTCTATGAAAAAGAATCTAAATTGGCCTTTTTTCACTATGCAGCAGAACTGTATTTCTGGACTGCTCCCAGTTTGTCAGCTGAACAGTTCTGGGTGCAGCTTGTCCGATGACGGATAGCACAGCCCCTCAATCTGAGTGCTCAGCAGAGTGCTTGTGAAGGCAGCACCACAGCAACAGTTGCTCAGAGGGAACGGATTCAGGAGCCTTGATTTAGCAATAGAGTCCAGGGTTTTCAGCTCAGTGTCTTTAGCCTGTCTCTGCTGGTCATGTCAGTTATGTACTATTCAATCCAGGAGGTGCTGTTTACATTGTAGTACATACATAGTCATTGCCTAATGAGTCATACAGAGAGAAAAGTAAGTTATAAATTATGTCCCCCATTTGCTGCAACTCTCAGTGGTAAGAATGATTCAGTGCAGCTATAGGAGAGTACTTCCATTGGCATGCCACCTGCCTAAAATACACAATTTTGTTAAGATATACAATAAAATTATTATGCTAATAGCAAATATTTTATGTAGCTCACTGTGTTCCACGTAGTCTTCTAAGTGTTTCATGTTAGTCCCCAGTTAAACACCTGGTTTTGGAAGGCTGAAGCAGGAGGATCGTTTGAGCCCATGAGTTTGAGACCAGCCAGAGCAATATAGTGAGACCCTGTCTCAAAAAAAAAAAAAAAAAAAAAAAAAAAATTAAACACTTATCTGAGGCATGGTGGTGCACGCCTGTAGTCCCAGCTACATTGGGAGGCTGTGGTAGGAGGGTCGTTTGAGCTTGGAATATTGAGGCTGTAGTGAACAGTGATCAAGCCACTGCACTCCAGGCTGGGTAACAGAGGGAGACTCTGTCTCATAAATAAAAAGTTTTGTATAGATTCCCATAGAAGTGAGTTAGACATCAGTCATAGAATTATTAGCCACTTTGATGTCTACCTTGGGAGTAAAACATATAATGGGCAGCGTTAAACCATCTCAATCAATAGCCTCCAACTTCTCGAGAAGGTTCTTATTTCATGAATTTCTAAACAAGCGATTACCTGGATTAAGACATTTGGTGGACACCATTTTGAGATGAAGAATCTTGAGTGAGAAGAAGGGAGATCTCTACTTACTGAAGCTTCCCAATGACATAGTTAAGTGTCCCCCAAAAGAAACTTTAGAACAAGACTTTCATCATGCCATATCTCTACGGAAAAGGAATTTCTTTAAAAGAAAACAAAGGCAAACAATTGATAATATGATTCTCATGGGAAAGTTTTCATCATAAAAGAAAAAGAGGGCTGGGTGCCATGGTTCACGTCTGTAATCCCAACACTTTGGGAGGCTGAGGTGCGTGGATTACCTGAGGTCAGCAGTTCAAAAACAGCCTGGCCAACATGGTGAAACCCTGTCTCTACTGAAAATAGAAAAATTAGCCAGGTGTGGTGGTGTGCACCTGTAGTCCCAGCTACTTGGGATGCCGAGGTAGGAGAATCACTTGAACCCAGGAGGTGGAAGTTGCAGTAAGCCGAGATGGTGCCACTGCACTCCAGCCTGGATGACACAGTGTGACTCCATCTCAAAAAAAAGAAAAAAAGAAAAACAAAAAAGGGACAAAGTATACTGGTCCAAAAAAGAAGAAAGCAAGAAAAAAAGGACAAAGTATACTGGTTAGTATCATAACAGTGAGATAGTACCCCTTTGAGATTAGAAAATAACAGTATACTCAAAGTAACATTAATGAGAACCAACATAAAATAGACAACATTCACTATATCTACAAAAGTAATCTGCACCAATTAGCAATGTATGAGCATGTGGTTGAGAATATTTTCTATAATATGTGTACTAGAAGGAAGAGACCTCAAGAAAATGGTCAGAGCTGGAAATGTAGATTAGGGAATCTAGGTCAAAGTTTTGAGATTTTAGGAGTCCTGAGAGAATTTAAAAAGAGAAATAGCCACCAGGCATGGTGGCCACACCTGTAATCCCAGCACTTTGGGAGGCCAAGGCAGGAAGATCATGAGGTCAGGAGTTCAAGACCAGTCTGGCCAACAAGTTTCTTATATAGGTAAACGTGTTCCATGATGGTTTGCTGCACCTATCAATCCATCACCTAGATATTAAGCCCTGTGGGCATTAGTTATTGATCTTGATGCTCTCCCTCCTGACCCCAACAGGCCCCAGTGTTTGTTGTTCCCCTCCCCGAGTCCATGTGTTCTTATCGTTCAGCTCCCACTTATAGGTGAGAAGATGCAGTGTTTGGTTTTTTCTTCCTGCATTAGTTTGCTGAAGATATCAGCTTCGGGTTCATCCATATCCCTGCAAAGAGCATGATCTCATTCATTTTTATGGCTCCATAGTATTCCATGGTGTATATATACCACATTTTCTTTATCCCATTATCACTGATAATGTCCATCTGGGTTGATTACATGTCTTTACTATTGTGAATAGTGCTGCAGTGAACATGCAAATGCATGTATCTTTATAGAATAATTTATATTCCAAAGTATGGTAATTTTAAATCAGTTTTGGTATTAAAAATCATGCATTTTGGAAAATATTGATAATGGAAAAATCCAAATTCTGCCAAAATATGTTGAGAAAATAGAGGGTAAATATATCTTTTCAAACTTTAAATGCCTCAGGCTCTTAGTTAATCTTCCCCAGATCTGGGAAGACCTAGAAGGGGAGAGATTGGGCTACCTTAATGAGGGCCATTTCAATCTCTTGGCCCTGCAGCAGCCATTTCAAAATACGTCAAAAAATATATTTGGGGGTAAAATATTTTGATTTCCTTCAGCTTCTTCTCTCTGTGATGCTGCACCAGAATCAGATTAGAAAGGAAGCCACATTATAAGTGTTAATAAAACCCATCTGATGAGATTTGATAGTTTGAAGGGTGTGTTTCCCAGACCTTTAGATAGAAATTGGGGCCAAGGAAAACAAGGTGTTATTCCTCTATATAAATCTGTCAGTGCTTTAAGCAGTGAAAGAAAGATTTTTCATTGAATTTTACAGACTTGATACTAATGAAAAGGATAGCTTGTAAAATATAAATCTCTTTTTCTATAAAAAGGACATGTTGTTGATTCTCTTAGACCTTGAACCCTGGCCAGTGATTTGAAACCAAGCAGTACCTATCTGCAGATCTCTAGTACCAAATTAATTTGGGGTGGGGGGTAACAGGTTTATTGAGAAATAATGAACACGCCATGCAATTCACTCATTTAAAGTATAGAATTCATTAACTTTAGTATTTTCAGAGAGCTATGCCATCATCATTACAATTAATTTTAGAACATTTTCATCACCCTAAAAACAAACCCCACGTCATTTAGCCATCTTCACTAGCTTTCCCTTCCTCCCTCAGCCCTAGGGAACCACCCACCTTCTTTGTATAGATTTGCCTATAAGCCTCTGAAATAAAAAGCAAGTGGTCTGCTGGGACTGGCTTATTTCACTTAGCATAATTTTTCATGCTGCATCTGTGCTGTAGCAGGTATTGATGCCGGGTTTTTGCTCCTTAGTTCAGCTACATCTGGGTTCTTCTCTCGTGACCAGGAAAAATTAAGCATGCAGACACATTGAGGAGGGCAGAATTTATTATGTGAAAGGACAGCTCTCAGCAAAGAGAGGGGTCCTGCAAAGAGGTTTCCACCTCACAATTGAATACCAGGATCACATGAGCTGAAGCGGCCAGGCTCCTCCTCTGCATAAGGCGTGAATTCCTGGTGACTCCACCCCATCCCCCCACTGCATGTGGGCCTCCGGTCTGCTGTGGGCATGTCCAGGCAAGACAAGTCCAGGTTCCCTTATCTGCACATAACATCTGGTGTAAACACTTGTGGGGCTGGTTGGAGATTCTCCGGGGACCCTTCCGTATCTGCCTAGGCATTTTGCTGTCTCCTCCTAATACGGTATCTGTACTTAATTTCTTCTTATTGCTGAGTAATATTCCATTGTATGGATACATCAAACATTTTATTTATCCATTCGCCAGGTGATGGACCTTTGGGTTCTCTCCCACCCAAAGGTGACAGACGTTCTGGTTCTTTCCACCTTTTGACTACTATTAATAATGCTGCTGTAAACATTTATGTATGAGTTTTTGTGTTTGCGTATGTTTTTATTTTTCTGGAGTATATACTTATGACTGGAATTTCTGTGTCATATGGTAACTTCATGCTTAACCCTTTAAGGAGCTGCCAGTTTGTTTTCCAAAGTGGCTGCATCACTTTACATTCCCAGCAGCATTAGATAAAGGTTTTAATTTCTTTACATTTTTCCTAACACTCTTTTTTCTTGAACAAAGATTTTATCCTGTGGTGTGAAGTGATACCACATGTGGTTTTGATTTACATTTTCCTAATGACTAATTACATTAAGCATCTATTAATGTGCTTATCCATCTTTATATCTTCTTTGCAGATATATCTATTCAAAATCTTTGCCCATTTTTTAAAATTGGCTTATCTTGTTATTTATTAATTGCAAGAGTTATTTATATTTCCTATATATGTAAGTCCCTTATCAGATACACGCTTTTCAAATACTTTCTTCTACTTGGCGTCTTACCTTTTCACTTCTTCATACTGTCTTCTGAGGCACAGCAGTTTTCAATTTTGAAGTCCATTGAATCCATTTTTCCTTTGGAGTCATAGCTAAGAAAACACTGGCAAATGCAGTCACAAAGATTTATGCCAGTGTTTTCTTCTGAGGGTTTTATAGTTTTAGCTTTTACAGTTAACTATTTTATTTTGAGTTAATTATTAAATAAGATATTTGGTCGAACTTTATTTATTTTTTGCTTATGGATACCCAGTTGTCCCAGCACCATTTGTTGAAAAGACTATTCTTTTCCCATTTTGTTCTTTTGTTAAGCTTGTATAAAATCAATTGACTGTAAAAGTGCAGGCTTATTTTTAGATTGTCAATTCTTAGCTTGTTTATGTCTATTCTTATGTCAAGGCCCAATCGAATTGAATGAGAAGTTTTTTTCAATCATGTTGCATATTACCAGTTATCTTATGTCATAATAAAAATTAAATTTAGTGGAATGTCTGTAACTTCACATTTTGTGTCACAAAGGAGTCTCTGGCCAGCTTATACCTTACTTCCTCTAAGACATGATCAGACGCCAGGCTTACAAGACACACTTAATTTCTTTTTTTCTCCATTCAAGCCTTTAGTCTCTTTTCCATTACCTCCCACTATAGTTATATTTTCAGTAAGTTTTGGTTACAGGATCTGCTGACATAGTCTAATATTCAGTGCATTATGTTTTACTAACTCATTATAATTCATAGAACCTTCCATAGATGTTTACCATCTAGGAAGGAGAAGTTTAAGTCTGAGCCACCAGCTTTCCTCAGTGGAAATCAAGTGAAGTCATCATCTTGCAGTTTACAGACCCTCTTTTCTCCTGGTAGCTGGTTCTCTTGGGTAGCACTGTGGCTAATCCTTTTCTTAGTGCAGATCTTGCATTCTCAGAAACCACAGTTCCCTGTATTGACCTCCTTTTACTGAAACAGAGATGCACAGCTCTGCTTTCTAGCTCAGTAGAGGATTCTTGGAATAAAACGTTTAATTCATTCCAAGAAAAAGTCTTAGGAGTGCAGCACTTCAAAATCAGGTAACGTTCAGGCAATTTATCAGAGACACATAGTAGATTAGTATTTTGAGTTTCAAAATTTCAGAGCCAAGTTGTGTGCTATAGAGAAGCATTGTGGCATAACATAGAGATGGGATGGTTTTTACTTCTCCATACAAACAAGCTTGGAGTAAGGTAAAGGAGAAATCGCATTTGTGTCTTAACACTCAAAACACACTATGCTTATTTTACTTCTGTGAAGAATAAAAATCATTCCATAATATTCTCCTTATTTCCTCATTTAGAAAAGAAAATGAAAATTGAATACTAGGTTGATTAATAAATACTCAAAACTTCTTCTTTTAGAATTTTAGTTAATTGAAATCAGGTAAATGTCTGATTTTGCCTATGTCACCCAGTATTTCTAGTTGTTTTTCAAATCATACATCTTCTTGCTTCCCAGTCTTACTTCCTAACTTGAGGGGAAATTGTAAGAAGACACCCTTGCCTTGTTATCAGAGTTCATAATTGAAGTTGTTTTAGGAAAATTCCTCCTCAGCAGCTTATGTCTCTCTCCTGGTTATCTACTGCTTCTCAATAATGTTTGACATCAATAAATATCAACCTTTATTAGATCCTGCTTTAAAGGAGACTCTTTTCTGCTGCATAAGTTATGTTTCCTGTTGTCTCTTTTTAAAACTTATTTTCCTAACAATTACCCAGAGTCTTGTGGCTTGAAAGAAAAACATTTATTTTGTTCATGAACCTGTGGTTGGGGAAAAACTTGGCCAAGACAGCTTGTCTCTGCTCCCTTCAGCTTCCCTAGGAACAGCTGATCAGTTGGGGAAATGGAATCCTCTGAAGCTTTGGTCACCCACTTGTTTGATGGTTGATGCTGGCCATCGGCTGTAAACTTGGTTGGGACAGGCAGCATGAACACTGACACAGGCACTTTCAGGCTCTCTTTGTGGCCTGATGGCTCTCACAATTGGGGCAGGGTTCCAAGGGAAAACAGTCTGAGATAGGGAAGCCACATGGTATCCCTTTCACTACATTCTACTCATTAGAAGGAAGTCAGTAAGGCTGGCCCATATTCTGTTTTTTAAATGGGATGAATGTAGCTTCTCTTTTGTTTTAATTGACACATATATACATAATTGTGGGCTATAGAGTGATATTTTTATACATGTATATAGTGTGTAATGATCAATCTAACTACCACATTTACTACTTCAACCATTTTTCATTTCTTTGAATTGTGAACATTCAAAATTTTCTGGCTTTTTAAAAATATACAATAAGTCATAGTTAACCATATTCACCCTACAATGCCACAGAACACCAGAACTCACTCCTCTTATCTAACTGTAATTCTGTATCCATTAACCAGCCTCCCCTCCCCTACTTCTGTGAGCTTTTTTTTTGTTAAGAGACGGGGTCTTGCTAGTATAGTCTGGACTCTGGGCAACTGTAGTCACCCAGACTGGAGACAGTGGTTTGATCATAGTTCACTACAGCTTCAAACTCTTGGGCCCATCTGATCCTCACACCTCAGTCTCCTGAGCAGCTGGCATTATGGGCATGCACCATTGCACATGTCTGATTTTTGACTTTGTAGAGATATCTCCCTATGTTGCCCAGGGAGCTCTGGAACTTTTGGCCTCAAATGATTCTCTTGCCTTGGTCTTACAAAGAGCTAGGAAATTACAGGCATCAGCCATATTGCCCAGCCTTCAATTTTCCTTTAGCTCCCTTACATGAGTAAGAATGTGCAGTATTTATCTTTCTGTGTCTGCACTTAACATCCGTCAGACTGATCCACGTGGCCACGAATAACAGGATTTAATTCCTTTATACGGTGAATAGTATTCCACTGTGTTTGTGTGCCACAGTTTTTCGTCCATTCATTTGGTGATGGACATGTAGGTTGATTCCATACACAAGCTGTTGTGGATAGTGCTACAGTAAACATATGAGGACAGATATCCTTTTGATCTATTGTTTTCTTTTCTATTGCCTGAATACCCGGTAGTGGGGTTGCTGGATCCCTCGGCAGTCCCATTATTAGTTTTTTTGAGAAAACCTCCTGTTATTCTCTATTGCGGCTGCACTAATTTACCTTCCCACCAACAGCATGTAAGAGTTTACTGTTCTCTGGAGCCTCACCAGCATTTGTTATTTTTTTGTATTTTCAATGACAGCAATTTATTCAAATTGAAGCAAGATTATATCACATTGTAGATTTGATTTGTATTTCCCTGAGGATTAGTGATACTGAGCATTTTAAAATTTATTTATTGGCTATTTGTATTTCTTTTTCTAAAAAAAAGTATAGTTAGATATTTTGCCCAATTTTAAACTCAGATTTTTTTTACTGTGAAGTTGTTTGAGTTTTTTTGTATATTTTGTATATTAGTCCCTTATTAGGTGAATAGCTTGACAATATTTTCTCCTATTCTACAGGTTTTCTCTTCGCTCAGTTGTTTGCTGGACAGAAGCTCTTTAGCTTAATGTAGTGTCTTTTGTCTATGATTTGTTGTTTGCCTATGCTTCTGATGTCTTACCCATAAAAATCTTTGTGCAGACTAATGTCCTCAAGCATTTTCCCTATATTTACTTAGAGTAGTTTGATAATTTTGGGCCTTACATTTCAGTCTTCAATCGATTCTGAGTTTATGTTGTTATATGGTGTTACATAGGAAGCTAGTATCATTCTTCTCCATATGGATATTTAGTTTTCCCAGTGTCATTCATTTGAAGAGGCTGTCCTTTCCCCAGCGTATGTTCTTGGCATGTTTGTCCAAAATCAGTTGGCTGGAAATATGTGGATTTATTTCTGGGTGCCGTATTCTATGGTCTTTACCCCAAGAATCATTACTTCTTAAAATGCAATTCAAATTAGCATGAAACATTTGCAGTTTAAGGAAAGGCTTATAGCATCAGAATCCTTAATCATAGATTTCATTATTTTGTGGATTTTTTTTTGAGATAGGGTCTTTGTCTGTCATCCAGGCAGAAGTGCAGTGATAATAATTCACTGCAGCCCTGAACTCTGGGTACAAGCCATCCTTTTGCCTCAGTATCCCAACTAGCTGGGTCTACAGGCATGAGCCACCATGCCCGGGTAATTAAAAATTTTTTTTTTTGTAGAGAGGGGGGTCTCACTATGTTGCTCTTACTGATCTCAAATTCCTGGCCTCAAGTGATCTTTCTGCCACAGCTTTTTAAAGTGCTAGGATTACAGGCATGAGCCACCATGCCTAATATAGAGTGTAATATCATTTTCAAAATCTTATTCCTAGACCCATTTATTGACTTTGGCCTAAATAACTCAATATGATATCTCTGAAACTTTTTTTGACATATTGTGGGGAATAATAATGAAGGAAGGGGGTTAGACACTTTTTACTAGGAGATAACTTTGTGCCATTTAAGGAGGAACAAAAATGAATTATCAGAAAAATAAAAGTAAAATGAAGTACAAAAATTCTGTGGCAAAGATGGTGATAGTAAAGAATATATTTTTATGACTCATGGTAGCTTTAACTTTGTTCTTAAAATTCTGAGTAATTTAAGGGTTCACATTTGAAGAATCTGCTGCATTACAGATAACATTTTATTGCAAGTAAATGCATTTCAAAATTTGCTATTGGTTTTGTATTAGATTATTCTCAGCCTACTTCATTATCAAGCTATACTATTTTATTCATGCAGTTTGATGATCTTATGGTGGAGAAGGAAGCTGTATCTTCAAAATGTGTCAATTTGGCTAAAGAGAATCAAGTTTTTCAACAGAAGTTATTATCTATGAAAAAAGTACAACAGGAATGTGAAAAACTTGAGGAGGATAAAAAGATGTTGGAAGAAGAAATATTAAATCTTAAGACACATATGGAAAACAGTATGGTAGAACTTAGTAAACTACAAGAATATAAATCAGAGCTAGATGAAAGGGCAATGCAGGCAGTAGAAAAATTAGAAGAAATCCATTTACAGGTGAGTTGTTTAAATCAGGTAAGTTTACTTGTAATGTGCTTTCATTTATTTCACTGCAAATTATATTTTGGATATATATATATATATATATATATAGTGTTTCCTCTGCCTCTCTTGTAGCAATCTGCTTTGTAGAGTTCTAGAAAAAAATGGTATCTGTTTTTTCTTTTAAATATTTAAATTTCCATTATTATTATAACAAAATCAATCTTTCAGAGTAATGATTCTCATTATGGAGTCATTTGATGATTAAGACCAGTTGGCATAGGAAAAAATTGTGATTTAGAAATTATGTGATAATTATGAATTGGTCTTAAGCTACAGTGTTCATTGATCACTTTTTAAAACTATGAATGGATGCTATTACTTTTTATATGACCAGATTACATTAATACTAGCATAATTATGATTTCAAATTTTTACAAATCAGACTTAATTCTGAATTCAGTTATTAGTTTTGATATTGCTGAAATATTTTAAACTTCATCCTCTTTTTTAACATATTCAAAAATGCTCTTTGAATCACTGACTCAAAATGAAAGGCAACAAACATAATAATTAGGTTATAATTGTTTTAAAAGTGTATTCTTTTCCTCTGTTTTAGGAACAAGCACAATATAAAAAACAATTAGAGCAGTTAAACAAGGATATAATACAGCTTCACTAAATAAGAAGGAACTCACACTTAAAGATGTGGAATGTAAATTCTACAAAATGAAAACTGCTTATGAAGAGGTTACAACTGAGTTAGAAGAATATAAGGAAGGCTTTGCAGCAGCATTGAAAGCTAACAGTTCCATGTCAAAAAAATTAACTAAGTAAGTCAAAACATACACTCATAGAAAATGAATTAAGCTCATTAATTTGTTTCAAAAGCATAATTTTTAGTGAGATGGCTTCAGGAGATTAGAAGGAAGTGAATGCTAATTTGACAATGTAATTTTGAAAAATAATGTTAGTAAATAATTTTACCTTTAAAATGTTAGTCAAAGATAGTTTTTGTCTCTCCTCTCATTTTTTTTTTTTTTTTTTGCTTTTGTATGGCTTTTTTTCCTGAAAAGTCTCATGTAATTAACCTGATCTATTAGTTTTTTTCACTAAGTATTTTTGAAGTTTTATAATTAATGAAGTGATCTTGTTATAAAATTACTTGTCAGAATTTCCCTAAATAGAAATATTAATGTGTTTAATTTACTTTTCAGTGGATCACAACCTAAATGTAAAGTGGTACTGCTACTCTGGGCACAATTGTTTTTGATTGTGATCTTTAGTATTATCACCAGAGGGTGCCTCAAGAAAGACTATTTGTGTAACATATTCAAGATGTTACAGAAAGGCACCCTTGTGAAATAGGGAATAATTATCACAGGAATTTAAAGAAGTGTAATTCACAAAGCGGTTAAAAAATAACACCTTGTTCAGCCTGAAGCGGTGTGTGGAAGGCAGAAAGAACATGCCCCCACCTCCAGGGCCTTGGTCACAGTGTTGGGGGCTAATTGCCTTCAGAGATGCTTTAGTTCTTTTTGATCACCAACCAGACAATCTAGTTCTCCCCTAGGAGTTGTTGCTCTGAATTATTCCTCAGTGCCAAATGTTTAATTGGTCCTAGATAATGGGTGAAATGTACAAGAGTGAAATCTAAAACTGGTTTACTAAACACAAGTATTCCTAGATTTTTTTTCGTTCATTTTAGTTTTCTTAACCTACATTAAGGAGTACAACATGATGTTTTGATATAATTATTTCTAGTGAAGTGGTTCTTATAATCAAGCAAATCAATATATTCATTTTCCCACATTATTACCCTTTAAATACAAGTATTTCTAATGGAATCTTCAGAATCTTACAAGTAGAGCCATTTTAGAAGGCAGGAAGTTTTACCTGTTGAGCCATACATCACTGATAGCCATTTCTCTTCCCTGTCTACTTTGTTTGAACTGCTTGTTCAGTAGAAATCACCTTAGAAACAATGGTGCTTCTTTAGAACGATTTTAAAATTATAATTCCTTACAACAGGTATGCTCTTACACATCTTCTCTGTGAAAACACTATTTAGTGGGTAATTTGGTTTACTCTCAGGGTAAGTTTTTAAAAACTGCAAGTCATTAAGAATCATTTAAGGAAAAATGAAATATTAAGCATTTGTCTTTGCTATCTTTACAGATCGAATAAGAAAATAGCAATGATCAGTATCAGCTCTTTATGGAGAAAGAGCAGGTGAAATATTTTCTCAGCACTCTTCCTACAAGGCGAGGTCGAGAGTCACCTTGTGTTGAAAATCTTACTAGTATAGGACTCAACAGAAAATATATTCCCCAAATGCCCGTAAGAATTC